>NC_000017.11:82161210-82523287 GCF_000001405.40 Homo sapiens
TGGTGGGGATGGGGGAACCGGAACCCTCACACAGTGCTGGTGGAGGTAAAATCGTGTGGCTGCTGGGGAAAACAGTGCGGTGGCTCCTCAGAGGGTTAAACACAGAGTTAATGTCTGGGGAAAACAGCACGGTGGCTCCTCAAAGGGTTCAACACAGGGTGACCGTCTGACAGAGCAATTCCGCTCCCAGGTGTACACCCAGGAGAACTGAACTCTGCATAAGTCCACACAGGAACTTACACAGGAACATTCACAGCAGCATTATGCACAATCCAAACAGCGGAAACAACCCAAATGTTGAGTGCATGAATGATAAACAAAATGTGATTCCTCCATACAATGGAATATGTCAGCCATGGGAAGGAATGACGTTCTGACATATGCAGAGCTGAACCCTGAAAACATTCTACTCAATGAAAGAAGCCGGGCACAAAAGGACAACTACCATAGGACTGTGTTAATATGAGGTCCCTACAGTAGACAAATTGATTGTGACGGGGGTGGAATACTTACTAGAAGCTGGGAAGCAGGGAAGGGGTGACACTGCTGTGTGGTTATTGTACCGAGCTTCTATCTGGGGTGGGGAGAAAAGCTCCGGTAATAGTGAGAATGTTTATGCGACATTGTGAATGTGCTTAATGCCACTGAAAGGTACACTTTAAAATGGCCAAAATGAATAGTGAGAATGTTTATACGACATTGTGAATGTGCTTAATGCCACTGAAAGGTACACTTTAAAATGGCCAAAATGGTAAACTTTGTTATATATTAATGAATTTTACCACAATTAAAAAAATTTTTTTTTTGAGATGGAGTTTCGCTCCTGTTGCCCAAGCTAGAGTACAATGGCACAATCTCGGCTCACTGCAACCTCCGCCTCCTGGGTTCAAGCGATTCTCCCACCTCAGCCTCCCAAGTAGCTGGGACTATGGGTACCCGCCACCACTCCCGGCTAATTTTTTGTATTTTATAGAGATGGGGTTTCACCATGTTGGCCAGGCTGGTCTCGAACTCCTGACCTCAGGAGTGGGGTGATCCGCCCACCTCGGCCTCCCAAAGTGCTGGGATTACAGGTGTGAGCCCCCATGCCTGGCCACACAATTTTTTAAAGTAAAAGCCAAAACGATGTTAGGAATATGTAGCAGTCAAACCGAGGTAGTGACCCCAGCCCCATGGGAAACAGGGTGGGCTCGCTGCTGGATGCAGATACTGGTCCCAGCAGGAGTAGGACCCGACCCCCAAAAGGCAAGGGCCCAGGAGGTTGAAAAGAACAGCGCTTGCCGGGGCCCTAGTATCTCAGATGAAGTGTGGCTCAACACTGACATGGAGCACATGCGTCCGGTTGACCAGGACCCCTCTGAGCGGGCAGGTGGCATCGGGCAGCCCGCACACACGCCCCACTGACCAGGACCCCTCTGAGCGGGCAGGTGGCATCGGGCAGCCCGCACACACGCCCCACTGACCAGGACCCCTCTGAGCGGGCAGGTGGCATCGGGCAGCCCGCACACACGCCCCACTGACCAGGACCCCTCTGAGCGGGCAGGTGGCATCGGGCAGCCCGCACACACGCCCCACTGACCAGGACCCCTCTGAGCGGGCAGGTGGCATCGGGCAGCCCGCACACACGCCCCACTGACCAGGACCCCTCTGAGCGGGCAGGTGGCATCGGGCAGCCCGCACACACGCCCCACTGACCAGGACCCCTCTGAGCGGGCACAGCCAGGGCCTGGTGTTCTGGCCGCCAGTGCTGCCTCCACTGCCTAGACCATGCTTCCCAGGTTCTCATGGCACGCCTTCCACGAGCACACCTGAGATGAACCGGTTCCTAGGACCTCCCCACAGCCCCTTCCTCAGAAAAAAACAGGCAGAGAGAGGTCAGTGGATGCCCGAGGTCACCTGGGGTCGCACCGGGCAGCCGCTCAGAGCCCACGCGCTCTCCCCCAGCAGCGGCTCTCTAGGAGGATGACCCCACAAACTTGACTGCCTCACCTTCTGTCTGAGTCGTGTCACCAGCAGGTTTAGGAGCTGCACTCTGTCCCCGAGCTTCCTGAGTGCCAGTCCAGAGGATACTGGGCCAGCTTGGACAGATCCTCCTGCTTGACCAGCTTGGACAGACCCTCCGGCTTGACCAGCTTGGGCAGACCCTCCTGCAGAGAAGAGTGGCTTCTGTCAGCTCATACCTGAGAACAAAGGAAGACCTTTCTGGGGAGACACACATCTCTATCAGCTCTCCCTTTCCCGTGAGGCCATGGCACCAGCGGCTGACCCCAATGCGAAGCTGTTCTTCATTGGAGTCAGCAGATCTGGTCCACGTGAAGATTAGAGATGCTGTACAGAAAGCATAATCCTCATGTAAAGAAAGCAAGAATCCTTGTAGGAAAAAGTCTGACCTTACCACGTAATGTCTGATAGAGACCAATTGCTCCAGTCTGTCCAAGTAAAGAGCCACTTGCTTGGAAATGAAGAAAAAAGATGCCACATAACACAGGGTCAAAGAAAAAAATCACAATGGACATTAACAACTATTTTGAATGGAAAGATAACAACAATACTACCTTAGAAACTTCAGGAATGAATCTAAAGCTGTCCTTCCAAGAATAATTACAGCTTTAGATAAATATTTTAGAAAAGAAGAAAGGCCAAAAACCAATGAGCTAAACATTCATCTCAAGAAATTAGAGGGGCCAGGTGCAGTGGCCCATCCCTGTCATCTCATCACGTTGGGAGGCTGAGGCAGGAGGATCCCTCGATCCCAGGAATTCAAGGTTACAGTGAGCTATGACTGAGCCACTGCACTCCAGCCTGGATAACAGAGCGAGACCCTGTCACACACACACACAGAAAAATAAATTTAAAAAGAATGACCAAATTAAAGCCAAATAGGGCCAGGCACGGTGGCTCACGCCTGTAATCTCAGCACTTTGGGAGGCTGAGGTGGGCAGATCGCCTGAGGTCAGGAGTGGGAGACCAACCTGGCCAATGTGGCAAAACCCTGTCTCTGCTAAAAAAAAAATACAAAAATTAGCCAGGCGTGGTGGTGCGCCCCTGTGGTCTCAACTACTCGGGAGGCTGAGGCACGAGAATCGATTGAACTCGGGAGGCGGAGGTGGCAGTGAGCCAAGATTGTGCCACTACACTCCAGCCTGGGTGACAGAGTGAGACTCTGTCTCAAAAAAAACAAAAACAAACAAACAAAAAAACGCCAAATAAAGTAGGAGGAAGAAAAGATAACGTTAGTATTAGATACTGAGGAAACAGAAAATAAATGTATAATAGAGAATCAACAAAATCAACAGTTGATTCTTTGAGAAGGCTAAAATAAACACCCAATAATACTAAGCAAGGAAAAAATAGAAGCAAATGACCAATATAATTAATGGCAAAAAGGAGTCAACACTTCAGATCCCACAGACATTTAAAAACTCATAGGATACTATAAGCAACTTTATGTCAAAAATTTGAAAATTTAGATGAAATGGACAATTTCTTAGTAAAATATAACATCAAAAATGTACAAAAAAGAAAATCCAAATGTCCTACAACTATGAAAAAAACTGAATACACAATTTTAAACCTTCCCACAAGGAAAACTCCAGGCCCAGCTGGTTTCAAAGTTGAATTCTACCAATTATTTAAGAAAAATTAATATAAGTCTGATACAAACTTTTTTAGAAAACGGAAAAATAGAGAATACTTTCCAACATATTTATGAGGCCAGCGTAACTCTGATTCCAAAACCTCCCATGAACATTATGAGAATTGAAAATTATGGGCCAGTCTTACTCATGAACATAAATGTGATAATTCTCAATAAAACACTGGCAAACCAAGCTGGGTGTGGTGGCTCACACCTGTAATCCCAGCTACACAGGAGGCCAAGGCAAGAAGATGGCTTGAGCCCAAGAGTTCAAGAATAGCCTGGTCAAAGAGCGAG
This sequence comes from Homo sapiens, assembly GCF_000001405.40. Classification (NCBI taxonomy): domain Eukaryota; kingdom Metazoa; phylum Chordata; class Mammalia; order Primates; family Hominidae; genus Homo; species Homo sapiens. The sequence continues at coordinate 82,165,145 of NC_000017.11, forward strand.
ACTGTGTCTCATTTAAACAAAAAACAAAAGAAGTATCAGCAAACCAAATCTGTCAAACTATAAAAAGAAGAATCTATCACTACATGTTGAATTCATCCCAGAACTGCACGGGCGGTTTAACCCGACGGAGCCCCTACAGTCCACCCGCATTTTGCCTGCTAATCTCAGCTAAAGGCCCAGCCAGAACACAAAAAGCCTCACTAGGGGAAAATTCTGAACAGTGAGAAATGAAGGCTGAGTGTCTAGGGGCCTCGGATCCCAGGGGTGGCTGGCAAGGAGTCCCTCGTCTCCTTCCTGCACACACTGGCCTGGTGCTAGGCAGCCACAACCCAGAGCTCAGACCAAAAAAAAAAAAGGCCGAAGAGAAGCTGCTCCTGGGACCAACGGAGCAAGAAGACGGGGACGTGCAGGTGGAGCCCTTGGGACCACACCTGCCCTCCTGCCAGCCCATGGTCCTGCAGCCTGCTGTGGACAAAGGCCAGCTGGGCTTCTGGGAGAGCATGTGGGGAGGGTCACAGGAGGAAGGAGGTCTGCGTGAAGACCCCTGAGGAGCTGCCGTGTAAAACCAGCCAGAATCCACAGAACCAGCACAGCAAAACCTCTGACAACCGGGCCTGGCGGGGGACACTGCCCAGGATTTAACTGGCCACTTGGTAGCTCATGTATGGGCAGAGGAAAATAGCATCATCAAGGCTCTGGAAAGTAATGGACATTCAAACCTCAGCCCACCAGAGCGGGCCAGGATGCGCAGTGTGAACCCAGAAAGGCTGACTACCTGACAAAAGAAAAGACAGAATTAACATAGATTTAATAAGAACTGGAATTTCATAATGTGACACTCAAAATGTCCATGATACAGTAACAAATTACAGGAGGCTGCTTGTAATTCCAGTACTTTGGGAGGCCAAGGCAGGAGGATCACTTGAGCCAAGGAGTTTTGAGAACAGCCTTGGCAATATAGTGAGACTCCATCTCTGATTAAAAAAAAAATTACTCGTCATATTAACAACCAAGAAAATCTCAATGTGAATGAAATAGACAACACCAAGATGACACAGACATTGGAATTATGGGATGAAGATTTTAAAGCAGCAGTCATAACAAAACTCCAGCAAGTTACTGGGGAGGGTAGAGGTGAGAGAATTGCTTGAAGCCAATAGTTTAAGATCAGCCTGGGCAACATAGTGAAACCCCATCTCTACAAAAAAAAAAAAAAAATTAGCTAGGCATGGAGGTGGTATGTACCTATAACCCCAGCTCTTCAGCAGTCTGAGGCAGGAGGGTCACTTGAGCCCAGGAGGCCCAGGCTGCAGTGAGCCATGATAATGCCGTTGCACTCCAGCGTGGGTGACAGATCGAGACCCTGTCTCTAAAAAAAACAAACAAATACACAAACAAAAAACTCCAGCAAGCAATTTAATACACTCTAAAACTTATGGCAAAATGAAAGTTCCAGTAAAGTAAGATATAAAGAAAACTAAGGCCAACTGTGATGGCTCATGCCTGTAATCCAAACACTTTGGGAGGCTGAGGCAGGAGGATCAATTGAGGCCAGGAGTTCAAGACCAGCCTGGGCAACATAGTGATACTCCATCTCTACAAATATAAAAAGAAATTAGCTGGGTGTGGTGGTGCACACCTGTAGCCTGTAGTCCCAGTTACTTGGCAAGCTAAGGTGGGAGGGTCCCTTGAGCCCAGGGGGTCAAGGCTGCAGTGAGCTATGACCATACTACCACACTCCAGACTGGACAACAGAGCAAGGCCCTGTCTCAAAAACAACAACCACAACAACAACAACAAAAAAAAAGGAAAAAGAAACCCAAAATGGAAATTTTAGAAACAGAAACAAAAATCTCACTGAATGGGCTCCACAGCAAAATGGAAATGACAAAAGCAAGCACTGATAAACCTGAAGAACAGAGGAAAAGAAACTGTCCAATTTGAACAAGAGAGAAAACAAATTGAAAAGAAACAAAACACAGCCTCAGGGACCAGCAGGACAATAACAAAAGACCAAACGTTTGTGTCCTCAGAGCCCCAGAAGGAAAGAGTGTGGAGCCGAAAAAATTACTTGAAAAATAATGAATGAAAACTTCTGAAATTTGGTGAAAGACATAAACCTTCAGATCAATATCAAAAAGAATAAACCAAAGAAATCTATGCCCAGATACAACATAATGAAATTTCTGAAAACTAAAGACAAAAATTCTTTTTTTTTTTTTTGAGATGGATTTTTGCTCTTGTAGCCCAGGCTGGAGTGCAGTGGCGCGATGTCGGCTCACTGCAACCTCCACCTCCCGGGTTCAAGCGATTCTCCTGCCTCAGCCTCCCAAATAGCTGGGATCACAGGTGTCCACCACCATGCCCAGCTAATTTTTGTATTTTTAGTAGAAATGGGGTTTCTCCACTTTGGCCAGGCTGGTCTTGAACTCCTGGCCTCAAGTGATCCACCCGCCTCAGCTTCCCAAAGTGCTGGGATTGCAGGCACCCGCAACCACACCCGGCCAATTTTTGCATTTTTAATAGGGGTTTCACCATGTTGGTCAGGCTAGTCTTGAACTCCTGACCTCAAGTGATCCACCCACCTCGGCCTCCCAAAGTGCTGGGATTACAGGTGTGCGCCACCGTGCCCAGCTAATTTTTGTATTTTTAGTAGATACGGGGTTTCGCCATGTTGGCCAGGCTGGCCTTCAACTACTGACCTCAGGTGATCCACCTGCCTTGGCCTCCCAAAGTGCTGGGATGACAGGCATGAGCCACGGCGCCCGGCCTGTCAACGTAATTTTAAGAGTTAAGTGTGAAAGAATGTCTATCATATTCATCCTTGCCATTAGTTTTCCTTCACTCCTGACATTCCTAGTTTCCTTCCTTCTGTTGTGTCTAAAGTACCTCCTTTATCAGTTCTTTTAGATCCAGTCTGCTGGTGACAAACTTTTCCTTCATCTGAGAATGTCTTTATTCACTCTCATTCCTGAAGAATATTTTTACTGAATGTATAATTATGGGTTGACAGTTTTTTGCTTTCAGTACTTGAAAAATATTATGCCACTTCCTTCTGAGGAGAAATCTGATGACAGCTGCTGCTGAGAACCCACTACCGCTCCAGTCACTGTCCCCTGTGGGCTGTGCATCGCTCTCTCTGTGTGCTTTCAACAGTTTTTGTCTTTAGGCCGGGCGCAGTGGCTCACGCCTGTAATTCCAGCACTTTGGGAGGCCAGCGCAAGTGGATCACCTGAGGCCAGAAGTTCGAGACCAGCCTGGCCAACATGGTGAAACCCTGTCTCTACTAACAATACAAACGCCACCAGCTGGGCATGGTGGCACATGCCTGTAACCCTAGCTACTTTGGAGGCTGAGGCATGAGAATCGCTCGAACCCAGGAGGCAGAGGTTGCAGTGAGCCGAGATTGTGCCACTGCACTCCAGCCTGGGCAACAGAGACTCCGTCTCAAAAAACAAGAAATTCATTTCAAATATAAAAGAGAGAGGTAGGTAAAAAGAAAAAGGGATGAAAAAGTTATACCACGCGAATGCTAATCAAAAGAAAGCCCGAGTGGATTAATTAATATCAGACAAGGTAGACTTCAGAACAAAGAATGTTGCCAGACAAAGAGGAAGATTACGTAACAATATAAGGGTCAATTATCCTAAAAAAAAAAAACCCTAAATGTATACACATCTAACAACAAAGATACAAAATATATGAAACAAAAACAAAGAATCGTGATTTAAAAAATAAAGATCTATATTAAAACAGGAATAGAAAGAAACTTCCTTAACCTCCCTCCACTACCCCCACCACAAAAAACCTTCAGCAAAAACTCAACCTAAAAAAGTGAAATGCTGAAAGTTCTTCCTCTGGGATTAGGGAGAAAGACAGCTATTATCAACATCATACCGGAGAGTTTAGCTAGGGGCGATAATGCAAGAAGAAGTAAACAATATCAGCATTGGAAAAGAAAAATAAAACCTCCCTTATTTTATTTTACTTTATTTTTTTTGAGATGGAGTCTCGCTCTGTTACCTAGGCTGGAGTGTAGTGGTGCAATCTCGGCTCACTGCAACCTCCGCCTCCTGGGTTCAAGTGATTCTCCTGCCTCAGCCTCCCAAGTGGCTGGGATTACAGGTGCCTGCCACCACGCCCAGCTAATTTTTTTGTATTTTTAGTAGAGACGGGGTTTCACCATGTTGGCCAGGCTGGTCTCAAACTCCCGACCTCAGGTGATCCACCCACCTCGGCCTCCCAAAGTGCTGGGATTACAGGCGTGAGCCACTGCGCCCGGCAAAAACCTCCCCTATTTGAGACAATCTGTGCCAGTGGAGTGTCCTGTCTGGCCCCTCCCTTTCTTTTCCTGCCTTAGGCCTGCAGATGGGGCCTGCCTCCCCTACACTAAGGGGGGCTGTGGCTCCAGCAGGGTGAAGGCATCTGTGTGGAAGGCAGCCAGGCTGGGCTGTCAAGCTCGGTGATGCTGGGGAGGCATCCAGGCAGGAGAGGGGCCTGCAAATAGGGGAAGGGGCCACAGCAGCAATGGGGGATTGGTTACACCAAGAGGACTCGATCAAAGTAACTGTGTTAGTGATAATGGGCGAGCCAGGTTTCTCATTATTGGGAAAGGAAGTTAGAATAATGAAAAAGAAAGCTAGAATGCTAGAATGAACCTTTTGATGTTGGACTAACCACAATGGAATAGATTAGCCTATGAGTTTGTCTTGAAATTAAGACCTTCCATTCACCAAAGACACCAGTGAAGGAATAAAAGGCAAGCCATAGACTGGGAGAAGATATTTGCAACACATATAACCAACGCTAGGCTCATATTCAGCATAAAATACCCTAAAAAAATCTATGACAAAGGGCAGATGATCCAATAAACAATGGGCAAAAGACATGGCCTGGAGCTCCAAAAGAGGGGCTGTCGAAAGGCCAATTCTATGGACTGAGCTCTGCCCCCCAAAATTTACGGGTTGAAGCTCTCACCCCGAACATGACTGTATTTGGAGACAGCGCCTCTGAGGAGGCAGCTAAGGTTACATGAGGTCCTAAGGCTGGGGCCCTGGACTGTTGTCCTTACAAGAAGAGGAAGAGTCGGGCGCGGTGTCTCACGCCTGTCATCCCAGCACTTTGGGAGGCTCAGGTAGGCAGATCACGAGGTCAGGAGTTCGGGACCAGCCTGACCAACGTGGTGAAACCTCATCTCTACTAAAAATACAAAAATTAGCCGGGCGTGGTGGCATGCACCTGTAATCCCAGCTACTCAGGAGGCTGAGGCAGGAGAATCGCTTGAACTTGGGAGGCAGAGGCTGCAATGAGCCAAAATCATGCCACTGCACTCCACCCTGGGCAACAGAGCAAGACTCTGTCCCAAAAAAAAAAAAAAAAAAGAGGAAGAGACACCAGGAGTGAGCATGCAGCGGGGGAGGAGTCACGTGAGCACGCAGGGGGAGAGTCCACATGAGCACGCAGGGGAGAGGGTGCCGTCTGCAAGCCACAGAGAGGCCTCAGGAGGAACCCACCCTGCCGGCAACCTGATCTCTGACATCCAGACTCCAGAAGTGAGAAAATAAAACCGTTGTTTAAGCCACTCAGGCTGTGGTGTTGAGTTACGGCAGCCCTAGCCAATCATACGCCAATGCACACAGGAAGAGATGTTCAATCCCACGAATCTCATGAATTTGCAAATTAAACCAAAATAGGATGTGCTACGTGTCCACTAGAGGGAACAGAAGGAGCCGCTGACCACGTAAGTGTTGGCGCGCATGCAGCACCACGGCTACCTCGCACGATGTGGATGGATGCTTTGGAGAAGAATCTGGCATTATCAAGTGAAACACAGTGTAGGTCTGAAGACGCCAGACAGAAGCACAGGTGCCACAGAATTCCATTCACACCAAAACAGGGAGCGCTGACTGCAGTGAGCAGCCAGGGCACGTGGGCTCCGGAGGGAGCACAAGGAATTCCATTCACACCAAAACAGGGAGCGCTGACTGCAGTGAGGAGCCAGGGCACGTGGGCTCCGGAGGGAGCACAAGGAATTCCATTCACACCAAAACAGGGAGCGCTGACTGCAGTGAGGAGCCAGGGCACGTGGGCTCCGGAGGGAGCGCGAGGAATTCCATTCACACCAAAACAGGGAGCGCTGACTGCAGTGAGGAGCCAGGGCACGTGGGCTCTGGAGGTAGCTCCAGGAATTCCATTCACACCAAAACAGGGAGGGCTGACTGCAGTGAGGAGCCAGGGCACGTGGGCTCTGGAGGGAGCACAAGGAATTCCATTCACACCAAAACAGGGAACGCTGACTGCAGTGAGGAGCCAGGGCACGTGGGCTCCGGAGGGAGCACAAGGAATTCCATTCACACCAAAACAGGGAACGCTGACTGCAGTGAGGAGCCAGGGCACGTGGGCTCTGGAGGGAGCACAAGGGGCTGCTGGGCTGGATGACGCCGCCCCAACGTCTGCAGTAGCCTTGAGCTGTATATTTGCTATGAGCGGACTTTTGCAGGGGTCAGATTTCAGTTTATAAGGGGACAGCAAGTACCCCACTGAGACGCGGACTTACCAGTCGTCTCTGTCGAGGTGCGGACGCTGGGCTGAGACTCAGCATGAGGTGAGGACATCTTTAAAGGATCCAACACATCTTCTAGATGCTTTTCCAGAGTTTTAAACTTATGCTTTAGAGTTCGTATTTCTGCTTCAAGGGCCAGAACATAATCTGCCAAAAAAACCTCCAGTGAATATAACACATACACAGCATCCTTTCGCACCTCCCTCCTGTGAGCACCAGCTCAGGGAGCCGATGCCAGCTCATGCCCGCCAGCTTCACTGTCCCTGTCCTCCTCACACTACAGCTTCACCGTAGTTTCCACACTCTCTGTGTGTGTCAGACTGAAAGACCTTCCCTCCCCTCACTGGCCAGAGTGTGCCAGCCAGAGACCAGCACAGTCTCCATGCTCTCCAGGAAGGGCTCAGTGATCAGGAGCAAATGCTCCACCTGCCGCCAGCCCACGTGCCTCTGTGCAGAGGGGCCAAGTCCCATCTCGAGAACGGAAGCTCTGCCTCCATCCCGGCATCTGCCCACCCACAGCCACTCATGGGGTCCCTGGGGGTCGGGAGGCCCTCATCAGCTCTGCCACAGACGCTCCTCTGGAGGAAAGGACTGAGGTCCACCAGCCCCTGCTACCAACCCATTCTGGGACAGCGCGACAGCAAGCCAGCCCTGGTCCAGGTCTAAAACAGGTTTTTAAGTGTGTCAAGCAGGTACCCTCATTTTTTCCTTCCACTTTACAAATATAAAAGCTTTTTGGTATAAAACTTAAGATCCCTTCTCTTGGAGAAAAAGCAGTTTTCATACTTTGAGTTTATTACAGGGGATGTTAACTTATAGGACTCTGAAATGAAGCCTCCTTGAAGCCAGTCAAGACCCATGCTCCCGTCTGTCCTCCTCCCTCCCTCTCCCCCTTCCTCTCCCGCTCTGTCCGTTTCTCCCACTTACTCACCAGGAGTGGCGGCATCTCCCCCAGCCTCTGGGTCAGGCTGGTTTGCATCTGTGCTCTCTGCCGCTGTCTGGATGGGAGGAGGAATCTGATGGCTTAGAGCCTCCATTTCTTTCCTCATCTGGGCAATCGCGTTTCGCAAGCTCGTGTTCTGCTCTCGGAGCCGCTGGATCTCACTGGATGGAAAGTCTTTACTTATTTCTTCTTCATGCTGCCTGAGAAGCATCTGTCAAATACAAGGAAAAATGGCTACAAAAAGATGAATGGTTCCCCAGCTTGTCCTGACAGGCTGTGCCTCCGCTCTCCCCGCGCCCCTCTCGGGCCGGTCCCCCGCTTCAGCTTGGGCTGTGGTCCCTCCCCATCCCCAGGCTGTGATGCCCCTCCTTTCTGACAGAAGTGCAAATATGACACTCAAATTCCTGGAGCCTTTCATACTTTTGAGATCCCTAGAGTGTCCAATCCACAGAGGCAGAAAGTGGAATGGGGGTGCTGGGGCTGTGGGCGGGGAGGGGGAGCCAGTGTTTCTTGGGGACAGAGCTTCAGTATGGAAAGATGAGAATGTTCTGGAGAGGGTGGTGTGATGGCTGCACCTCCGTGTGAATGCGCTTCATGCTGCTGAACTGTGTGCACCAAAAAATAGTTAAAGCAGCCAGTTTTGCGTTATGTATACTTTAGTACAATCAAACATCCACTAAATAGGATGAAGAGCAGGTTCAGAGCGCGCAGAAGAAAAGGCAGTGAATATAAACACCTGGCAACAGAAAATACCCAAACTGAAGCTCAGAAGGAAAGGTGCCAAAGAAGAAAAAATGAGCAGAGCTCTGGAGACCATGAACAAGGTGCACAAGGAACCAGGAGCCCAGATGAACGCAAAGACAGGAGACGCGTCTACAACAAGGCCAGACATGTTACAAATGTGCTGAAAGCCACACATCACAGATGACGAAGCAAATGAGCTGAAAGCCGACATCACAGATGACGAAGCTCAGTGAACCCTAAGCAGGATAAACAGAAAGAAAATCATACCAAACAGCACATAATCAAGCTGCTGAAAAATCAGCAACAAAATGGAAACTCTAAAAGCAACCCGAGAAAAGAGACATGTTACCCTAGGGTCAAAGGGCAGGCATAGGGATGACAGACCCCGCAAGGAGCCACCAAGGCGGGAGGACAACGAGGTGAGGTGGCTCCGGTGCAGGAGGAGAGACAGGCCCCGCCCACCCAGTTCCTAGGGAGAGGGAGTGTCCTTCTCTAACCAAAGGTGAGGGGCGCTTCTGCCTCTGACCAGGAGGGACTCACTGCCATGAGTCTTTCCCTGCGGCTGTGAACAACTAGAACACCAGACACATTAGAGGAAACACCTGCTTCCAGACGCCAGCATAGACCCCAGATACGGGAGAGGGAAACAAAGTCCCAGGGTCTGGCCCAACTCAACCTTGAGTCCAGCCAAGATGTGTGCAAAAGGCACAGCTTCCTCTCCTGTGGAGCCACCCTGAGGGACGCAGAGCCTGCTCCCTACTCTGCACTCCATGAACACAAACCTGAAGCAAGATCTGGGCCCTTCCCAGGACGCTCTGACTGCCCGCTGGCTCCTCCGTGCTCCCTGGCAAGGCCAGCTGGCCTGGGCTCCCAGGAGGAGAGCTTCACACGCTGCGCTCAGGGGTGGAGAGGATGCGAACAGAACCTGCACCTCAACTGGCAGTTTAGAAACGGAGACAGTGCGATGCCTAACCCTGTTTTTACTCTAACTCGCTACTTTAAATTTTGCCCTGTTTGTCTCTTTAATCACCTAGCCTTGTTTCTCATGTAAATAAGACTCTCTCTAGCTGGGAAAGCCGGACAAACTCCAACTGACCCCTTAATTTACAAGACACTAAGGGCTCCTTACCCAACCCCCTTCCGCAAGGAGTTGACCTGTGTAAGCAGATCCTCAGCATTTCAAAGGAGCCCAATTAACTGATAAGGTACTGGCACCAACAACGTCTGAAGTTCCCAGGATTCTTCTCAAAGAGATAACAACATAAAGCCTTGAGTTCGTGTCCGGCATAGCATCTATGTCTAACTATAATGAAGGATTTAGAGCCCTGCACCTGGTACCGTTGCTTTTTGTAACCATTTGTCTTTTAAATTGTTTATCGCTCTGTAACCATTTGCTTCTTTTGATTCTTGCATGTTTTTACTTCTGTAGAATTATTGCCTTTGAGTTCCCCTCCCCTTCCTAAACCAAGGTATACAAGTTAATCAAGCCCCTTCCTCAGGGCCGAGAGAATTTTGAGCGTTAGCCGTCTCTTTGGCTGCCGGCTTAAATAAAGGACTCAATTCGTTTCAGAGTGTGGCGTCTTCTCTAACTCGCCTGGGTACAACAACAGGAAACTGCCCACCGCAGTGCCGTGATCACAATGGCGAACAACATGAAGGACCATTGGTAAGAAAATCGCTAGGTGCGTTATGGTGTGGCCGCTTGATAAAACATGCAGCCATTTAGATTCTGTTCGTGAAGAATTGTAATGGCGTGGGAAAATATTTATGGTAGAACCAAAAGGAAGAAAGAATTCTCCTGGAGAAACAGTCGCATGAGGGGTAGACCCTGGAAGGCCGTGCTCCACCTGGCCAGTTACAGAGCGGGATACCGAGTGCCCAGAGGCTTACCAGGCTATGTCCCAGGACGCGCTGAGGGTGCTGGCTGCCTGGCCTCACTGGCTGAGCAGGCCCACCACAGCGGCAAGCAAGGCTCAGAGGGCTCGGCAGTGTGAAAGGAAAATATCACTAAGCTAAAGGGAGAAGTCAAGCTGGGAACTGCTCAGGGCAAACCTGCCTCCCATTCTATTCAAAGTCACCCTTTGCTCACTGAGATGAATGCGTATCTCACTGCCTCCTTTGGAGAGGCTCATCAGAAATTCAAAAGAATGCAACCATCTGTCTCTTACCTACCTATGACCCGGAAGCCTCCTCCCCACTTGGAGTTGTCCCGCCTCTGCAGATGGAACCACTGTTCATCTTACATATGTTGATTGATGTCTCCTGTCTCCCTACAATGTGTAAAACCGAGGTGTGCTCTGACCACCTCGGAACACGTCGTCAGGACCTCCTGAGGCTGTGTCACCGGTGCGCATCCTCAACCTTGGCAAAATAAACCTTCTAAATTAACTGAGACCTGTCTGAGATTTTCTGGGTTCACATTTTGGTAACCACAGGGAGATTCTGAGTGGAGATGCCTCTGACCTTTGACAAAACTCCTATCGGTACTTGGTACTGGAATGAGCTAACTTTATGGCTCAAACCAACAGGACAATTTGCCGAGGTCTGGGAGCATCCCCTCCAGAGAATCCCTGATCTCCCCAAATTTGGTCAAGATCTAAAGTTTATTTTGCTGTACAATGTTGGCAGAAGAGCTGAGGCGGGGCTTGCTTGTCTGACATAATGTAAAAGAGTCTTGGAACATGTCCTGGGTCCAGAGTCTAAAACCCCTCATGACCTTTGGAACACCAAGCTCTGTGCCAATGGGTGGAAGGCTGCCCTGCCGCACTACAGTCTAAGCCCAGGGCATAAAACCCCTCGTGGCTTGGAGAGAACCCAGGGCCCAGGGCATAAAACCCCTGGTGGCTTGGAGAGAACCCAGGGCTCAGGGCATAAAACCCCTCGTGGCTTGGAAAGAACCCAGGGCTCAGGGCATAAAACCCCTTCTAGCCTCTGGAATTGTGTCCAGACTTGCTGGCCCCTTGCTCCTTGCTCTCCCAAGATCATAAATTGATTTTATCTTGAATTAGAAGAACCTGTTCTCCCTTACCTCAAGTAGCGGAGCATATGCGAAACCGTCACAGCTACGCTTGATGCACCGCTACCTTTCTACCCCTACGTCCTCACGCCCTCACCTGTCTACCCCCACAGCCACACGTCCTCACTACCTGCTTCTTTACTTGATTACCAATAAACAGTGTGGGCTCCCAGAGCTGGGGGCCTTTGCAGCCTCCATACACCAGCGTGGGCCCCCTGGACCCACCCTATGTACTCTTGTCTCATTCCTTTGACTCTGCTGGACTTCGTAGCCCCCATGACCTGGTGTTGGGTCTGATCACCCCAACGGTACAACTCCCTTTTTTTGGAGTTTTACTTGCTTCCAACAAGGAAGGCAAGTTTCTCCTGCTTCATGATGATGGAAGGCAGGTAACTCCTTTATGGAGTTTGCACTCACTTCCAACAGGGAAGATGAGGGTTTTTTTTTTTTTTCCTGCTTCTAGGATGGTAGAGAGCAGTCTTTAGCCTGAGACCTATCCCTAGGTAAGTAACTGAATTGGCATTTGCCTTGGCTAAAGTTAAGATTAGCAACCAGGCCGGGCATGGTGGCTCACGCCTGTAATCCCAGCACTTTGGGAGGCCGAGGTGGGCAGATCACCTGAGGTCGGGAGTTCAAGACCAGCCTGACCAACATGGAGAAACCCCATCTCTACTAAAAATACAAAATTAGCCGGGCGTGGTGGCTCATGCCTGTAATCTGAGCGCTTTGGGAGGCTTAGGCAGGCGAATCACCTGGGTCAGGAGTTCGAGATCAGCCTAACATGCAGAAACCCTGTCTCTACTAAAAATACAAAAAATTAGCCAGGCATGGTGGCACATGCCTGTAATCCCAGCTACTCAGGAGGCTGAGGCAGGAGAATCACTTGAACCTGGGAGGCGGAGGGTGCGGTGAGCAGAGATCACACCACTGCACTCCAGCCTGGGTGACACGAGCAAAACTCTGTCTAAAAAAAACAACTCCAAAAATTAGCCAGGCGTGGTGATGCGCACCTGTGGTCCCAGCTACTGGAGCAGCTGAGACGGGAGGATTGCTTCAGCCTAGGGGTAGGAGGAGATTGCAGTGAGCTGAGATTGCACCATTGCACTTCAGCCTGGGCAACAAAGCGAGACCGAGACCGTGTCTCAAAATAAATAAGTAAAAACTACATGAATGAAGGACGAGCTAGGAACATTCTTCATACCACTTAGGATCTGAGTCCTAAGTACACTCGGCTGCCTTAAGCCAAGCCTCAAGGCAGAGAAGCAAATTGAATGGGAGAGAATGCGCACCAGTGGCTGGCCGCTTAGTGCGGGGAGGTGGGACCAGCAGGGGCAGGGACTCTTGGGTGGTCTTGTTGGGGTGGGGGTGCTTGGGCACACTTACATGTCGGCTGCACTGACCTGTGCACTCCAGGCCTGCGCGTTCTACTGTGTGTACAATAGCCCACAGAAAAAAGCCAACTGCAGGCCTAGGGCAGTCCTCCCGTGCTGGGCCCTCTGTGCTCTCCCCCAGCCTCCTACAGCCCTGCACCCCGCTTCCCTCTGCCTGTGGACCCAGCTCTGCTCTGATGAGCTGTGACAGCTCAGACAAGCTCCTCAGTGTCCCCATGTCTCAGCGGACATGGTGCCAACCTCCAAGATGAAATGAGTGGAGGGATTTCAAGGCCTAAGGGCAAACCCTGGCATTGGATGAGTACTTAACTATCGGCCACTAACGTCACTGCTCAACAAAATCAGGAGCGGTGATGACAGATTCCTAGCATAAAATGACCTGCTGTGACAGTCCTGAGGCAATATCATAAGAACAAACTCACATGAACGTCTGATATCTAGTTATATGTGGATTTGGGACTTTTAAAACTTTCGAATATGAAAGATACAAAGAAGCCTGAGTTCACCTTAACTCTCTAAAGCTTCTGACTCACCCTTGTTTGTGCAACAGGTCATTTAAAAAGAACACAACTGAAAGACTTAGCTCCAGTCTTGGTAGGATTTGGGGATCTGGTCCTATTTTCCCACCGCTGCTGTTGAGCAAAGTTTCAAAGAGCCGACTGGGTACTCTCACCTGTGCCCCTGGTCTGGGGAGCCCATGCATCCTCAGGGCCTGCACGGCCTGGTCTCGTTCCAGGGTCACGGCCTTCAGCACCACCTCCTGCTCCTGTAGCGCCTGCTCTGTCTCCTGCAGCTTGGCAGCAACCTGGGAAAAACGCTGGGACTCAGTCCCTGTGTGGATGACCGGGCAGCTCCCATGCCTGCTGAGGCTCCAATGGCACACATAGGTGGGAGATGCTCAGAGCACCAGGCTCCCCACTGTGGCCAGGCCGCCAAACCCTTCCTGCCCATGCATACCCCAGGCTGCCCTTGCAGGCCAGCGGGGATCATGCAGCGCTACTCAAACCACGCGGCTGGTCAACTACAGAAACAGCTTATGCAAGAAAGTCAAGGCGGGTGGACAGGCGGGGTGCATTTTTATTACTCTAATTTATTACTCTAATTACTCAGTGAGGTTTAGTGTTTTCAAATTTAAAGAACCATTTGGTAAGAACCAGACCCGTCCTGCCCAGCCCCACCTCTGCAGAGACGCCGAGAAGGCCCCAGGCCCTGGTGGCCGCACACACCTGACTTTTTGCCATGCTCAGACCCTGAATCAGGGCCTCTGACTTTTGGATCTGGTCCCTTTCAATGTCATCACAGCGGCGCTGCCAGTCCAGGCCCAGCTGCACCTGATCACGCTCCAGGCTCCGCTCCCTTTCCACTGCCAGGGACAGCTGTTGCTTGTACCTAAGGACACGTCCAACCGCTCAGCATTAATGCTTCCTGAGGTCCCTTCCACAGGAAAAGCAGAGGCACGATGGGAAAGGCAGGGCTGCCGCTGTCCCTCCTGCTCTCGCATGGCCTGCGCTGGGCTGACATGCTCCCGAGCTCCTGTGGATGGGCACACTGGGACGCCCAATACAAAGACGAGCAGGCGCCAAGGATGCCCAGATGCCGGAGAAAACCCAACACCATGGATGAGGGTGATGCCCACAAAACCAGAAGAGCCAGCATGCAGGGAGAGGGAGGAAAGCAACAACCTTAAAAGATCATAAACGCGGTTATGCACAAAGGAACGGAGCTATGAAAGCAAACAAGCAGACCAGGGTGGACCCAGCCACGGGGTGGGCAGGGCTGGGAGAGCCCCCAGAGCAAGTGCAGAGCAGGGTGGACCCAGCCACGGGGCGGGCGGGGATGGGAGAGCCCCCCGAGCGAGTGCAAAGGGACAGAGGGGTGGGAACGCAGGAACCCGGGGGCTTCCTCCAGAAAACCAGCGCACAGATGAGAATGGAAGGAGGAAACCACCAAGGATGTAAAGGGGCAGGTCCACCAGGACAGAGCAAACGCCAGCCTTCAGAGAGCTCTAGAGATCCCACACGCACACAGTAAGGGGAAACGTTATAGTATGAAGGACGAAAGAAGAGTCTACAAGGAAAAAAGAACAAGAATTGGACTAGGACTAGGCTTTACACCAGCAACTCTGGGACAGAAGGCCATGGGGCCACACACTGGGGGCAGAATTCCAGGCTGTGGGTGATCCTGTGACGGGGGAGAGGTCCCTCCTGTCCCAGGCAGCGACACAGAGATGGTGGCATGGCTCTGCGTGAGACTGGAGGGAGACTCTCCTGCTGGCCTCATTGCACCGGTAAACTTCAGGGAGTTCGAATGATAGCAATTGAGCCACCGTGTTGTGAGAGGGTCCCTGGAGGGGCTGCGTGGCCAGGACTGAGGACGCCGCTAGGGTGCAGAGTGACCCTGGCTGTCAGACAGTGAGGGAATGGAGGCCTTGGCCCCACAGCTGGAGGGACTGAATTCTGCCAACAGCTGGGTGAGTCTGGAAGGGACCCTGGGCCTCCAAGGAGAGGCAGGCCTGGCCATCATTGATTCCAGCCTGGAGAGACCCTGAGCCGGGAATGGCTGAGCCCTGCCCAGGCCCTGGCCCCAGAACCTGAGATAATAAATGGGTGTTTAAAGCAGCTAAGCTGCTAAGTTTGTGGTAATTTATACACAATGTGTTCTTGTTTTGTTTAATTATTTTTAGGTTTTTTTTGGATACAGAGTCTTGCTCTGTCACCCAGGCTGGAGTGCAGTGGCGTGATGTTGGCTTAGTACAGCCTCCACCTCCTGGGCTCAAGTGGTCCTCCTGCCTCAGCCTCTTGAGTAGCTGGGACTACAGGTGCATACCACCACGCCTAGCTAATTTTTTGTATTTTTAGTAGAGACGGGGTTTCACCGTGTTAGCCAGGATCGTCTCGATCTCCTGACCTCGTGATCCGCCCGCCTCGGCCTCCCAAAGTGCTGGGATTACAGGCGTGAGCCACTGGG
Source organism: Homo sapiens (assembly GCF_000001405.40). Taxonomy (NCBI): domain Eukaryota; kingdom Metazoa; phylum Chordata; class Mammalia; order Primates; family Hominidae; genus Homo; species Homo sapiens. The sequence goes on from NC_000017.11 coordinate 82,180,768, forward strand.
CCCAGCCCCACAGATACATTTTTAAATCCCTGTAACTGCAAAAATAAATAAATCTTTAACACAACACAGCAGCTGTCACCATGCCTATCTTCCCACTTTAAACAACTGGGACACTGGGCAGTAAATGGGGCACGGCTTTCACAGAGCGAACGATGAACACACGAGCGGTGCGGGGCTGAGGCCCCTCAGAGAAGGTCCTCGCGAGATGGGCCCACTCGCCGCCCGGCTTCTCTCCACAGGCCATTCCGGATCCCCGCAGGGACGGCAAACCACGCAGAGCACGGTGGTCTTGCTGTGACGAGGAGATGAAGGTTGGAGTTTGGAGAAGCTGAAGTGGCTGAAATGGGCTTTATGAGGCAGAGGGGCAGAGAGGAGGGGAACCTGGGATCTGTGCAGGGATCCCCTAGAAGCTGTGGCTGACAGCCACATGCAAATACACAGGAGAAGCCAACACCGGCTGGGCCAAGAGCAACTCGTGGGAACGAAGCAGCCAGCACGGGGCTCCACGTGCGCTGATTCCCAGAGCTCGTCAGGGCGGCCGGCGGAGCATCCTTGGAGCTCTCGCTCCAGGGCACGCAGTGGGGTCTGGGAGTCATAGTGCTGAGTCAGCCCTGGTGAAAAGGCTTCTCTAGACCTGCCCCACCTGCCCTCGCACTGATTTTAAACAAGTCTCAAATGGGTCAAGCTGCCATGTAAATACTTAACTGCAGCCAAACAAAAAACAGCACAGCCAAAACCAGATGCTCGCCAACATCATATTCACCATGTCTGACATCCAGTGAAAACTTACCAGATGGGCAAGGAAGTAGAAAAAAATGTAGCTCTCTCCAGTAGAAAAATCAGCCCATAGAAACAGACTCAGAAATAAAGATATGATGGAATTAGCAGATAAATACATTTAAGCAGCTATTACAAATAAGTTCAGAGATTTAAAGGCAACCGTGCACATAATGAGGAGAGAAATTAAATGTATAAAAAAGTCTAAATATTGTAATATGTGCTGTTTTCTTTCAGTGAATGGAAGAGTTTAACGAAGAAGGAACATTGGAATCAAGAGTTGAGAACATAAGCCAGGCGGGGTGGCTCACGCCTGTCATCCCAGCACTTTGGGAGGCCAAGGCAGGTGGATCACCTGAAGTCAGGAGTTCAAGACCAGCCTGGCCAACATGGTGAAACCCTGTCTCTACTAAAAATACAAAAATTAGCCAGGCGTGGTGGCGCATGCCTGTAATCCCAGCTACTCTAGAGGCTGACACAGGAGAACTGCTTGTACCCAGGAGGTGGAGGTTGTAGTGAGCTGAGATTGCGCCACTGCACTCCAGCCTGGGTGACAGAGTGAGACTCCATCTCAAAAAAAAAAGAAAAAAAGTTGAGAACATTATCACAGCATGTTTTTTTTCTTCTGCATTAGTTCATATTATGAGGGTTTTCTACATACACAAGTAATAGGTAAATCTAAATGTGCTTTCTTGAAGATACATGATGTTTTATTTCAGTCAATGGAAGTATTTAACAAAAAAAAAAAAGAATGCTGGAAGGAAGAGCTAAGAACGTTATTACAACATGTTTCTTTCAGCATTGGTACTTTTCCTTTTTTTTTTTTTGAGACCCAGTCTCGCTCTGTTGCCCAGGCTGAAGTGCAGTAGCACCATCTCGGCTCACTGCAGCCTCCGCCTCCTGGGTTCAAGTGATTCTCCTGCCTCAGCCCCCCGAGTAGCTGGGATTACAGGCGTGTGACACCACACCGGGATAATTTTTGTATTTTTAGTAGAGATGGGGTTTTACCATGTTGTCCAGGCTGGTCTCAAACTCCTGACCTCAGGTGATCTGCCAGCCTTGGCCTCCCAAAGTGCTGGGATTATAGATGTGAGCCACCGCGCCCGGCCCACCAAACATTTATTTATATTTTATTTTTTATTTGTTTATTCATTTTTTTGAGACAGAATCTCACTCTGCTGCCCAGGCTGGAATGCAGTGGCACGATCTGGGCTCACCAAAACCTCCGCCTCCTGGGTTCAAGTGATTCTCCCACCTCAGCCTCTGGAGTATCTGGGACTACAGGCGTGAGCCACCATGCCTGGCTAATTTTTGTATTTTTAGTAGAGACGGGGTTTTACCATGTTGGCCAGGCTGGTCTCGAACTCCTGACCTCAAGTGATCTGACAGCCTTGGCCTCCCAAAGTGCTGGGATGACAGGCGTGAGCCATCACACCCGGCCCACCAAACACTTTTAAACCATCAGAACTCACTTACTATCATAAGCACAGCATCGGGGAAACCGCCCCCATGAGCCAATCACCTCCCATCAGGGTCCTCCCTTGACACATGGGGATTACAATTTGAGATTAGATTTGGGGGGGGACATAGAGCCAAATGATATCATACAGCATACACATTCATCAAAATTCATCAAGTGTAGAGTTAAAATGGATGAGTTTAGCATATGTATTCTGTAATAAAGTTGACTTGAATGTGTATGGGAAATAGAATGCTATCTTTGTTCAAGGAAGTGTTCGCCCCAACGGATAAGAAACACATGAGGACATGAACAATCAGACAAGACAGACGAGGAGATTCTTTGTTTTTGTTTTCCTTTTTGCAGAGATGGGGTCTCACTATGTTAACCAGGCTGGTCTCCAACTCCTGGGTTCCAGCAATCCTCCTGCTTCTGCCTCCCTAAGTGCTGGGATTATAGGTGTGAGCCACCACGCTTGGCAAGAGGAGATTCTTAGTGCAGAATCAAGCAGGAGCACCTTTATGGCTCTTATTACAGACTGAGAAACACCATCCTCTGGCCATGCTCCCTCCAGCAGGCGGCCCCTTCTGCATGTCTTCCCACACCACCCCTGCGTGACCAGACATTCTATCTGTCTTGTTCACTGTCTTTCTCCCCCAAGAAAATGTGAGGCCAGGGACTCAATCTGTTCAGTTTTGAATCCTTAGTACCTACAACAGCACCTGCCCATAGGAGACCCTCAATGGAAACATCTGCCTGGGGACAGTTACCTTTCAATGTCCTGCTGGGATCGGGCCACCTGTGCCTTGAGCTTCACCTCTTCTTCCTGCAGCGTCTGAATCTGAAGGTCTCTGGAGACCATCTCCTTAGATAGTTGAGCAATTTGAGCATCCCAGGCAGATTTTACAGTTGATGCATCTTCACGAAGTCTAAACATAGAAGGGAAACTATGTAGATGTGGTTCTCACTCACTAAAGTTGTCTCTTACACAGCACCCCCCAGCAAATACACATGCGCGCGCGCGCGCGCACACACACACACACACACACACACACACACACACACACACACACACACACAGCTCTCGAGCTGAAACTTCCTGGCCTAGATGATGAAGATGGTTCCGCACAGGAAGAATTAAGCATCCGTCCACCCAACTACCTCCATGCATGCATGCATCCCACCAACCCAGATTCCAGCTAAGCTCCTGCAGCACACCAGGCCATGTGCCAGGTTCTTGGTGGGCGGAAGGTGAGGCATGACATGCCTCCCATGCCCACAGAGCCCACAGTCATGAGGTAGCAACACCTCTGACCAAGTCACCCTCATGTCCTCGCCATGCCTAGCACAGCACCCCACGTGCAGAGACATTCAGCACATTTTCAAGTTGCATGGTAAAATAAGGTTCTACAGAACCCACTAAATAACCTTAACAGCAGGATGCCTCTGGGAGAATTACCCAAAATGGAATAAATTTCCCAAGAAAATGTTCGGGACAATATCTAGAGCTGTTAACTCAGGTAGCCACAGTACTAACCTAGGCAAGATGATACCTGCCCACTTGCATGGGCGTAGCCCTGTTTCCCTAAGAGATGGGAAGACGGCCCACAAGAGCAACTGTAGCATCACACACGACAGACCTTCAGATGCTCCTGTGCTGATGAACTTCCAACTGACAGTGAGAAGCAGAGGGTGAGCTGGCTGCCCCCACAGAGGCCACCCCTTGTCACGAGGGGTTAAACCTAGCATGAGTGGTGCACTCAAGCCTGGTATTATATAGAATGGAAAAAAAGCCACCCTGCCAACAGTTTTGGACACATATTTTAGGACAGCTGAAAAGAGACACCATCAAAGGCATCAACGTTTCCAGCCATCTCTGGCAATGTGGGCTGACACAGAATGTGTGTTTGGACTCCTTCCACGCTTTGCGTGGGTACTGAAGAAACAGACTCACCAACGGCCTCTGGTGCTCTGGGAAGCAGCTTTATCCCTGGACCATGAGCCACCTAATTATGAGGGCCAGCCCCACTCCCAGCATCAGGATGGTGATGTGACTCTGCCTGGGGCCTCCTGGACAGTCTCCCCTGATGCACAGTCTCAGGTGTAGATCAATGGGCACGGCTGCTGAGCCCTCACTGCAGGGACAGAGGACACCACGGCCACGAGCGGGAGTGCACTGCTCACCACAAGAGCGTAAATGCTTTTTGTGAGAAGCCAAGGTGGAAGGATCACCTGAGCCCAGGAGGTCGAGGCTCCAGTGAGCCATGATCGCACTGCTGCTTTCCAGTCTTCTCTTTCTTCTGCGTAATGGGATGGTTAAAATAAAAAAGAAGGCTGGGCATGGTGGCTCATGCCTGTAATGCCAGCACTTTGGGAGGCCGAGGCAGGCAGACTGCTTGAGGTCCCAGAGCTCGAAACCAGCCTGGGCAACATGACTAAACCCTGTCTCTACTCAAAATACAAAAATTAGCCGGGTGTGGTGGCACGCACCTGTAGTCCCAGCTACCTGGGAGGCTGAGGGGGGTGGATCACCTGAGCCCAGGAGGTGTAGGCTGCAGTGAACCGAGATCACGCCACTGCACTCCAGCCTGGGTGACAGAGTGAGACCTTGTCACAAAAAAAAAAAGGAAGAAAAAAATGCTTTCCTGTTAATCCTACAGGTTTTCTCTGTAGTTCCAAACTCCAAACCAGCACAAAACTGCTGAAAAACCTATTAAGAACTACAAAGCTGGCCAGGCACGGTGGCTCATGCCTATAATCCCAGCACTTTGGGAGGCTGAGATGGGAGGATCACTTAAGTCCAGGAGTTTGAGACCATCCTGGGCAACATGGGGAGACCCCATCTCTACTTCATTTTAAGAAAGAAAAAAAGGAACTGAAATAAATATGGCTGTCACTTATTTCTATTTTTTTAGTTAAAAAATTATTTTTTTAGAGACAGAGTCTTGCTCTGCCTCCTGAGTAGCTAGGACTATAGGTGAGCACCACCGTACCTGTCTAACTTTTCTTTGGGTAGACATAGGGTCTTGTTTCGTTGCCCAGGCTCAAGTGATCCTCCTGCCTCAGCCTCCCAAAGTGCTGGGATTAGAGGTGTGAGCCACTGTGCCTAGCCGAGGTCATCATTTAATGCCAGCTCATACTTGGGATCATGGGATCCGAATGATAGCTGAACTCCCCAGAAGTAAAAGAGGAAAGATACAAGCTTTAGAATGTAGAAGTCTGTTTCTTACTACCAAAATAATACTGCATATGTGTAGTAATAATTCTCAATGAGCAAAGAGTATTTACGGACAGAAAACGAAAAGACATTCAAGAACAACATTTAGCTTAAGACTGCAACGGGGGGCCAAGGTTAGGCGCACAGGAGTGGTGACGCCCAGTCACCTCGGCCGCACTACATGGAAAATGGAAGCACCTGCGGCCCCTCTCACCCCGTATACCGACCACAGAGGTCGCCCCGCACACCGACCGCAGAGGCTTTAGGTGCCTCCCATGCATGGCGTCTTCAACCACTCTGCTTGAATCTGACTGATCAAACAACAACACAGCATGCTGAATCTAGAGAAACTATCCTGAATAAGCCCTTAACTTCCTGGTACTGTGTAGTTCTAAGAGCCATTTCCCCCTTAAACAGAAATACAATTTGTCAGAGAATTCTCTATCGGTGGTGGCTCATGCCTATAATCCCAGCACTTTGGGAGGTCAGTGTGGGAGGATCACTTGGGTCCAGGAGTTGGAAACCAGTTTAGGCAACATGGAGAAACCTCGTTTCTACAAAAAATACAAAAATTAGCTGAGCATGGTGGTGCACACCTGTGGTTCCAGCTACTGCGGAGGCTGAGGCGGGAGGATCACTTGAGCCCATGAGGTCAAGGCTACAGCAAGCCGTGATCGCACCACTGCACTCCAGCCTAGACAACAGAGTAAGACCCTGTCTCAAAAAAAGAAAAAGAGGCCGGGGGCGGTGGCTCACACCTGTAATCCCAGCACTTTGGGAGGCCGAGGCAGGGGGATCACAAAGTCAGGAGATGGAGACCATCTTGGCCAATGTGGTGAAACCCCGTCTCTACTAAAATACAAAAAATTAGCCGGGCATAGTGGTATATGCCCGTAATGCCAGCTACTTGGGAGGCTGAGGCAGGAGAATCGCTTGAACCCGGGAAGTGGAGGTTGCGGTGAGCTAAGATTGCACCACTGCACTCCAGCCTCGGTAACAGAGCCAGACTCCATCTCAAAAAAAAAAAAAAAAAAAGTCAAGATGAAAGAAAAGAAAAAGAAGAAATAAAGGAGGAAAATGGTTACAATAGTAAATTTTATGTTATGTGTATTTTACCACAATTTAAAAATTCAGAGAAAAGGAAAAAATTCTGACACATGTTAAAATGTGGACAAACTTTGAGGACATTATGCCAAGTGAAATAAGAGAGTCCCAAATGGACAAATACTGCATGATTCCAACTTACAGGAGGTCCCCAGCCCGGTCGCATCCATAGAATCAGCAAGTAGAATGGAGGTGGCCGGGGCTGGTGGGGCTCGGGGGGAGCTGGCAGGGGTCGGGGGGGCACTGGCGGGGGTCGGGGGGCACTGGTGGGGCTCGGGGGGGAGCTGGCAGGGGTCGAGAGTGCTGACAGGGGTCGGGGGTCACTGGCAGGGCTCGGCGCGGGGGAAGCTGGCAGGGGTTGCGGGGGGTGCTGGCGGGGGTCGGGGGGAGCCGGCGGGGCTCGGCGTTGGGGGAACTGGCGGGGGTTGCGGGGGGAGCTGGCAGGAGTGGGGCAGGGAGTTGGCGGGGCTGGGGGGAGCTGGCAGGGGTTGGCTGGGGAGCTGGCGGGGGTGGGGGAGGCGTTGGTGTGTAATGGGAAGATGGAAAGTTCTGGAGATGACAGTGGTGATGGTTTTACAACAACGTGAATGTGCCTAATGCCACTGCCACTGATCTGTACACTAAGAAATGGCTAAAATGGCTAATTTTATGTTATGCATATCTTACTATAAATAGATGAATGCACACACACATAGAAACTACACAATTTCAAAAATAAAGAAAAGGCAAAAAAAAAAAAAAAAGAGTGGTTAAGAAAAGTGACTGAGAGCTACAGAAGCCACTCTGTCTGCTGCCTGGCCCCCTTTCCTGTGGTCTGGCACCAGTGGGCCCAGGTCAGCACAGCCACGGCCGTCCCTGCCCTCACCCTCTGGGTGGAGCCAAGCACACGCTCACTGGTCAATGGCAGCGTCCTTCTCCTTGGCGGTGTCAGCCTGTCTCCACTCTGCCCTGCGGAGCTGCGCCTCGAGGGTCTCGCAGTGGGCCTGCAGCTCCAGAACCCTGGTCTGCAGCTCCTGCAGCTGCTCCACGTGGGCTCCCTTCACCGCCACCAGCACTGCATCCTTCTCCCTGGCCAGACGGTCGAGCTCCTCATGCCTGAAACACAGTGAGTGTCCCATGGCGCTCACCCAGCCCCCAACACCCAGGCCCCAGACCCTCTTTGGAGGCGTTCATTGCCCTGTCTCGTGCACAGGTGCTGCTGTATGTCTGCCTCAAGGCTTCGCAGCAGCCACCTGGCCACCTGTTCCTCATTCCTCGCAGGTAAACATGGACCAAGCCACTTTTCGATGCCAGGCCCCTGGCCTGCCCTCCAGAGCCCACAGCCCCCTGGAGAAGGACACCAAAAGGAGGTGCATAGAGCACAGTTTGATCCGATCAACCTGCGAAAGGAGGTGCATAGAGCACGGTTTGATCCGATCAACCTGCGAAAGCAAAAAAAGGTAGATGCACACTGCCTTGTATCCTGGCAGCCAGCCAGGTCTACGGAGCCACACCGCACCCCACCTATTGATTTTCCAATTAGAGGCAAAGTCTTGCTGTGTTGCCCAGCCTGGCCTTGAACTCAAGCAATCCTCTCACCTCAGCTTCCCAAGTAATTGGGCTTATAGGCCACACCACTTTGCCTGGCAAAAAGATTTTACTTTAAAAATATTATGTTAGCAGCCAGGCACAGTGGATCATGCCTGTAACCGAAGCACTTTAGGAGGCCGAGGCAGGTGGATAGCTTGAGCCCAGGAGTTGAAGACCACCAGCCTGGGCAATATGGCAAAACACCCTCTACAAAAAAATACAAAAATTAGCCTTTACGGTGGCGGGTGCCCATAGTCCCATTTACTCGGGAGGCTGAGGTGGGAGGACCACCGGAGCGTGGGAGGTCGAGGCTGCAGTGAGCCGTGATGGTGCCACTGCACTCCAGCCTGAGTGACACAGTGAGACCCTGTCTCAAAAACAAACCACATTAGCAACAGTATTAAATAAATAAAAAATTTAAAAAGATTTACGTGTTGATTTCCTACCCTCTGAGCATATTAGGTTCTACTAAGCAGAGTGCTATCAGGTATATGTAATGTTATGTAAGCCATCTCGGTGAAGTCTTTGATCTAACCCTACTGGGACTGAGAGAGTGAACAGCTCTGCTGACTGGGTTTCAGACCCCTTGGCAAGGCCAACCCCAGCTGTCTGCTTCCACCAAGTTGGAGAAGCTCATTCAATTATGAGCTGATGGATGATTTAAAATTATTCCTGGCTGGGCGCAGTGGCTCATCCCTGTAATCCCAGCACTTTAGGAGGCCAAGGAGGGTGGATCGCTTGAGGTCAGGAGTTCGAGACCAGCCTGGCCAACATGGCGAAACCCAGTCTCCACTAAAAAAAATACAAAAATTAGCCGGGCATGGTAGCACATCCCTGTGATCCCAGCTACTCGGGAGGCTGAGGCAGGAGAATTGCTCGAACCCGGGAGGCAGAGGTTGCAGTGACCCGAGATCGCACCACCAGCCTGATCAACATGGAGAAACTGTCTCTACTAAAAATACAAAAATTAGCCGGGCATGGTGGCATGCGCCTGTAATCCCAGCTACTGGGGAGGCCGAGGCAGGAGAATCACTTGAACCCAGGAGGCGGAGGTTGCAGTGAGCCGAGATTGCGCCACTGCACTCCAGCCTGGGTGATAAGAGTGAAACTCTGTCTCAAATTAAAAAAAAAAAAATGATGAGACACTAGTCATCTCCGTGTGAGCAGTTTGTCTCTCCAGTAAATTGCATATCCCAGTATAGAGTGACCTCTCAAGGTTCTTCATATCCCAGCATAGAGTGACTTCTCAAGGTTCTTCATATCCCAGCATAGAGTGACTTCTCAAGGTTCTTCATATCCCAGCATAGAGTGACTTCTCAAGGTTCTTCATATCCCAGCATAGAGTGACTTCTCAAGGTTCTTCCCTATTTCTCATTGTGTTTAGTGTAATACTGTAAACCTTCAATAACACCATGGGACCTATGCAAAGGTCCACCAGTGATGCTGGAAGTGAGCAGAGGAAAGTCATGCATTTGCAAGACAGGTCTGCAGCTGCTGGCCATTCTAAAACACATTAATCCAGTCTGGGTGTGGTGCTCACCCCTGTAATCGCAGCACTTTGGGAGGCCGAGGTGCGCGGACCACTTGAGGACAAGAGTTTGAGACCAGCCTGGCCAGCATGGCAAACTCCATCTCTGCTAAAAATACAAAAATTAGCCAGGTGTAGTGGTGCATGCCTGTACTCCCAGCTACTTGGGAGGCTGAGGCATGAGAATAGCTTGAACTCAAGAGGCAGAGGTTGCAGCGAGCTGAGATTGCACCACTGCACCATCTGCCTGGGCAACAGAGCGAGACTCTGTCTCAAAAAAAAAAAAAAAAAAAAAAAATCTTTTGATAATGGACAATGCCTCTTGCCACCCAGAACCCATGAGTTCAACAGCAAGGTGTTGACGTCGTCTGCTTGCTCCCAGACATAATGCCTCTAATTCAACCTTTATGAGAGGCCATATGGACCTTAAGGCTCACTACACATGGCGCTCTTTGGAAAGGATGTCAATGCTGTGGCCGAAAACCCCCCAGAAAGAAGAACATCCTGAAAGCCTGGCAGGCTTCCACCACTGAAGCCATTGTTGCTATAGAAAAAGCCACGGAAGCCATCCAGCCCAAATAATAAATTCCTGATGAAGAAAGCTGTGTCTAGATGTCGTGCCTGACTTCACAGGATGTCCAATGGTGCCAATCAAGTAAATCATGAGTTGTAATACGGCAAAAAAATAAAAATAAAAAATAAAAAATAAAAAAAAAGGTCAGGGTGCGGGGTGAAGGATTTCACAGCATGGATCTTGGAGAAACCCCAGAGCTGACCCCACAGCAGAGGAATGAACGGGAGACAACTCAATGGGGATGAGTGCTTCCGAACCGGCGCCAGATGATGAGGAAACAGATGTAGAAGAAGCAGTGCCAGAAAAGAAACTGGCATCAGACAGACACTCCTGCAGAAGGGCTCCCATCACTCACGCCTGCCTTGACTTTTTACCACGTGGAACTGTCTATGACGTGGGCACTGAGACTCAAGTGTTAAAGCGGGATTGGCACCATATAGAAACATTTTTAGAGGAAGGAAAAAGTAAAAAAGTCAAATGGAATTACAATGTATTTCTGTCAAGTTACACCAAGGGTACCTGCCTCTCCTGCCCTCCCTTCCACCTCCTCCACCTCTGCCACTCCAGAGACAGCCCATCCTCTGCCTCCTCCTCAACCTCCTCAATGTGAAGATGATGAGGATGAAGAGCTATAAGATGATCTGCTTCCACTTAACAAACGGTAAACATATTTTCTAAGATTTTTTTTTAAGACAGGGTCTCACTTTGTCACCCAGGGTAGAGTGCTGTGGCACCACCTCGGCTCACTACAGGCTCCACATCCCAGATTCAAGTGATCCTCCTGCCTCTACACTCCAAGTAGCTGGGACTACAGGCGTGAGCTGTCACACCTGGCTAATTTTTTGTATTTTTTGTAGAGAAGGGGTTTTGCTATGTTGCCTAGGCTGGTCTTGAACTCCAGAGCTGAAGCAATCCACCTGCCTCGGCCTCCCAAAGTACTAGGATTATAGGTGTAGGCCACCATGCCCAACCTAATTCTACTTTTTTATGACTTTTTTTTTTTTTTTTGAAACAGAGTCTCACTCTGTCACCCAGGCTGGAGTGCAGTGGCGCGGTCTCGGCTCAGTGAAACCTCCACCTCCCAAGTTCAAGTGATTCCCCTGCCTCAGCCTGCCAAGTAGCTGGGATTACAGGCGTGCACCACCACGCCCGGCTAATTTTGTATTTTTCGTAGAGACGGGGTTTCACCATGTTGGTCAGGCTGGTCTCAAACTCCTGACCTCAAGTGATCCCCCTGACTCAGCCTCCCAAAGTGCTGTGTGATTATTTTAATGACATTTTCTTTCCTCTAGCTAGCATTACTTTAAGAATCAGCATAGGATACACACAACATGCCCAATGTGTGTTAATGAACTGTGTTATCAGTAAGGCTTCTGGTCAACAGTAGGTTCTAAGTAGTTAAGTTTTTGGGGAGTGAAAAGTTATATGTGAATTTTTGACCTCATGGGGCTAGATGCCCCTAACCCCCTCACTGTTTAAGCATCAACTGTATTTCAATTTATGATTTTGAAAAATGCCAGGTGTAGACTTAAAAACACACGAAGAGAAACAGTGTTTGTCCAGCTTCATCATGGCCACACGGTGCAGCTAAGCAAGCAGTCCTGCACCACTGCCATCTGCACTGTGTCTGTTTGGGCTCGACTGCCTCGGTTTCCTCATCTAGGTAGAGAACCCGGATGGGTGCCCTCACAATGCGAGCCAGCTGAGGGCACAACCCTCTCTCGCTGCCACCAGTAGGGTCTGCAGAGCAGGCTGGAAAGCAGCTTCCCACTGCAGATCTGATTAGAAACAGCACAGACAGTGTCCTTGAAGTTCTTCTGGATTTATACAACTGCACAAATATCATGTCAATAAAAAATGCAAGAAAAATCGCCTGAGTCACTGTCCATCGCCGTTGTATTACACAGTGTCTTTTTGTATTTTTAGTAGAGATGGGGTTTCACTGTTGGTCAGGGTGGTCTCGAATTCCTGACCTCAAGTGATCCACCCACCTCGGCCTCCCAACATTCTGGGATTACAGGCCTGAGCCACCGCGCCCAGCCAGGTGTTAAAAATTTTGTGTTTTGTTTTGTTTTGTTTTTGAGACAGGGTCTCATTCTATGGCCCAGGCTGGAGTACAGTGGCACAATCATGGCTCACTGCAGCCTCAATCTCCCAGGCTCACATGATCTTCCTACTGCACCTAGTCCAAGTTCTACGTTTTACAGCACTAAGAAGTCTAAACATCACCGAGAAAGTCCAGAGCATAAACAGAAATCCAAAGCAAGGCTGGGTGTGGCGGCTCATGCCTATAATCGCAGCACTTTGGGAGGCCAAGGAGGTGGGCGGGTCATTTGAGGCTAAGAGTTCAAGACCAGCCTGGCCAACATGGTGAGACCCTGTCTCTACTAAAAATACAAAAATTAGCCAGGCATGGTTGTGCACGCCTATAGCACCAGCTATTTGGGAGGCTGAGACACGAGAATTGTTTGAACCCGGGAGGGGAGGATGCAGTGAGCCAAGATCACACCACGGCAATCCAGCCTGGGCACAGAGCAAGACCCTGTCAAAAAAAAAAAAGCAAGCAAGAAAGCAAGAAAGCAAGCAAGCAAGAAAGAAAGGAAGAAAAAGAAGGAGAAAGAAATCCAAAACAGCGGGCTCCCAGGTCCGATCCCTGGAGTGGGACCCTCTGCTCCCTGGGCCATCAGCACAATGGTTCCACTTCCCTCCTCTCCTGGGGCCACTGACATGCTGCATGATGTTGGGAGCCGAAACACTCACTTCCTCTTAAATGTTTCCTCTTCCTTCTTCCTGGTTAGCTGCACAGAGTGAAGTTTATCCTCTAAATCCTTTACCCTGAAAAGAAACAAATATTTATGGAAGGAGCAAGTGAGATGAAAGCAAAGACCAGCCTGGAATGAGCAGAAAAGGTAGAATCCCCCAGACTCCAGTCCTGGCCTGCGAGGCTGCCACAGAGCACGCCTCGGGAGATGAAGGACTCGCGCACCGGGCGCGGCTCATGGCCTCCAGGTCCTGGAGCTCCCCGGCTCGGCTCTGGAGCTTCCTCTCCAGCTCGGCGTTGGTGGCCTCTGCCCTCTGCAGACTCTCTGCAGCCTTTGCCCCGGCTTCCTTCAGAGCCTCCAGCTCTTTGTGCAGTAGTTTAACCTTTGAATGATAAAAATGAGTTCAAAATGAGGTGATAATTAGAAGACACTGAGGCATTAGGGGTACATACTGCTGTTTTATCAGGATTGGGAGGGAGAAGAAAAATGAAAATTCAAGAAGCAGTAAAACAGTGAGAATGTCCTAACACAACTCAAACGAGACTCAATGACTTTTTTTTTTTTCTTTTTGGAGACAGAGTCTTGCTCTGTTGCCCAGGCTGGAGTGCAATGGCGTGATCTCGGCTCACTGCAACCTCCCCCTCCTGGGTTCAAGCAATTCTCCTGCCTTAGCCTCACGAGTAGCTGGGATTACAGGCACCCACCACCACACCCAGCTAATTTTTGTATTTTTAGTAGAGACAGGGTTTCCCATGTTGGCCAGGCTGGTCTCAAACTCCTGACCTCAGGTGATCCACCCGCCTCAGCCTCCCAATGTGCTGGGATTACAGGTGTGAGCCACCGTGCCCGGCCTTCATTGACCCCCTGACAGCACTCAGTACCCCACCAAAATCAGTCTATTAGGGTGCCCCATACATGTCCAAGCCCAACAGACCAATTTAACTGCACTTCATTTCTTAGCACATAATTTGAAAGTTATTTAAATAAGGAAATTAAACACAAAGCCAGGGGTCTAGGAAGGGGCTCAGTGCTGAGCAAGCCACTCGCGTCCCAGCTGCACACTGAGCTCTTCGGTACCTTCCTGGGCCTGTTTCCCAGCCTGTAAGCCACGGGTGGTGACGATGGCTGCTGCACCCAAGCCTGCTGACATGAGGACCGGGCTGCGCCCGGCATGGGCAGGCGTCGAGACTCAGCTCTTGCTTTTCCTACTGATCTGTGCACCGTGATGCCCACCACGGGCAGGTGTCCAGGGCTGTGACCAAATCACACAGCAGATGCAGGCGGAGGTGAACTGGCACCCGGTGCCCACCTTTGACGGGAGTGCCCACCCTGCCATGGGGCACAGGGCATCCACATGGCCCACCTGCTCGCTGGGCTTGAACTCCTGGGCCCAAGGGATCCTCTTGCCTTGGTCTCCCAAAGTGCTGAGATGACAGGTGTGAGCCACCACACCTGACCAAGGAAAAACCGAAAAACCTTCACGACCCAAGGGTGCCCCCAGTTACCTTAAGCTCCCGGGACAAGGCTGTGTTGCTCATGTTGTCAGCCTGCAGACGGAATTCGTGCTCCCTCTTCCGCATTTTCGATTCAAACTCCAGCAGCAGTTCCTGGAACAAACAGGTTTCATGATGAAAGAACAGTGGGAACCCAGCAAAGACCCCCACCCACGTCCTGGGAGGTGGGATCCAGAGGTGAGCAGGACACAGTGTTTAACAGAGAAGGACCACACACACTGTCCAGGAGAGAAGCTGGGGTCAGCGACACTGGTAACAGCACTCTGGGAGGCCGAGGCGGGAGGATCGCTTGAGCCCAGGAATTCAAGACCAGCCTGGGCAACACAGTGAGGCCCTGTCGCTACAGAAAAAAAAAAGAAAAGAAAAAGAAAAATCCTTATCTCCATTGAGTCAATTCTACCTCTGACAATAACAAACACCAAGATCTTCCAAAACAAGACAAGAAATCAGAGCAAAGGAAACCATGAAACTGACAAGCACGTAAGACCCTAGCTTAGTAACTAAAAGGCTGAGATGCCGGCAGTAGAACAGAGCTTCCCGACAGCCAGTGCCAGCATCCCAGAGCCCACACAGGATCGGACTACCCAGAACCACACCGGATGTGTGCTGCCCAAGTTTCCCCTAGTAACCAAAGCTGCCACGTTAAAACGTCACGTTTCCTTCTTTCCAGAGACAAGGATACTATCTGAACATGATAAAAAATCCATGTTCCCAACGTCTGAGATGGCTCTCCCTGAACGAGCCCTGCTGAGTCTGAGAAATTCGGCGTGGACAGCCTGGGAAGTCAGCCATAGTCACGGCCCAGCCAGAAACTCTGACAAGAATGGCTGCGCCCTGCCAACTACAACCAGCCTCAAATCGCCACTGTCCCCAGATGCTGCCAAGAGCCCCCCACCTGCTGGGCAGGACCACCCACAGCTGGATCCTCCTCAAACTCCTTCTTTGGAAGTGACTTTGGAGCCACTTGAGGAAGCCTCACTACTTAGAAAAGTCACCACTGGTCTCTTACTGACCACGGATTTTAGACGCTGGCTTCATGCCTAAAGAACTCCGGCTGTTCTCAAACTCATCCATAATCGACAAAGCTCTTTGGTTTCTGAGAATTCCAAGAGAAAGTCCTCTGCAGGCCATTTCAGAAGCAGCCTCAGGGACCTGTGAACAACGGGAGTGAGCTCAGCACTTCCGGGGACAACTGGACAGTCCACAGGAGGGCCCATCATGACGTGAGCGTGGCCTCCTTCTCTGCTGACCTGACTGTGGCAAATTAGTGACACACTGGCCTATCCTACTATGACCAAGCTCCCAACATCCGACAGGACCAGAGAGGGGACCCTGTCACACCTGCACAAAGCCCTTCATCACTGCTGCACCTGCACAGACGCAGCCCCTTATGACACCCCCATAGACACAGCTTCTAGTAACACTTACACCTACCTGCATAGACAGAGCCATTTATTACACCTGCACCTGCAGAGACGCAGCCCCTCATCACACCTGCACCTTCACAGAAGAAGCCCCTCAGGACACCTGCAGAGACGCAGCCCCTCATGACTCCTGCACCTGCAGAGACGCAGCCCCTCGTGACTCCTGCAGAGACGCAGCCCCTCATGACTCCTGCACCTGCAGAGACGCAGCCCCTCGTGACTCCTGCACCTGCAGAGACGCAGCCCCTCGTGACTCCTGCACCTGCAGAGACGCAGCCCCTCGTGACTCCTGCAGAGACTCAGCCCCTCGTGACTCCTGCAGACGCAGCCCCTCATGACTCCTGCAGAGATGCAGCCCCTCGTGACTCCTGCAGAGACGCAGCCCCTCGTGACTCCTGCACCTGCAGACACACAGCCCCTCATGACTCCTGCACCTGCAGAGACACAGCCCCTCGTGACTCCTGCAGACGCAGCCCCTCGTGACTCCTGCAGAGACGCAGCCCCTCATGACACCTGCAGAGACGCAGCCCCTCGTGACACCTGCACCTGCAGAGACGCAGCCCCTCATGACACCTGCACCTGCACAGGCACAGCCCCTCATCACACGTAAACCTGCAGAGATGCAGCCCCTTGTCACATATGCACACAGTGGCAGCATCTCTGACTGTGGTCTCTAGATATAAATCTATAGGATGTCTTTCAACAAAACCCCAGCACAGCTGAGTCTCTTGGAGGTGTAGGCTGAGTTTCCAGAACATTGAGGAGAAATTCGGTGACTGCCACTTTTCAGTTGAAGCATCTGTTTTTAAACTTATCATAATTGAATTCCAAATTCTTTTCCATAGTAAATAATTCATGTTTTTAAAATTATACCTTTCTAAAAATAAATTTAAAAGTTTCATCATTTCTGAGGTGTGCTGGTTAATTCCATGTGTCAAATGACTGGGCTACGGGCTGCCCGGATAGCTGGTAAAAAATTATTTCTGGGAGTGTCTGCAAGGGTGTTTCCAGAAGAGACTAGCCCTCCTCCTGTGGATGGGCGTCATTCAATCCACTGAGGGCCTGAATAGAACGAAATGCAAGGAAGGGTGAACTCGCTCTCTCTGCTTGAGCTGAGACACTCGCCTTCTCCTGCCCTTGGACATTGGGCTCCTGCATCTTGGGCCTTCAGAGCTGGACCAGGACTCACATCAGTGGCTCCCTGGTGCTCAGGCCTTTGCCCCTGGGCTGAATTACACCACCAGCTTCCCAGGTTTTCCAGCTTGCAGATGACAAACTGTGGGACTTCATGGCCTCCGTAACTGCACGAGTGAATTCCTACAATTTATCTCCTATATATCTACACGTCTCCTATTGCCTGTTTCCCTGGAGAACCCTGACTAATCCATGAGGAAAGAAAACAAGGAAACACTGTGGAGGTGGCTGCATGTAGACATCCCATCCTGTTTCCCTGCAGACCATCCCAGAGTGGCATCTGCCCCAAAGACCCCATTTTACTCCCAAGGAGAATGCAGGCAATGAACCAAATGGTTGTCTTTTCCTCAGCCCTATATGATTTCAGTTTCACAGTGGGCAGGCAGGGAAAGCACCCAGGAAGGGGCCGACCCAGAGGCTCTACCTGTCTCTGCAGAGCAAGCTCACCGTCGAGCTCCTCAAGTTTTCTCTCCAGTGTCCATTTTAGATTTTCATACTGTTCCCGGTGGTGGTCAATCTCACCATTCTTGTCACTATGGTAATAAAACAGCATTAAGAAAAGCCATACCAAATATTCAGCAAAGGTAATACATTTTCAAGGTGCACTTGACATGTGAAAGTTGGTGCTTTGCTTTTATGAAGGGGTGGCTTCAGCAGGACCCACGGGGTAGCAGAACTTCCAGCCCCACCTGGACCAGCATGCTACACCCATCTATAAAAGAGGAAATTAAATAGGGCCCAGAGTCTCACAACATAAAACCCAAAATGTCCAGGATACAATTAAAAAAAAAACCTGACAACCAAAAACCGGAAAGATCTGACCAGGCCCAGTGGCTCACGCCTGTAATCCCAGCACTTTGGGAGGCCGAGGTGGGCGGATCACAAGGTCAGGAGATCGAGAGCATCCTGGCTAACACGGTGAAACCCCGTCTCTACAAAAAAATACAAAAAAAATTAGCCGGGCGTGGTGGCGGGCGCCTGTAGTCCCAGCTACTCGGGAGGCTGAGGCAGGAGAATGGCGTGAACCCGGGAGGTGGAGCTTGCAGTGAGCTGAGATCGTGCCACTGCACTCCAGCCTGGGCGACAGAGCGAGACTCCATCTCAAAAAAAAAAAAAAAAAGAAAAAGGAAAAAAAAGAAAGATCTGAGCTTGAAGGAGAAAAGATAATAGGTAGATGCCAACACCAAGATGACACAGACGCTGGAATTCTTCAACAAGGAAGCTACAGCAGTCATTATAAAAGCGCTTCAAGTAATCTAGTAAAGCAAATGGAAAAACAAATCTCAGCAAAGAAAAAGCTATAGCAGGCTGGGTGTGGTGGCTCACGCCTGTAATTCCAGCGCTTTGGGAGGCCAAGGCAGGTGGATCACCCGGGGTCAGGAGTCCAAGACCAGCCTGGCCAACATGGTGAAACCCCATCTCCACTAAAAATACAAAAATTAGCCGGGCATGGTGGCACACACCTGTAGTGACAGCTCCTCGGGAGGCTGAGGCAGGAGAACCCCTTGAACCCCGGAGGCAGAGGTTGCAGTGATCCGAGATCGCGCCACTGCACTCCAGCCTGGGCGACAGAGCAAGACTCTGTCTCAAAAAAAAAAAAAGAGTGTGAGACTGAAAAAGTACCTGAACATGGCTGAAAACATCCCAGGTTTGGAGAGAAGAATGAGCAAAAGACTTGAAGAGACACTTCACAACATAACGTAAAGCACTTTTAAAAGGATGCTGTAAACACTCTGGAAAGCAGCTATGAGAAAGTCAGCACCCGCACGGCGGGCAAGTGGGCCTCAGCTGTCCAAGCACTGCACGCACCTGCACGGACTCGGCGCCCAGACGAGGTGCAGGCTGAGCACCAGCCTTCATGCTGGGGACGGGAGCTTCCAGACACCCTCCCTCCACTCAGGGAGAAGCTGACCTCCAGCTCAACTCTCTCTTTCCCTGGACACTGGGCAGGTGGCACACGGGTGTCTACCACATTAGCAAGCAGCACTGCGTGGGTCAAATGACTGCTGACTGGCACTTTTTATCCACGCCGCGAGATGCGATAGAGAGAGGGACCATCAACACTGTGGGCTTCCCAGAAGACGGTGGCGCTCAGGGTACATCTGCTGCAGGGACTGCAGACGCGATCCCTGCGGGCTGCTACAGGAGATACTGGCTGCACAATACTGGTTGGGGCTTCTGAGCTAGAGGGGCACCACACCCACCAATGTGGGTCTCCTCTCCTTGCACCTGACCTGCCGCAGAAGGTCTCTCTGCTGGACCGGAGCACCTGGTGTGGTCCTGTTGGCCCGTTCACACCCATCTGAGACCCTTCTGAGCAAACCGGCCCAACACACACAACAGAGGGTAGCTGGTCAGTTAAAAGGGCGTGGCAGAACCCAGCGCACTGACACGAAGGACAGACACCACAAATCGATCAGGAAGTGCTGGACGCACATTTCGGAGCAGTGTGCGCAGGTGGCTCTATATGGGGCCTGGAGATGACACAACAGATTGCCCGTGGCGGCTTTCACTTCGCCATTCCACCACAGTATCTTCTCTGAGAAATGACTTTCTATGATAAGAATAGTTTACTCCTGCGGCTTTAAAAAGTGCTTTAAAAAGCTGCTTATGGCCAGGCGCGGTAGCTCACGTCTATAATCCCAGCACTTCAGGAAGCCAAGGCCAGTGGATCACCTGAGGTCAGGAGTTCAAGACCAGCCTGGGCAACATGGCAAAACCCCGTCTCTACTAAAAATACAAAAGAAAAAAAAATTAGCCGGGCGTGGTGGTGGGCACCTATAGTCCCAGCTACGTGGGAGGCTGAGGCAGGAGAATCACTTGAACCCGGGAGATGGAGGTTGCAGCGAGCCGAGATCACGCTACTGCGATCCAGCCTGGACAACACAGCTAAAAACTCTGTCTCAAAAAAAAAGAAAAGAAAAAAAATGCTGCTTATGTTAGAAGAATACATAAAACATAAAAAAAGTACCCAGGATCCTGTTAAGTGTAAACAGAGCATGCAGCCGGCTCTCCTAACGTCTGTACACACGCATCACACAGGAAGGGCCTCTGTTAATGTGCTATGATGAACCTGCGGTACTTCTGAAGTGGGGGATGGAAGAGCTTATCAGAGAAGCCTGTCCTCCTTCCTTCCTGTCTCCTCAAACTCTCCACAGCATGGCTGGGTGAGTGGAGCTGAGGGGATACCAGGCATGTGGTTGAGTTCCAGGGGCCCCACCACAGGCCCCACAACAAAGGCTTTAGGTTTTTATGTCGACTTGCCTTAAGTCAGCTCATTTAGTTTTGAAATTACTACAGACTTCCATTAAAATCATTATAAATTCAAATATGTATTAATATAGATTTATAATTAATGAAATAAATTCCAAATATTAAAACCAATCTCCATTAATTTCAGAGTTATATCAGAACCCAGAAAAAGACAGTCAGGGCATTCCTGGATCCATCCACATTAACTCAACAAACACATGTTCAGAGGCCACGAGGCACTCGGCCACTCAGACAGACCAGCTCCCGTGGCCTGGAATCAGCAGCGGGAGGAGGGGCAGTGAGAGTGGGCAGTGCTCGGGCAGCACAGCGGAGCAGGAGGCATGTGGGGGCCTCTGCCAGGCACTGCACAGGAGGGCGCGTCGGTCGGTGGCTCACCTGTGGACGCGCTCCAGCTCCAGGCGATGCTCCTGGAATGCCAGCTGCTGCTGCTGCTGCAGCTCCTCCACCTTCCTGGCCTCTCTGGCTAGCGCCTGCCTCAGCTTAGCTGCCTCTATCTTGAGCTCGCTCACCTCTGCCCGCCTGGCCTCTTCCCACTCCCTGGCCTGGGCGAAGGCGGCGTCATAGCGCTCCAGCTCGAGGTCCCGCTCCTCCAGCACCTGAAGGTTGTAGACAAAGTCCTCCTGCAGGCACCGCAGTTTCCCCTGCGCCTCCTCCAGCTGGCTCCGTGTGTCCTGCAGAGCCGCCTCCTGCAGCTGGGTGCGGTGTGCCTGCAGCGCCCTCCACTCCTCCTCCTTGCGAAGCAGCAGCTCATTCAGGGCGGGCTCTGAGCCCAGTGGCAGCATGGTGGCCGCTGCAGTAAAGAGAAATCAGGTTCAGGGTGCACCGTGAGGGGCCCTAATTTTCCTACCACAGTACCTACCTCACATTCCCTATCAACAGTTACCACGGCCGGGCACGGTGGCTCACACCTGTAATCCCAGCCCTTTGGGAGGCCGAGGCAGGCGGATCACCTGAGGTCAGGAGTTCAAGACCAGCCTGGCCAACATGGCAAAAACCTGTCTCTACTAAAAATACAAAAATTAGGCCGGGTGCAGTGGCTCACGCCTGTAATCCCAGCACTTTGGGAGGCCCAGGTGGATGGATCACTTGAGGTCAGGAGATCGAGACCAGCCTGGCTAACATGGTGAAACCCCGTCTCTACTAAAAATACAAAAAATTAGCCTGCTGTGGTGGCACGTGCCTGTAGTCCCAGCTACTCGGGAGGCTGAGGCAGGAGAATCGCTTGAACCCAGGAGGTAGAGGTTGCACACCAGCCTGGGTGACAGAGCAAGACTCTCTCTCAAAACAAAATAAACAAAAAAAAAAGGCCAGGCATGGTGGCTCACTCCTGTAATCCCAGCCCTTTGGGAGGCCAAAGTGGGTGGGTCACCTGAGGTCAGGAGTTTGAGACCGGCCTGGCCAACATGGTGAAACCCCGTCTCTACTAAAAATATAAAAATTAGCCATGCATGGTGGCGCATGCCTGTGATCTCAGCTACTCGGGAGGCTGAGGCAGGAGGATCACTTGAACCCAGGAAGTGGAGGTTGCAGTGAGCAGAGATCGCACCATTGCACTCCAGCCTGGGCGACACTAAGACTCTTTTCTCCAAAAAATTAAAAAAATAAATTAAAAAAAAGAAATCCAGGGGAAGTAGAGGAAGGGAAGATGGGAAACATGGTTTGTCCAGCTATAAGAGCTAGGTTCTATAAAATAGCTTCAACGCAGCACTCTGTCCATTTCACAGCTGAGAAAACTAAGGCTGCTAAGTGGCTACGTGAGGACTGACAGCAGGTCAGTCCCTCAGAACCAATGCCCCTTCCCACCCAACACCCTGCTCCTGGAAGATTCACCACCTGATATGGTTTCGATATTTATCCCTGCCCAAACCTTTGTGGAATTGTAATCCCCAACGGGGGAGCTGGGGCCTGGTGGGAGGTGTTTGGATCATGTGGGCGGACCCCTCGTGGCTTGGTGCCGTCTTTGTGACAGTGAGTTCTGGGGAGATTTGGTCATTTCAAAGTGTGTGGTGACAATGAGTTCTAGTGAGATGTGGCATCTCTCCACCACTCACACTCCCCTCTTGCTTCGTGCCTGCTCCTCTTTCACCTTCCGCCATGAGTAAAAGTTTCCTGAGGCCTCCCCAGAAGCGGGTGCCAACACTGTGCTTCCTGTACAGCCAGGAGAACCGTGAGCCAATTAATCTTTCTTTATAAATTACCCAGCGTCAGGTATTTCTTTCCAGCAATGTGAGAATGGTCTAATATACCATCCGAGAGTACATTCTTTTGTTCTTTTATTTGTTCATCATGGACTGATATTTTGGTAAAACCATAAAAATAAAGTGCTACAAAAAATAAAATTTAAAAACAAAAATCACAAAAACCAATAAGCTGGGCACAGTAGCTCTCGCCTGCAATCCCAACATTTTCTGAGGCTGAGGTGGGTGGGTCATTCAAACTCAGGAGTTCCACGCTGCAGTGAGTGGTCTATTAAAAGATAAAGTTTCTTCTGGCTGGTCCTAGCTGCCCCCAACCCTTTAGAGGTCCAAGTATGAGCTCGATTTGGACACAGAAATCCCCCACAACTCTTCTCTGGTGTCCACACAGGGGAACTGCATGGCCTAAAAGGGCCACACCCAGTTGGGGGACAAGCACAAACTTCCGGCCTGGTGGGACATGGCCGGGGTGCTGCTGCCAGAGCAGGAAAAAGCCCCAGCCTGTCTTAGGGTACCTCTGTATCTCCGGGCACCTCTGCATCTCGGGGCACAGCAATGGTTGTACAAAGTCCCAACTCCCAGAGGGAGCGGGTACAAGGGCACAGCCAGGCTGAGCACCGGCTGTGACGAAGCACAAGGAGGAGGTGGGTAAGGGGCTGCAAGACCCGTGGGCCCCTCCAGAAAGGGCTGGTCAGCAGGGCACACCCGCTGGGGGCACGAGGGCTCCCTGGGGGTCCTGAGACGGCGCTTCTCTGACGAGGCTCTGGAGCAAAGACGGTCTCCTCCATCCCACATGCTTCCTGCGATGCAACCCCCGCGCCCAGCACCCTAGGACCATCACGCCACCTGGACCACCTCAGCCTGGCTCCTCCAAGCTGCTGCGTGCCCACCCATTGCCGGAGCTAACAGGGTCCCTACCGACCATCTCAGCACTCTCCCACGCTCCTGTTCCTCGTCTCCCTCAGCTCCTACAACGGCCCCACCGTCCACCCCGTGTAATGATCCTTGACCTCTTGCTGTCTCCCACCTTGTGCCCACACCTCGGCCACCACAGTGTCTTACCACAAGAGACCTCAACTGGCCTCTGCTGTGCACTCCCACTTTTTTGGCTGCCAAAGGAATCTTTTCAAAAATGCTTTACCAGGGCCGGGCGCAGTGGCTCATGCCTGTAATCCCAGGACTTTGGGAGGCCGAGGCGGGCGGATCATAAGGTCAGGAGATTGAGACCATCCTGGCTAACACGGTGAAACCCCGTCTCTACTAAAAATACAAAAAATTAGCTGGGCGTGGTGGTGGGCGCCTGTAGTCCCAGCTACTTGGGAGGCTGAGGCAGGAGAATGGCGTGAACCCCGGAGGCGAAGCTTGCAGTGAGCTGAGATCGCACCACTGCAGTCCGGCCTGGGCAACAAAGAGAGACTCCATCTCAAGAAAAAAAAAAGGCTTAACCAGGCTTCCCATTCCACTGAGGACATCTGGACCCCAGGCTCCTGCCTGTCGCTGCCACGTGCCCTCAGAGCCTGGGATGTGTGGCAGGTGCCGCTCTGTCTGCAAGGTTCCTCCTAACCGCAGGGCAGGCTCCTCCTGCCAGTGGGACCTCAACCTGAACATCACTGCAGGGAAGCTTTCCTAACTTCCATCTCACGTTGGCACAACGCCATCACCCCAGTGTCGGGTGTAGTGAGTCCCACTGTCTGGCACAGTCTTGGCGACTGAAACATTTTGTACACAGAGGACATGCACACACCTGTGCACACACCTGTGCACACACAGGGAAAGAATTGGACTATCAGCAAATACACATTAAATGATGGAACACCACTGTGATCTCTGATGACTCAGAACCCTTCACACAGTGCCCGTGAGTCATGACAACGGTTCTCTGCAGAGCCTGAGGTCTGCGAGGTCTACGGGCCTCTTCTCTGAGGGACTGCTGTGGCCCCCGTCCTGTACCAGCTGCCCTGCCACTGGGCTTGCCTCCTTAACTCATTGGTCGCAGCCACCCATGGGGGTTGCCGTTCTGAGAATCTGATCATGCAATCTTATCTGGCCTCAAATGTGCCCGCGACTCCTGACCATTTTCAAAATAAAGTCCGATCTCCTTGGCACAGCGTATGAAGACAGACCGAGGACACGGCCCAGCCTGCGTGGCTCCAGCTGCTCCCTGCAGGCCCAGAGCAGCCTTTATCTGCCAGTTCCTGTGCACGTGCTACTCCAGGTCCCCATGCCCCCATCTCCCCACTGGGTGAGGTTCCTTCCCACCAGGTCTCAGGACTCAGCGGGTCACCCTGTTTTCAAAAGCTTCAGGCAGCCAGGACAGGCAGATGGCACGTACCACCCCCTCTATGTGAGATGGGTGCTCCCAGGCCTCTGTGCTCTGCACAGAAGAGCAGCCTGAAAAATCCATACAGCAAGTGACTCGGTGCAGCACCCGGTGAGAGCCCAGCATCTCCAGCGCTTTATCCATCACACTCAGGACCCATAAGAAGCCCCACACACCAAGGGCCTGTAAGTCAGCCGGGCTCGGCTCGCCTTTCCTTCTGACCTCATCATAGAACGGCCTGCTCTGTTTCTGTACAAATCCCATCTCGGGATGATCCCCAAAGCCCCAAGGCTGAGATTAATTGGCTTTCAAAAGCACGGACTCAGCATCTGGACGCAATCTGCCTGTCGGCCAGCAGGCGTCCCCAGCAAGCACCTGGTTTCAAGAAGGACCATGAAGCTTCCGGGTTGGGGAGCGGCAGGAGAAGCCGCCGGGGAGGGAAGGCCTCGCTGTGCGTTCACCCTCTTTCAGGAGAACCAGTGGGGCTCCCTGAACCAGCCAGCTCCCAGCAGGGGCTGGAACAGCATGGGTGGGCATCCCATCACTTTGATTTTCTCATTTTAAAAATACTGAGCTGAGCTAACGGTGATGTTGTAGGTTTACCTGTTGTGGTACAATGACACATCATGGTTTTCTTGCACAGTTCCTGGCTCATAACTCTCACACGTCACAGTCTTTTGTTGCAATGTTGGGCGTGTCAGGCCTCAGGAAACAGAATCCTTCCAGGTCTCCACTCTCACCTGACTTTCCATTGTAGGTCATAAGATCCTCCCCAGAGCTCCCACCCTCTACCCTGGGGGAAGGAATGCTGACTTCAGGAAGCCTCCCTAAACACCCAAGAGGACAGGGTGTGGAGAGGTTCCTGGGGAGTGGTGGGTGGGGTGTGGGGGGGTCCTCCAGGAAGCCTCTTCCCCCATATCTCCCCTTACGCATCTCCTCATCTGTATCCTCTGTAATACCCTTTATAATAAACTGTTACACGTATGTGTTTCCCTGGGTTCTGTGAGTCACCCCAGCAAATCAATCGAACCCAAAGAGGGGGCTGTGGGAACCCCAACTTGAAGCCAGTGGTCAGTCAGAAGTTCCGGAGGCCAGGACTCGCGACTGGTGTCAGAAGCGGGCAGTCTTTGAACCACCATTGCAAAATTATAACTCAGACAGTGAAAGAGATCTGACCTAACCAATTCCATCGTGCTTCTAACCTCCAAGCTCTCCTTGTTCATTCCTGGGTGTAGGCCGAACTAAGTTTAGGAGGAACTTAGTTTATAGTTTGAAACAAAGACAGTAACAGCCCTTTCCCGAAACAAACCCCCTTTTTGCCTGGGGACTAGACTGCCTTTGTAGGACTAACAAATTAGCCAAAAGATTAGAAATTATGGTTTAGGGCCAGGTGCAGTGACTGGCCCCGGTTGTCCCAGCACTTTGGGAGGCTGAGGCTGGATCACTTGAGCCCAGGAGTTCGAGACCAGCCAGGGCCACACGGCAAAACGCTGCCTCTACCAAAAATACAAAAATTAACTGGGGCGTCGCTTGTAGTCTCAGCTACCAGGCAGGCTGAGGTGGGAGGATCGCTTGAGCTTACGACGTTGAGGCTGCAGTGAGCTGTGATTGCACCACTGCACTCCAGCCTAGGTGACAGAGTGAGACCCTGTCTCAAAAATAAAAAAAAAAAAACAAAAAAGAAATTATGGTTTAGGAGTCATGCAGCTACAGGCTACAAGATTCTGACCTTCCCCAAATTGTTCCTGGGGTAACATCACTATTGTAAAACCTAAGATCAATCAGTGCTTGAGATATTTTGCAGACCCTGCACTCCATGGATCAGCTGGCACCCCCGGATTGATAAACTGGCTCATCCGATCTTGTGGCCCCCACCCAGGAACTGACTCGGCGCAAAAGGACACCTTCGACTCCCTACGCTTTCATCTCCAACTCACTGGCCCCCTACACACTAAGTTATCCTTAAAAACTCTGATCCCCGAATGCTTGGGGAGACTGATTTGAGTCATAATAGAACTCCGTTCTCCCGCACAGCCGGCTCTGTGTGACTTACTCTTTCTCTATCCTAATTCCCGTCTTGGTGAATCGGCTCTGCCTGGGCAGCAGGCGGGGTGGACCTGTTGGGTGTTTATGTCTTGGGTGTTTATGTCTTGGGGACTGAGCCCTCACCCTGTGGTCTGACCTCTCTCCAGGCAGGCGGTGTTGGAACTGAACCGAAGGACACCCGCCGAGTCTGCGGCAGAACTGACTGCTCATGTGCTGGTGAAAACCTCCCTCTCCCACCACATTTGATCACAGAAGTCTTCCTCTGTGCTGATGATTCTTGTGGTATCAGAGTAGAGGAAAAACAGTTTGAGTTTTCCAGAAATACCTGTGAATAAAATACACATAAAATAAAATCTACTAAAAATACACAGAGAAGGGGTTTCTCCATGTTGGTCAGGCTGGTCTGGAACTCCCAAACTCAGGTGATCCACCTGCCTCGGCCTCCCAAAGGGCCGGGCGCAGGTGTGAGCCACTGCGCCCAGCCCAAATATATATATTTTTATGACCTCCATGTATAAATATATTTAATACCCTTAACTTATTATTATTATTTTAGACAGTCTTGTTTTCTTGCCCAGGCTGGAATGCAGTGGCGCGATCTTGGCTCACTGCAACCTCTACCTCCTGGGTTCAAGCTATTTTCCTGCCTCAGCCTCCCAAGTAGCTGGGATTACAGGCGCCCGCCACCATGCCCGGCTAATTTTTGTACTTTTAGTAGAGATGGGGTTTCACCATCTTGGCCAGGCTGGTCTTGAACTCCTGACCTCGTGATTCACCCGCCTCGGCCTCCCGAAGTGCTGGGATTACAGGCGTGAGCCACCGTGCCTGGCCTAATACCCTTAACTTATAAGACACTTCCTGGGACTGGAAGGCAGGTCTGGGGTGGCTCATTCACTTTGTACTCAGGACAGAGGACTCAATCTCAGCATCCTGAGTAGCTGGGACTACAGGCAGGCACCACCATGCCCAGTTAATTTTTTTTTTAAATTTCTTGTAGAGATGGGGTTCCACTATATTGTCCAGCCTGGTCTTGAACTCCTGGCCTCAAATGATCCTCTCACCTTTAAATGTACTGAATTTAGCTCTTGTGGCCCCTCTTGGATTCCAGAGAGTGCTGCTAAGCCCTCTGGGAGGCCAAATTCAGTAATCTACTCTTTTGTTTTGAAACAGAGTCTCAGTCTGTCACCCAGGATGGAGTGCAGTGGCACAATCACAGCTCACTGCAGCCTCGAATGCCCATCTAAAAGCTACAGCTCAAGCGATCTTCCCACGTACTTATAGGTGTGAACCACTGCACCCAGCCTCTCATCTACTCTTTAAATAGGTCCAGGGGACAAAAATTATGTACCTGTGACCCCGTGTTTTTTTTCACTTCCTCCACTGACTGCCGAAGAGTAGCCACAGCCATTTCTAAAACTGAAATAAGAGAGATGGGCAGTAGGTCTGAATTCTGTCAGTGGCACTTGCTGGAGAAGAGGGGCACCACTACCACGAAGGAACATGAAGGGCTGTTTTCTTTGAACGTGCATTTGCCAAAAAAAAGTGAGTAAGTGAGAAATAGAAGTTGAAGTCGAAGTCTTGTAGTTGAGTTTAGACTTTGCGGACTTTTAGAACCACGTATACATGTTTCATGTGCCAAAAACAAAGCACAACAAAAAACAAAAAAACTTAAAATCAGTAAGGACTCAAAATGAAGTAGAAACAGGTGAACCTAACTTGATTACAAGTGCGTAACTTGTAATAAACTCACAGGTTTTTTTGGTGTTTGTTGTTTGTTGAGATGGGATCTCACTCTGTCACCCGAGCTGCAGTGCAGTGGCATGATTATAGCTCACTGCAGCCTCAAACTCCTGAGCTCAGATGGTCCTCCTACCTCAGCCTCCAGAGTAGCTGGGACTCAGACACACGCCACCATGGCTGGCTAATTTATTTTGTAATTTTTTATAGAGATGGGTGTCTCACTTTGTTGGCCAGGCTGGTTTCCAACTCCTCACCTCAAGCGATTTTCCCCCCTCAGCTTCCCAAAGTGGTGGGACTACAGGCGTGAGCCACTGTACCCAGCCAGTTTTTAATATATACAGAGACACAGATATACTGAAATAGATTTGCATGTGTATAGTGTATAGAAACACGTTTCCTACTCTATCCATTAAGAAAGCCAAGAAGAAATGGCATCCCAGTAGCAATATGTCTATCTGGTACTGGGATCTTGGTTTCTAAACACTACCTTCTAAACTAAAAGGAACCAGGGCTCCTTGGAGAAATGACTGATTCTGGGATATGTCAAGGCAAGCATAAGATAAGCCTGAATTCTGTGATGCCAGAAAGAAAGAAAATGCTCCCAGAAGGTTGGGACGTGCTATAAGGACAGAGAGGCCAACTTGAAGGGGCTCCTAACACCTCAATCTGGATAATGTGAGCAACAAAGTACGTGATAGCGATGGGTTAGAATCCATGGAATAAAAAGATGCACTAACACCGAGACCGCGCCCCTGCAAGCCAGCCTGGGAAGAGATGGTTCTTTCTTATAGGAAAATCCCAACTAATAAATGTAGGAGTAATGGAAACAGAAAAATCATTTAACAAATAGCACATTAACAGTTATTTTGGGGAAACACTCATGGGTGCTAAAATTAGTGACAGAAGTATGGTTAGAAACAAGATCTTGCTGGGCGTTGTGGCTCAGGCCTGTAATCCCAGCACTTTCGGAGGCCAAGGCGGGCGGATCACTTGGGGTCAGCAGTTCGAGACCAGCCTGACCAACATGGTGAAACCCCGTCTCTACTAAAAATACAAAAAAAAAAAAAATAGCCGGGCATGGTGGCAGGCGCTGGTAATCCCAGCTGCTCAGGAGGCTGAGGCAGGACAATCACTTGAACCCGGGAGGCAGAGGTTGCAGTGAGCCGAGATCAAGCCACTGCACTCCAGCTTGGGCGAGAGAGAGAGAGACTCAGTCTCAAAAAAATAAAATTAATTAAAAAAAAAAAAAGGCCGGGCACGGTGGCTCACACCTGTAATCCTAGCACTTTGGGAGGCCAAGGTGGTGGATCACCTGAGGTCAGAAGTTTGAGACCAGCCTGGCCAACATGACGAAACCTCGTCTCTACTAAAAATACACAGATTAGCTGGGGGTGGTGGTGGGCGGCTGTAATCCCAGCTACTTGAGAGGCTGAGGCAGGAGAATCACTTCAACCCAGGAGGCAGAGGTTGCAGTGGGCCGAGATCGCGCCACTGAACTCCAGCCTGGGCGGCAAAGAGAGACTCCGTCTTAAAAAAAAAAAAAAAAGAAAAAAAAAAAAGAAAAAGAGAGAAAGAAAGAAACATCATCTTTTACATAGTGGCAAGATATTTCCCCACAAAATATTTATTATTTACAAAGGGAAGGACCCTAACTTTATGGACACACTTGGCAGACACCACCTCAGCCCCCAGGACGTGACTAGCACCAACAGCCAGGGGCATCCTGTGTCTCGTAAGACGCTGGGAAGGGCACAATTTCCCTGTTGAGGTTTTCTTGCCAAAAATCAGTAATATGAAATCAATTATGACAAAACATCAGAGAAATGCCCCCGAACTGGGGGGCATTTTATAAAATAGTGGACTCATCATTGGATCCTGGACCACGGTAAAGTCATCCATGAGGTAGCTGCTAAGCAAGAATAAATACTGGAGACCAGATCATGGGATGATACCAACATGAACGCCAGCGTCTACATGTTGCTGAATGAACTGTGGTTCTCTAAGAGGTCAGCATTCTAGGGGCTCTGGGCAAAAGGCACACGGGAAATCTGTGCTCCTTTTGTATCCTTTTTCTAAGTTACAGATAATTTTTTTTTTTTTTGAGACCGAGTTTCGCTCTTGTCTCCCAGACTGGAGTGCAATGGCGCGATCTTGGCTCTCCGCAACCTGCGCCTCTCGGTGTGGTACCCTACTTTGTTTTAACCTGACTGACTCTCTCTTAGCTGAGAGGGCCGGACAGACACCATTTTGGTTTCTTCGCTTGCAGCCCCTTGTCCCCGTCCCTTAAGGACATAACTGGGGCAAGCTGACTCCAAGCACATCCAGGAATGCGCTTACTGATAAAATACTGATAAGAAACTGGAGCAAGCTGTACCAGCAGCTCCTGGGAACGCGCTCGGTTGATGGTACCCAAAGCCCCTGCGTTTATCACTTTGTGATAATTTAAGCCCCTGTACCTGGAACTGTTTATTTTCCTGTAACTGTTTCTGTAACCATTTATCTTTTAACTTTTTGCCTATTCTGCTTCTGTAAAAAAATCGCTTCAGCTAGCCTCCCCTCCTCTATTTAGACCAAGGTATCAAAAGAAATCTAGCCCCTTCTTCGGGGCCGAGGGAATTTGCAGCTCTAGCAGTCTGTCAGTCGCTGGCAATACAGGACTCCTGAGTAGTCTCAGAGTGTGGCGTTCTCTCTATAACTCCCTCAGTTACAACATCGGGTTCAAGCGATTCTCCTGCTTCAGCCTCCGGAGTAGCTGGGATTACAGGCGTGCACCACCACGCCCAATAATTTTTGTATTTTTAGTAGAGAGGGGGTTTCACCATGTTGGCCAGGCTGGTCTCGAACTCCGGGCCTCAAGCAATCTGCCCGCCTCTGCCTCCCAAAGTGCTGGATTACAGGCGCGAACCACCGCCTCCGGCCTTTTTTTTTCCTCTCTTTTTTTTTTTTTTTTTTTAAACTCACAGACACTGTAAGGCTGCCTGGGCGCGGAGCCGTCCTTGCCGGCGGCGGAACCCGGGGAATTCTCCCGGGGCTGCGGGGCCCTGGTCGGCAGCGCCCACCGCCCCAGGTCACCCACGGGAGACCGAGGGAACGCTCCCGCTCCACGCGGCCGCAACCCCCGCCCCGCCCCGCCGCAGCCTCCGCGAGGGGATCCCCGGTCCGGGCCTGGCCGAGCTCTGAGGGTCGACCTCGCGCTCCAGGTCCCCACCAAAGCGCTGCGTCCGACAGGACGGCAGCTGCTGGGGTTTTCTACAGGAAGAGTGGTCGGAGCGGCGCCCCCCACGCCTCCCACGCCTCCCACGCCGCCCGCCCGCACCTCACCCTAACGCCCGCCAGCAGCGCTGGCCAGGTCCCGCCGCGTTGCCACAGCGACCGGGTCAGTCGGCCGCGTCCGGCTGCGCTCGGTGCAGCGCTCGGGTCCCGCCGACAGGAAACGGGGTCCCTGGCGCTAGGTTCCGGCCCCTCCCGCCCCGCCGGGTTCCGCGCTGCGCCCGGGTCCGAGGGGCGCCCCGGCCGACCCGACCACCGCCGCAGATCGAAGGAGGGAGCCCGGCCTCCTCACCGGTCAGCGGGGCGACTCCGGACGGGGCTCCGGGCTATGGGGACGGCGGGTTCCGCCGCGCGAGGCGCCCCCACCTTCGCCGCCCCCGGCCCGGCCGAGGGTCCCCAGGCGCCCGCTTCCTGAGGCCGCCCGGCTCGCGGTCCCGAAGGGTTGACTTGAGCTTTTGCCCTGAGATGAAGGGAGCACGGGGCGGCCGAGGCTGCCCGTGGGGGTCTGTTCGGGCCGGGGGCGCCACGAAGTCCTGCCTAAGGGTCGGCTGCGGCCACCGGGGCACGAGTTCCCGGCGCTGCCCACGGGCTCGGAGACCGGCGGGGCCCAGGGGCCGTGCGCGCGGTCGCTCAGACCCTGATTAGGGAACTGGGGGAAGGAGGGGGGTCGGGACCCACCGAGGCCCGAAGTCGCCCCCACCATCCTGTGGGAACAACATCCTCAGGCACAGCCATTCCCAACCATTCACATCCTCAGAAAAAGGCACGTGTCCGTATCCATCTGCGGATGGATGAACAGAGCCCGGCCCCGGGACAGAGCAGCCTGGCTCACCCGAACCCTCAGCCCGCAATTCTGCGTGGGAGTGGAGGGGGTGTTTGGTGTCTGGGAATTCCCCTGGTGGGGCAATAAGCCAGGGGTCTGGTGTCATCCTCCACCCACATTGTTAACACTGGATCACTCCTCTCCGTGCCGTGCCTGCAGCCCAGGCACCCTGCAGCCTGTCCTCCCCGAACCATGCGTCCTGGTAGAGCTGTCTCCCTCGCCCACAGTCCTCAGTCCCGCCTCACACACCAAACCCTCTTCTGCCTCAGGTCCTTTGCGCCAGTTGCCTCTGCCTAGACTTGGTTCCCTGGATGCCCCCTCCCCACCCCATGTGTATGTCCGGCTCCCTGGACCCACCCCCCACACTGTGTGTCTAGCCCCCTGGACCCACCCCCCACTCTGTGTCTAGTCCCCTGGACTCCCCTCCCCACCCCCTGTGTCTAGCTCCCTGGACCCCCAACCTGGCCCATGTGTCCAACTCCCAGGACCCCCCCACCCTGTGTCCAGCTCCCTGGTTTCCCCCACCACCCCATGTGTTTGGCTCCCTGTCCTGCTGCCTTCTCAGTGCTTGTGCACCCCCAGCCTCATCAGACTTGTCACTCTATTAGAACAGGATGTAGGGCCTGGACTGTTGGCTCCCTGCTACCCCCACCCACAGGACAGTGCTGGGGTTGACCCGACTTTGGCTGCACATTTGACTGGCCCCTGGATCAGCTCTAGGACTAGATGTACCCAAAAGGATGCCCACATCCTTGCCTCAGCTCCTGCCTCTGCCCACCCAGAGAGCTGCCTTGCCCCCATGTCCACGATGCAGCCACCAGGCCTGGGTAAGCGTGGGTGTCCGAGACGGGCTGGGACACCCAGAAGAGGAGCCAGGACTTGCTTGGTCTGTATCCCGGCTCTGCATGCCTCAGTGTCCCTGCCTGTAAAGTGGGATCTATGGGAACCCATGTGTGGGCCGGGCACAGTGCTCACACCTGTGAACCCAGCACCTTGGGAGGCCAAAGGGAGGATCCTTTGAGCTCGGGAGACAGGGTCTCGCTCTGTTGCCCAGGCTGTAGTTCAGCGGCGTGATCTCAGCTCACTGCAGCCTCCGCCTCCCAGGTTCAAGCGATTCTCCTGCCTCAGCTTCCTGAGTAACTGGGATTACAGGCACTTGCCACCATGCCCAGCTAATTTTGTATTTTTAGTAGAGATGGGGTTTTGCCATGTTGGCCAGGCTGGTCTCAAACTCCTGACCTCAAGTGATCTGCCTGCCTCGGCCTCCCAAAGTGCTGTGATTACAGGTGTGAGTCATCATGCCTGGCCAAAAAAAATTTTTTTAAATTAACCGGGTGTGATGGCACATGCCTGTGGTCCCAGCTACCTGAGGCCAAGGTGGGAAGATCACTTGAACACAGCACTTCGAGGCCACAGTGAACTATGATCGCGCCACTGCACTCCAGCCTGGGTGACAGAGCAAGACCCTGTCTCCAAAAAAAACCCTCTAAACCTATGTGTTATGGATAGGGCCTCTAAGAAGGTAATTAAAGTTACGTGAGTCCTAAGGGTGGGACCCTGAACTGTTGTCCTTAAAAGAAGAGGAAGAGACACCAGGAGTGAGCACACAGAGGAGAGGCCACATGAGGACGCAGGGAGAGGGTGCCGTCTGCAAGCCATGGAGAGGCCTCAGGAGGAACCCACCCTGCCGGCAGCCTGATCCCTGACATCCAGACTCCGGAAGTGAGAAAATAAATGTCGTTTAAGCCGCCCAGGCTGTGGTGTTGAGTTATGCGGCCCTAGCAGGTCATTTGTCACGTCATGGGTATCTGGACCTGGAATCGTGTGCTGGCCCAAGTCAGCAGCATGGCACCCATGGTCACCCCTTCAGCTGAGCCACATGCCCGGGTGCCCCAGGGACAGAGCAGGGTGTGCCACGGGCACTGCCTGGTTCCTGAAGCTGTGGGGCAGGCCGGTCTGGCCCTCACAGCCTGTGCTCTGATTCGAGGGCCGTTCCGTTGGGTTGAGCTCCACGGTCCCAGAGCGCCCGCCGTCAGCTCAGGCCCGAGGCTACACCTACTGAATCCCCCCAGCACTGCAGCACCCCTCCCCTTCCTTCCCTGCCCCCCACACTGCAGCACCCCTCCCCCTCCTTCCCTGCCCCCCCCACACTGCAGAACCCCTCCCCCTCCTTCCCTGCCCAGCTCCCCAGCTGGGCTCCACCTGGGCACCCTCAGTGCGGGTGGCCGGGAGTTGGCTGAGGGAGACCACATTCCCTTCACTCCTGGCCTCCAGCACCCAGCAGGACTCACAGGTGGAAGGCAGACAGGGTGTGAGCCAGGGCCTGGGCCGCCAAAACAAAGAACCCCAAACTGGTCCTTTCTTCTTTCCCAGTTCAGGAAAGCTGAGGATGTCGGCCGGGCCATGGCCCCTCCAAAAGCCCTATGGGAGAATCCTTCCCACCTTGGCCTCAGGTAGCTGGGACCACAGGCACCTAACCCTTCCAGCCTCGGCACCCTTGGCTGCAGCCACATCGCCCCCTCCCGCCCCTATATCCACCATCATGCGGCTTCTCCTGTGTGTCTGTCTCCATGTGCTGCCCTTCTTAGGACGCCATCACGTTGGAGCAGGACCACCCAGCCAATTACGTCGGCGATGACCCTATTCCCAAGCCGCATTCTAATGGACCAGCGGCTACGACTGGATCCTATTTCTTTGGGGACCACCATTCAGCCCTGGACCTGTGTGGGGCTGACAGCCCCCAGTGCTGGCTCCCCCAGGCCGTCCTGCAACCACCCTCATCATGCCACGACAGTGGAGGCCGAGGGCCCTTCCTGGTGCCCCGGTGAGTGACACGGCCAGGACCTGACCCTCCCATGCCTCTGTGGCAGAGCAAGGTGGGTGGGGAACTGGCTGTCCTGCTCCCAGCTGCGTTCCTGGCACCTATGCCCCACCCACCCAGACACACATCTGGGTGTCAGGCAGCCGCATGTCACTGAGTGGGGTAAACAAGGGAGGGTGAGAGGAAGGTCAGAAGGCCATGGCTGAGGGCGTAAGTGTGGGCTGAGGCTCTTGCTTCCCAGAACACAGACTGACCTTGGTGGCAGACCTCACCATGGGAGCCCCCAAAAGCTGCTTGCTTGAGGCCTCCAGGCCTCTTGCAGGGCCCTAAAAGCACAGGGATCCAGGACAAGAGGTGCGGGGGCCCCCGCCTGGGCACCAGCCTGCATGGGCCAGAGCAAGCCACTTCCTCTCAGGTTTGGGGAATGCCCACGTCAGACTTGCAGAGGCAACTTCTCCATCTGTCTGGCTCACAGGCCCTGTGGCAGGAGAGGAGCCAAGAAATGAAAGGGCCCGGTGGGTGTGGGCGGGCCCTGCTCCGATCTGGATCTGGCCAGTGCCTGTGGCACGCCCTGCTCTGTCCCTGGGGCACCCGGGCGTGTGGCTCAGCTGAAAGGGTGACCATGGGCACCATTTGCCTGGCTCCCAGGTCCTGAGGCCAGAGAGGAGCCAAGAAATGAAAGGGCCTGGTGGGTGTGAGTGGGCCTCAGTGTCTGGCTGCTCCAGGAGGAGGGGGGTGGGCACTGACTCCTGCCTGAGGGCTGGAGGCAGGGAGGCTCCTCTGGACAGGAAGACCCTCCAGGAACAGACCAGCAAGACTGGCACTGTCCAGATGGGACCAGGAGCCGGACAGCGGCGTCAGACATGCCCCACAGCGGCCGTGACCACAGCCACTTCCTGGAGGTCAAGACCTGGAGGCAGGGCCAGTGCTGCCAGGGATCCTGGTGTGGACACGGGCAGGACCAGGGGATGCTCCCTCGAGGCTGGTGTGGAACAGGCCGTGCTGCCCAGTGGGTGGGCACCCAAGGGGGCTCCAAGCCAGGCTGTCCTCCCAAGGCCGGCTTCGTCCAGAAGGAGAGGAGCCAAGGTGCCCCGGCATCCACCTTCCTCGGCTGCCTTGTCCACTGCAGGGACAGCAGCCTGTGAGCAGGAGGTGCTTTGAGGGAGCTGGGGGGACCCTGGGGGACACACGGCATTTCCACACTGTAACCACGTCACGTAGAGACCACAAAGTCCTCCTGTCTTGGGGTAAAAGTGAGGAAACTGAGGCTGGGGAAGCTAAGGGGCTCACGTGGCCTCTGGAAGGGACGGGGCTGGACCCCGGCCGCCGACAGTGTGAAAACAGCGGTTCCTGAGCCAGTGTTGCGGCAAGGGGCAAGGGACAGGCACTGTCAGAAGCCCCATGCCCCTCCCCAACCCCCCAGGAAGTTCCACTGAGTTCTCAGTGCTGAGTCACTGGCTGCGGGGCCTGCGGTCCTGGCCGGACAGGAAGGTTGGGCAAGGCCTTGCCCTCCCCCTCAGGCGAGAGGCACAGATCCTGCCACACAGCCCGGCCCCACTCCCCAGGCCCCCGGCCCCATAGGCCTCTAGCCACAGCCTGGCTGCTGTCCTCATGTCCTTGGCTCTGGCCTGGTGAAGGCCAAGGGCACTTCAGAACCTCCCTGTGCCTCCATGTGCCAGGTTGGGGCTGGGCACGAGGCCACAGCAGGGGCTGGCAGGTGGTGACCTCTGCTCCTCGACCTGGGATGCTCCAGGTTGAGACGTAGGGTAGCTGCAGTCCCAGCAATGACAAGCTCTGGGTAACCCTGGTGAGTGGACGGCCAAGGCGAGCCCAGCCTCAGTCACTGGGGGGTGGACGGCCAAGGGGAGCCCAGCCTCGGTCACTGGGGGGGTGGACGGCCAAGGGGAGCCCAGCCTCGGTCACTGCGGGGTGGACGGCCAAGGGGAGCCCAGCCTCGGTCACTGGGGGGGTGGACGGCCAAGGGGAGCCCAGCCTCGGTCACTGGGGGGGTGGACGGCCAAGGGGAGCCCAGCCTCGGTCACTGCGGGGTGGACGGCCAAGGGGAGCCCAGCCTCGGTCACTGCGGGGTGGACGGCCAAGGCGAGCCCAGGAGGTCACTGGAGGAGGAGAAATGCAGGAAGAAGGCAGCTGTCAATAGCGCAGGGGTGCACAGAGCCCTGAAGGAGCCATGTGTAAGGTGCCGAGGGTGTGTGCAGGTGGAGCTTGGTCAGGGAGGCCGCACCAGGACCACCAAAGCAGGTGATACCTGAATGATGTTCTAGGCCAAGGAAGAGAGGACAGAGGCCCGGCCAGGGCTAGAGCATAAACCAGGCTGGTGCTGACCACGGCAGAAGGGCAGAAGGTACCCTCCGGCTGTGCGTGGAGAACGGGCAGCAGGGACGAGGGCCTGGGGCCAGGCTGGTGGCACTGGCTGTTCCCGAAGCCCGTCACTCACCTGCATCTGTTCCATCCAGGCGCTGGGGTGGGCAGGACACCAGGATGCCAATGGCTCACTGAGCCGCCGGGGGCACCGCTAGGGCTTGGGGACCACGGGACTTGCCACTGGACATGGGGGTTGAGGATAAGGGAGAGAAAGGCTGAGGCAGCCCCGTGTGAGCCCAGCAGGACTGAGGGTCTCGGAGGGTCTGGGCTCTAGGACGTTTCGGGGTTACCGTGAGAGGAAGCTCCTAAGGACCGTGAGAGTGGATGGGGCCACCCCAGGCAGGTGTGGGCAGGGAGGAGAGGAGCAGGGATGGGGCCCATACATTGGGCTCAGGAGATGCAGGGAAGCCCCCAAGCTGCAGAAGAGGAGGACACCCGGGACCAGGCAGGGCCTGGAGGCCGGGGCAGCGATGGAGCCCTGCTGGGCCTGCAGGTCTGAGGCACTTGGGGGTTGGCCTGGAGGCCTAGGGAGGGGGTGTGGGGCAGCAGCACACTTTGCTGGTGCCACCTGGGAAGGTGCCCACCCATCTCCAAGGGGCGGGGGAGGAGCTAGTCTGTGCGGTGAGGGTGACACTGTCCCAGTCACCCTCCCCTAGACAGCAGGGAAGGTCCGGTCACCCCCAGGCACTTGCAGGC
Source organism: Homo sapiens (assembly GCF_000001405.40). Lineage (NCBI taxonomy): Eukaryota > Metazoa > Chordata > Mammalia > Primates > Hominidae > Homo > Homo sapiens. The sequence goes on from NC_000017.11 coordinate 82,219,456, forward strand.
CGTGGGGGCTCCCCAGGAGCCAGTGGCCGCCCGTAGGGTCTCGCAGGCCAGAGGCCTCGCTCCCTGGGCCTGCTGTGTCTCTGGAGGCCCCAGCTGGCAGGGGGACCAATGGGGCCCTTCCCCACCGCCTCCCAGGTGCCGGTGGCCGCCCCTGAGCAGGGGGTTCTGGGGCCCCTGCCTGGACTGCTCCCCCACTGCTTGGCCCCGCCTCTCAGTCTCGGACTTGGGGAGGAGCAGCCAGGCCAAAGGGTGCAAAGAGGGGGCTGGGGGGCTGCACTGAAAGGCGGGGGGTCTGCGCTGAGAAGGGTGGCTACAGGCGAGCATGGGCTGCGCTGTTCCCACCCAGCCTTGAGTTCCAGTCTTGACTCCTCTCCTTCCACACTCCAGTCCTGCCTCCATGGCAGACCCAGGGCCGACGTGGGCTCCAAGGAGGGCAGAGGAAACCCTGACCCCCCAGCCCCCAGCTCAAGAGGAGGCAGGGGTGGGACACAGGGCAGGTGGAGCAGAGAAAGGCGAAAAAACGCACTCCAGGATGCTGGACGCTCAGGGCCGGGGGGGCCCTTTCACAGCAGGTTGGGGGGGCTCTCAGGGCCACACTTTGCCCAGCCTCCAAAGGGCTGAGCCAAGAGGAGAGGGCAGTGTCCCCACCCATCCAGCCACCTGCCACCCCGATCCTGGGACAGAGTTGTCTCTGTTGGCCCAGTGTGGCCTGGACACCCTAGGCTGGGCTCCACGGCCACCCCAAAACCTTCTTGCCAAGGAAGGCTGTTCCTCCCCCAGTGCCCAGGAGAGCTGCCTCCTGCTCCATGTCTACCACTGAGGCCTCCAGCTGATGACCTCCTGGCCTGCTGAGGCTTGAATGTTGGGGCCAAGGGGCTGGGGTAGGGCTCCACTCCACCCCAGGAGTGGGAAGGGGAGACCCAGGGCAACCTCTGGCCTCACAGGCAGCCCCTGCCTGGCACACCCACTCCAGCTTAAACATGGAAGCAGGCTGATCACACTGATTTTTGTCCTTAGGAAAGTAATAGATTCCGGCCAGGCATGGTGGCTTATGCCTGCAATCCCAGCACTTTGGGAGGTGGAGGTGGGAGAATCACCTGAGCTCAGGAGTTCAAGACCAGCCTGGCCAATACAGTGAGATCCTGTCTCTATCTAAAAAAAATTTTTTTTAAGTAAATAAAAAAAGAAAGTAAAGATCTCTTCCACAAAAGTGCTGGGGCAACTGGATATCCACATGCAAAGAATAATGCTGGATCCCTATCTCACACCGTTTATAAGTATCAATGCAAAATAGATCAACAAACAAAACATAAGAGCTAATATCACAAAACTCTCAGAAGAAAGCATAATTAATTAATTAATTTAATTTATTTATTTAGTTTTAGACAGAGTCTCACTCTGTCACCCACCCAGGCTGGCATGCAGTGGCGCAATCCCAGCTCACGGCACCCTTTGCCTCCTGGGTTCAAGCAATTCTCGTGCCTCAGCTTCCCGAGTAGCTGGGATTACAAGCATGCACCACCACACCGGGCTAATTTTTGTATTTTTAGTAGAGACAGGTTTCTACTGGCCAGGCTGGTCTCAAACTCCTGGCCTCAAGTGATCTGCCCACCTCAACCTCCCAAAGTGCTGGGATTACAGGTGTGAGCCACTGTGCCTGGCCCAGATTTTTGATATGATACCAAAAACACAAGCAACATAAGAAACAAAGATACAATTTTGTGCATCAAAGGAGAGTGAAGGCAGCCCACAGAATGGGGGAAAATACAGACCATATATCTGTTAAGAGTTTAATACCCAGAACATGTAAAACTCAACAAAGGGCCGGGCACGGCAGCTCACACCTGTAATCCCAGCATTTTGGGAGGCTGAGGCAGGCGAGTCACTTCAGCTCAGGAGTTCAAAGACCAGCCTGGGCAACATGGTGAAACCCTGTCTGTACAAAAACATACAAAAACATTAGCTGGGTGTGGTGGTGGTGCTTGCCTATCGTCCCAGCTACTTGGGAGGCTGAGGCGGGGAAGACTCGTGTGAACCCGGGAGGTGAAGGCTGCAGTGAGCTGAGAACGCACCACTGCACTCCAGCCTGGGCAACAGAGTAAGACCCTGTTCCAAACATAAAAGAGAATGAAACTAAACAACAACAACAAAAAAGACAACCCAATACCAAAGAAGATACAGAATGGCCAACAGGCACATGAAAAGATACTCAACATCATTAGTCATTAGAGAAACGCAAATCCAATCCATCATGAGATACTACTTCACACCCACGAGCACGGCTTTAATGAAAAACAAACAGGGCTGGTGTGGCAGCACGGGCCTGGAGTCTCAGCCAGGCAGGAGGCGGAGGCAGGAGGATCACTTGAGCCCAGGAGTTCCTGCCTGGGCAACATAAGAAGACCCTGGTCTCTGAAAAACAAACACCTCCCAGAAAACCTCCACATAAAATAACAGGCGCTGGTGCGGATGTGGAGAAACTGGAACCCTTGAACACCCTGCTGAGAATGGAGATGGCCAAAGCCTCCGTGGAAAGCAGTGTGGTGGCTCTTCATGGACAGGAGCGTCGCCCTGGGACCCCCAACTCCGCTCCCACGTTCGTGGACAGGAGCCTCGCCCTGGGACCCCCAACTCCGCTCCCACGTTCGTGGAGAGGAGCGTCGCCCTGGGACCCCCAACTCCGCTCCCACGTTCGTGGAGAGGAGCGTCGCCCTGGGACCCCCAACTCCGCTCCCACGTTCGTGGAGACGAGCGTCGCCCTGGGACCCCCAACTCCGCTCCCACGTTCGTGGAGAGGAGCGTCGCCCTGGGACCCCCAACTCCGCTCCCACGTTCGTGGAGACGAGTGTCGCCCTGGGACCCAGCAACTCCGCTCCTACATTCACACCAAAGAGAAACGAAGACATCTGTTCACACAAATACTGGCCCAGGAATGTCCGTGGCACCACTGTTCACAACAGCCAAAAGGTGGAGATGACCCAAATGTCCATCAACAGATGAGTGAAGAAACGAAACGTGGTCCATCCACATGAGGAAACATCATTCAGCCGTAAAAAGGTATGAAGAGGCCGGGTGTGGTGGCTCATGCCTGTCATCCCAGCACTTTGGGAGGTCGAGGCAGGCGCCTCACCTGAGGTCAGGAGTTCGAGACCAGCGTGACCAACATGGTGAAACCCTGTCGCTACTAAAAATACAAAAATTAGCTGGGCGTGATGGTGCACGCCTGTAATCCAGCTACTCGGGAGGCTGAGGCAGGAGAATCACTCGAACCAGGGAGGCGGAGGTTGCAATGAGCCGAGATCAAGCTACCGCACTCCAGCCTGGGGGACAAGAGCGAGACTCCGTCTCAAAAAAAAAAAAAAAAAAAGGAATGAAGCACTGATAGACCCTCTCCCATGGACGAACATGGAAGGAAGACATGATGCTCAGTAAACACGCTGGTCACAAAGGCCACACCCTGCAGGGCTCCATTCACATGAAACATCCAGGACAGGCCAGTCCACAGACACAGACAGCAGATGGGTGGATACCGGGGAAGGGGGGGTGCTGTGGGAAGGAGGATGGGGAGCAATTACTTAATGAGTGCACGGTGTTTTTAAGGGGTGATGAAAGAGTTTTGAAACTAGACAGCTGGTGGTGGACAACAACGTGAGCACGTCCAGTGCTGCTGAGCTGCCCTCTACCGTAACCGTGTGCTACAAGAGCTCTACCTTAATTAATTAATTATTATTATTATTATTTCTGAGACGGAGTTTCGCTCTTTGTTACCCAGGCTGGAGTATAGTGTCGCGATCTCGGCTCACTGCAACCTCCGCCTCCCAGGTTCAAGCAATTTTCCTGCCTCAGTCTCCCAAGTAGTTGGGATTACCGGCATGTGCCATGACGCCTGGCTAATTTTTGTATTTTTGGTAGAGATTGGCCAGGCTGGTCACCCTATTGGCCAGGCTGGTCTTGAATTCCTGACCTCAGGTGATCTGCCCACACTGGCCTCTCAAAGTGCTGGGATTATAGGCGTGAGCCACTGCGCCTGGACTATTTATTTATTTACTTATTTATTTTTTCTTTTTGAGACAGAGTCTTGGTCTGTCACCCAGGCTGGAGTGCAGTGGTATGATCTAGGCTCACTGCAGCCTCCACCTCCTGGGTTCAAGTGATTCTCCTGCCCTCCTGCCTCAGCCTCCCGAGTAGTTGGGATTATGGGTGCATGCCACCACGTGTGGCTAATTGTTTGTATTTTTTGGTAGAAATTCGGTTTGCTGCACCCACTTTACAGAGCAAGAGACTGAGGTCCAGAGAGGTCCCCACACTTCTTTCTTTCCCCACTTGACCACATTCTTGGAATGACCGCTCAGGATCCAATGAGCATTAGTTCTGAATGTTCCAGCAGCATTGACCCTGTCTCAGTTCTGTCTCCCAGTGACAGAGCGAGAGGTCACTGAGGACATCAAGAAGACCTGGCCAGCACACGACAGCTGCTCTCATCAGACCATGCACACCTACACCCCAACACCTGTGCACAGACACCCCTACACCTGTGCAGACGCACCCCTACACCCGTGCACAGAGACACCTGTGCAGACACAACCCTACACCCGTGCAGACACACCCCCACACCCGTGCACAGACACCTGTGCAGACACACCCCTACACCCGTGCAGACACACCCCTACACCCGTGCACAGACACCTGTGCAGACACACCCCTACACCCGTGCAGACACACCCCTACACCCGTGCACAGACACCTGTGCAGACACACCCCTACACCCGTGCAGACACACCCCTACACCTGTGCAGTCACCTGTGCAGACACACCCCTACACCCGTGCAGACACACCCCTACACCTGTGCAGTCACCTGTGCAGACACACCCCTACACCTGTGCAGTCACCTGTGCAGACACACCCCTACACCCGTGCAGTCACCTGTGCAGACACACCCCTACACCCGTGCAGACACACCCCTACACCTTGCAGTCACCTGTGCAGACACACCCCTACACCCGTGCAGACACACCCCTACACCTGTGCAGTCACCTGTGCAGACACACCCCTACACCCGTGCAGTCACCTGTGCAGACACACCCCTACACCCATGCAGACACACCCCTACACCTTGCAGTCACCTGTGCAGACACACCCCTACACCCGTGCAGACACACCCCTACACCTGTGCAGTCACCTGTGCAGACACACCCCTACACCCGTGCAGTCACCTGTGCAGACACACCCCTACACCCGTGCACAGACACCTGTGCAGACACAACCCTACACCCGTGCAGACACATCCCAACATCCATGCACAGACGCACCCCAACACCTGTGCACAGACACACCCTCACGCCCGTGTACACCCCCAACCCCACATAACCGGCCCTCTCATAACCCTACACCATGCATCACACCCAAACCCCATGACCAACACCCACCACAGGCAGCAGTGTGGTGGGTCAGGCCCCACTGGGCCACGGTGCGGCTTCTCCTGCCCTTTTCACCTCTGCCCCCTACCTGGGCTGCCACTCCCTGGGAAGGACCAGCAGCCAGGTTAATATGTATTTTTCTGACTTTGGGAGGCCAGGCAGGTGAATCACAAGGTCAGGAGTTCAAGACTAGCCTGGCCAAAATGGTGAAACCCTGTCTCTACTAAAAATACAAAACATTAGCTGGGCGTAGTGGCAGGTGCCGGTAACCCCAGCTACTCAGGAGGCTGAGGCAGGAAAATCGCTTGAACTTGGGAGGCAGAGGTTGTGGTGACCCAAGAATGCACCACTACACTCCAGCCCGGTGACAGAGTGAGACTCTGTCAAAAAAAAATAATAATAATATGTATTTTTCTGTGAGCCTGGACAGGTTCTCTGGGGCGAGTGAAGGGAGGGCGCAGATTTGGGCCATGGTCCTGGTCCTGGGTCTAGGCTCTGTGTGGTGGAGGGCACCAGCCTCCCCTGGCACCGTCCTGGCTGCATCCCCCATCCAGCCTGGGCACGTCCCGCCACACGCCCCGCGTGGGTCTGGAGTCTGGGGACGGTGTGGCCACAGGTGTGGAATGACAGGCTGTGACAGTTGTGTCACCAGATCCTCTGGGCAGGGAGCTGTAAGGCAGGCAGGGTCAGGAGCTGGGCAGCCCAGGACCCCAGGGAGGCGGGGCTGTGGCTCGGCCGGAATGTCCTTCCCCGTGACTCGGCTTTCTTCCCCTGACCCGGCCAGTCCTGGCCCCAGTCCTGTCCATGGGGCGGCAACTGGTGCTGGGTGGTACGGCCAAGACTGGGTCAGGACGGGGTGGCCCTGCTGGGATCTGGAAAATGGTGTGCGGGGTTCCCAAGGACGCAGGATGTGGGCTGTGTGGCTCCCCCGACCCTGGAAGGTTCCCTGGGACCTGAGATCTGGCCCTGATAGGTCCGGGGGCCTGTTCTGCCACCCTCCCTGGGGCAGCGGCTGTGGTGACCCTTGGAGAAAAGCCTCTCCGCATTTCCTAAGTCATTTCAGGACACAGAGGTAGGGACTCTCGGGGCAGCCCATGGGGAGGAAGCAGATCCCAGCCTCCCCTTCCTGCCCGCCCCCCTCCCACAAAGGTTGCTCTTGGAAAAGGTGGGACTGCGCACCCCAGGGAGCTTAAGCCTGCCAGGGAGCAGGGTGGGAAGGACCTGGGGGCCAGGCCCCTAGGAGGACATTCCAGGGCCTGGAGGGCCCTGTAGCTGGAACTGGGAACAAAAGGAAGTTGGGGCAGCCAGGGGCAGGTGGAGGCACCTGGGTCTGGGGGAGAAGTCAAGACTGGGGGCTGTGGGGTCAGAGGGGGGCGTCCTGTGAAGCTGCTCACTGGCCAGGGATGGTGCCACCTGTCCACACCCCCACCTCCTTTCCTGCAGAAAAGGGCGGCCTGGGCCTGGGGTCTGACCCAGGGCCACTGTGGGGGAGCAAGCGTTGGAGCCAGGTGTGGGGTGGGTGCTCCCAACACCACCCAGAGTGGGGTGCAGAGATGCGGACACACGTGGCCTTTCCCACCCCTTCCCGCAGCTCCAGACCCCCAGCGGGCCAGGGGATCGCACCATGGCCAGAAGTGCCTCTCCCCTGCACCATCGCTGTCTCTGACACATCCAGGGTTGTTGAGGGAGGGGCATGACCCCCAGAAGGCATCTTACCCGAAACCAAAGTGGTATTCCGTGCCCAGGTGCCCCTGGAGCCCTGTGTCAGATGGAGCCTGGCCACCTGGGCCCTGGTGCCAGGCCTGGAATGCCCCCCGCCACCAACTGCTGGGCCTTTCTAAAAGCTGAGCACTTGGAGGTCAGGGGTACCTCATGCTACCGGAGTGCCAGAATCCTCGGAGAGGGGCCCAGGGTCTCGGAGGCTCTGGCCCCACCCCACAGCGTCCTGTTCTGTCCAGGCTCCGGGTGAGCTGTCCCAAGTGGCCTGCTTGATAGCTGCGCTGCCTGTTTCCTCTGGGTAACAACCTGGCAGGCCCCCAGCCCCAGCCCCCAGCAGCCATCACATCACTGTGACCACTCTGTGGTCTTCCAGTCCCCCCAGTCAAAGCCCACAGACTTGACCTCTCTGCTGGGAGCCAGTGCTGACTGGCCTGCCTGCTCCCCTCCCCTCTGAGGGCAGGGAGGCTCCACCCCAGCTCTGGGTGGACAGTCCTGGGGCCCACACCCAGGGGAAGCCATGCCTAAGAGGGGGCCAGGCCTGGGGGTCAGAACCAAACCACAGGTGCTCCCTGGGACCCCTGGAGGGATGACTGGGCGTCTTCCCAGCTGGGAGAAAACCTGGCCCTGGCAGGGGCGCCCCTTTGTCCTTCAGGAGGCAGGAGGGGGCAGTGAGGTCCCAGGCTCTCTGGCTCTGTCTCCCTCCCCCTGTTGCTGCTCTACGGTGGGGGTTCAGGGTTCAGGGATCAGGGCCAAGCTGTAGGCAGATGTGGAAGGTGTCTCGGTGGCTTCAGTGGGGGCCCCAAGCCCAGCTGGCAGGCCTGGTGACTCAACAATCTGGGATGGGGAGCACGGTACCCTCGCCTCCCCGGCAGGCAATACCCCATAGGGGACCCATTCCCGCAGCTGTCCACGGTGCCTCGCACCCCTCTGCTGCTCTCCCTCCTCAGAAACTGATGAATCGCCTGGTGCAGGAAGATGGGAGCACCACCTGCCCTGGGCGGGAGCACCACCTGCCCTGGGCGGGAGCACCACCTGCCCTGGGCGGGAGCACCACCTGCCCTGGGCGGGAGCACCACCTGCCCTGGGCGGGAGCAGCACGGGCCAACTAAGTAGAGTCTTCATCTGTGAAGTTGGAGGCCCCCTCACCACTTGCCACAGGCCTGTGTTCTGCTCACAGGCACGTGCCCTCATCTTGATGTTTGGGGATGGGGGTGGTTGGGCCCCAGGTAGGGGTGAGGGCCAGACCCAGCCTCTGTGAATGCCAGCGGGAGGGTGGGCTTGTAACATTACATAGAAAGAACAGGCGGCCTTACTGGACCTGATGTCCCGCAAGGCTGGGCTGCAGATGGAGAGCCAAGGCCCACACGGCCTCACTGTCAGGGGTGGCCTCCCCTTGCCCTCTGGAGGGGTCCTCCATTGATACCCCCTGCCTCCTTTGTGTGTGAAGGCACGGGCTTACCAGTGCCTCGGTCCCCGAAGCCCCCGGGTCCGGGAGGGGCCAGTTAAAGCATTCCTGTGGCCCTGGCAGGGTGGCCCTGACAACTAGACTCCTTGGTCCAGGCCAACAAAGGCCTTACTCCCTGGAGCCACCTCAAACCTCAGCACCCAAAGCGGCCCGTTATTTCCATGTTGCAAATGAGAGAAAACAGGCTGGGAGAAGCACCTCACGAGGTCCAGCGGGTGGGCAGCCCTCGCCTCCCCGAAGGTGGGAGCCGCCCCGGCCTCCGCGTCGGGTTCTGGGCCGCGAGAGGGGCGGGGCAGGGGCGCAGGGCTGGAGTCGGTGGCTTTGTAGGGCCCCGCAGGGCGCGGAGCCACCTGGGGAAACGGAAGTTCAGGGAGGGCGAGGCCGTGCCCCACATCCAGGCAGCGCAGGCCGCGGGCCGCTCCCCTAGCCAGGAAGAGCCGCCGTCCGCACCGGGACCGGAGAGGAAGCGGAGGTCTGAAGGGGGACAGGTCGGACGTGGCCTCAGAGAGGGAGGATGTGGGCCCCGGAGCTGAGCCAGGCGGCCGGAACCCCACGGGACCCGCGCGCACCTCCCCACCAAAGGGGCCCCGGCGTTGGGGGGCGAGGGGTCGCTGCCCTGGAGGACGTTGGGACCTGCCGCGCTGCGCTCCGAGGCGGGGAAACGGAGGGACGGCGGGGCGGAGGGGCGAAGCGAGCCTGGACTCCGGGGGAGGCGAGGCCGGGAAGACCCAGTCCCGAGGAGCAGAGGGGGCGGGCCAGCTCCGGGCCGGGGGCGCCGACGGGGCCGGTTCCGGTTGGGGGGGTCCCTGGGCCCGGCGGGGTTGCGGGACGCGCCGTCGGGGAGCTGCGGCCCGGGAGCCCGTCCGGAGGCGGCGCGGGGTCCGGGCGGGGCGCGCAGGGGCGGCGCCAGGCGGTGACGTGCGCGGGGGACGTGCCGCGCCAGCGACCCGAGCACTTAAAGTCGCCCCCGGCGCGGAGCGGACCGGCAGAGGCGGGCAGAGGCGGCGAGAGGCGGCGAGAGGCGGGCTGAGGCGGCCCAGCGGCGGCAGGTAGGCGCGGCCGCGATGCTCGCGCGCGGGCCGGGGCCCAGGAGCTCCCCCGTGCCGGGCAAGGGGGCGACCTCGGGGTCCGCGCTCTCACCCCCACCCCGCCCACTTTGTCCATCAGGTCCGGGGGCGCCCGGGGCATGGACTAGCCTTCTCGACCCCGAGCGGGCCCCACCGAGGGCTCCCGAGAGCCAGCCGCGCCCCTCCGCGCCCTCGCATACCTGGCTGCCCAGTCTCGTCTCCCCCGGTCCGGCCCGGCGCCCACCCGTCGGGCTGCCCTCAGGGGCTGGGCTCGGGCCAGGAGATGGCTGCGCCGGCGGCCAAGCCCGGTCCGGGTATAAATAGCTCGGTCCGCGGTGGCGGGGGGCGCGGGCTATATTTGGTGGGGCTGCTGCAGCCCTCCCTGTATGGGTGGCCTCCCCGAGGGAGTGGGGAGCACTTGCGCTCGGGCCGTGGCGCTTTCCCCTGTTCGCAACACCCTGAACACTCCCCGACCCACACCCGCCCTTGGGCAATGACTAACAGCCCGAGACCGTGCAGGGAAGTGGGGGACCCTCTCCAGAGCCAGGCTGGGCTCCCTGGGTTCGCCCTACCTCCACCCCTGGCCCCCAGCTCGTGGGAAAACCAGGCGCAGCCTTTGGTAGCCTCCCACTTCCTAACCCACGCCTCAGTTTCCCTATACGAAAAGTGGGTTGGTCAGGAGCCTCCCTGGGTGTTGGGCCAGTCAAGAGACAGGAGCCGCAGAGTGGAAGGGAAGCCCTTAGCTCTGGCCGGGGCCTCCAGGGGTGGCTGGAGTCGGTGAGGGACGATGGGGGGAGCCGAGGGGCGGCTGTCCTCCTCTCTGTCCCAGAGGCATGGGCTGAAAGGGTCCCTCTCCTGGTGATGGCCAGAGTCAGGCCTGCTGGGCGGGAAATGGCAGTTGGCCCACCCCAAGGCCCAGGGGCTTGTCCATGCTGAGCACAAGGGTGGGAGGTCTTGTGTCTGTTGGGGCCGGGGAGTCCAAGGTCCCAGCTTCACTGCACAGGCCTGGAAGTCAGGTGGGTGCTGGCCTGACCCTGCTGAAGGAGGGTCTATTCCGCCAGCGTGGTGTGGAGGCGGCTGGGCTCGACTCCCTCATGGAGGGAAGGAACTGAGGAGGTGCTAGGAGGCCGTGGGGGGGTGTCTGCCCCCAGAGAGGCTTTGAGTGCATGGGGGCTCTGCCGTGGCACGTGCAGCGTCTGTCCCCCAGGGCCCCATGGTGTGGACAGAGTCTGGGGTGGGCACCTGGAGGCCTGGTCTCAAGGCAGGCTTGGTAACGACCCCATGTGACCTTGGGCAGGGCCCGCCATCCAGGCCACCCAGAAAGCCATGTGGCCTGCACGATCAGGCCAGACCCCACTGACTGGAGCGGGGCACTTTACTTTGGAGGGGCAGCTACCAGAGGGCTCTATGGATCCCAGCCCAGCCGTCAGGCCGGACGGGTCCCCCCTACTGGCCTGCAGTGACCCTTATGCCAGGCTCGGCTGGCTCAGCGGTGGGTCCTGGGGTGACCTGGCCACGTGGGACAGAAGGGCCTGTGCCGCTCCCTCCAGTGAGGTGCCAAATGTGGGCCACACTCTGGGCCCCAGCGGGGGCCTTCCGGGCAGTGGCGCAGAGCCATTGGAGGTGCCCGGGCCCTGGGGCAGGGGCGGGGCGGGAGCAGACAGAGCTCAGGGCGTCCTCCTAGCGTCACCTGCCCGAGTCAGGCCCATCTGTGAAATGGGCCACGCCGGGCAGCCGCACGCAACGGAACCGAACCGCCGGGCTCCTGCTCCGAGACCCGCAGTTCACGAGTCGACGCCCCCGAGTCCCGAGCCGCGCCCACTGGTCCCACCTCTGCAGCAAGTGGAGTCGGCCCCGCCCTGTGGCTTCGAGGCCCCGACGCCTGGCGCGGCTCCCGGGCTCCGCTGACCCCGGTGGACCCGCGCGCCGGCAATTACGGTAGCGTCCAGTAGGGCGCCTACTGCGGGCAATACGGGGGCTCCTCCCATGGCGCGGTCACGTCCCCCACGTCCCGCGGCTGGCGGGGCGGGGCCGGGCGGAGCATCCTTCCCTCCCCCTCCCCCGGGTGGGCCCCGCCCAGCCTCGACCACCCGCGCCGACCCCCGCCCGCAGAGCCGGGAAGCCGGAACCCGCAGGCGCCCTCCAGCCGTCCCTCCGGCCCGGGCGGGGATTGCGCCGAGGAGGGGCCTCTCCTGGCGAGGGTGGAGTTTTGGGTTCCCCCCTTCGCCCCGCACCTCCCGCCTTCCTGCCTCCTCCCGGTCTTCACCTTCCCCCCCGGGTCCCCACGACGCCCGCTGGGCGGCGGTGGGGTAGGGGGCGCCTCCTGACCCGACTCCCCTTCCAGCCTTGGCCTTCAGGCACTGGCTTTAGGGTGGAGGGGCGGCCTTGCGGGGTCCAGGAGGCCTCGGAGGTGGGGGACGGCGGCTCTGGACCAGCTCCGGCCCCCACCACCTCCCGGCCCCAGGGCGGTGACAGCCTTGCGGAGAAGGGGTCTTCAAAGCTCTGAGACCCCGCAGTGCCAGCTCAGGATTGAAGCCTGCGGCGGCACATGCAGCCTTCCTTTCCCAAAGGGGACTTGCGCCCAGCCCCACTTGGGGCACCAGTGGGGGCTCCTGGCCCTGGCCCTGGGTGGGAGTGGCCAATCCGCAAATGAGGCCTGTGTGTCTGCCCCGCCGGCCCCTGCCGTCGTGATGTAAGCGGACACAGAGCGGCAGGGCACGGGCTGCGCGAGGGGTCTGCGGGGGTCAGAGGTGGGGCGCAGGGCCCAGGCCTGGGGCAGCCCCTTGCGCAGCGTCCACCCCCTGCAAGCTCGGCCCCGACACCTTTGCAGGCGCCTGGGGCGGGGCTGCCGGGAGTTGCTCACTGCTCCTTCCTTGTTTGCACAACAGGGGCTGCGGGGGAAGAAGGGAACTGAGGGAGGCCCCTCCCCCGGTGCAGCGCCCTCCCGCCCTCGGCACCCCTCGGCAGCCAGGCGCTGGCCACAGAGGCCGCTTCCTTGGTCCTCAGGCAGCTCATGGGATCCAGGAAGGAAACGAATTACCCTTTTCCTGCCCCGCCTCCTGCCTGGGCCACAAAGGCAGGGCCAAAGCCCATCCTTCAAGGGCTGGAGTCAGTTAGGTAACAGGCCACGGGCCCCGGGCTCAGGCCACTGCACGGACCCAGGGAACGGGCTGACAGTCCAGCAGAGGCCTCAGCGAGGCGGCGGCGCTGCGCACAAACCTGAGGACCTAGGCGGGTGAGGGGTCTGCAGGTCCAGACGCCTGAGGGGAAGCATGCCAGGGTGCCCAGTGCCCCCCAAGGTGGTGGGCGAGGTTTCTGGAGAGGTCCCGGAGGAGCGGGCTTGGGCAGCAGGGGTCAGGTTCAGGACCCTCTGTGCATGAGTCCAGGTTGACTCTGCAGGACGGCATTTCGAGCCACCTGGCATGGCGTTCCAGGCCTGTGACGGGGCAGTGCAGGGGTCCGAACTGGCAGGCACCCAGGTCCTGAGGACTTCATGGTCGAATCCTGGTCTAAAGCCAGGGGTCCTTGCAGAGCCCTGCGCCCTGCACCCTCGAGGGAACTGCCTGCAGGAGCCCCTGGCTTGGGAGGGCGCATGGCTGTGGGACGCAGGGTCTCCTGCAAGGGACTTTCCCACCCACCCCTGCCCCAGGCCTCCCGCTCAGCTTCCAGCAGCCTGGGGTCGTAGAGCCTTTGGGGGACCTGCTCTCCGGGCAGCCCCCACCTGGGAGATCAGCTTTCTCATCCCAGAGGCCAGGTTATTTCTGGGTGGGTTGGCATGCTTCCTGGGGGGCGGCGGGGGGGGGGTTGGTAAATGTCAGGGGAAGGCCAGCCTGTGGCGTGTGCCCACGGAGAGGCCAATGCTTGGTGGCTGTGGCGTGTGCTCCAGGCAGGACAGCCCCAGGGTTGTCCCTGGAACACCGGGCAGTCTGTACCTTGGCCCATCACGGTGCCGGGGTTATCCTGGAAGATGGGGAGTGTGGGCCATTATTTTGTGCCCCTTCCCCGTACTCTACCTCCTGTGGAATCCCTTGCCCCAAGCCATGTGGGCAGACAGCTGGCTCCAAGTCAGCCCCTGGACACCAGGCTGGAGTGGGAACTCCTGGAGCCATTTCAGCATGGCTGGCACCACAGGCTGGGTGAGGACAGACGATGGTGCCAGGTTGTGGTCTGGGGGCTTGTCCAAATGCCTCATCTTGACACAGAAGATGGCCCTCCCCACATGAGCGTCACGTGGAAGCCACAAGCACCTCAGGTCTCAGAACATGCTGTGCTCTCCTGGTCAGTGAGTCCTGGCACTGCCCCAACCCTCTGCCAGCCCTCCTTGACACTAATTCAGGGGCGCCGCGTCTCCTGAGGGTGGCCACTGTCCCCTGCCTCCCCACACGCCCTCGTCTGTCTCCTGAGGACCCTGGCGGGCTTCAAACCCTGGGTCTGCCTGCGTCTCCCACCCCCGCTGGTGCAGCCAGGGAGACTCAGAGGCCTTGGTACCTCTTTGTGTTTTGCAGGGGGAACCTGGGGTATGCAAAATGTGTCTATTCCTGTTTGTTGTATACACATTTCCTTCCTTGGCCTTGCATGGCCTGTTTATTTTTAAAAGTGCAAACTTGCAACCCCAAACAAGCTGGGGCCCTGAGGCCGTCAACCCCTCCAGTCTCCCCTGTGACCCGCAGTCTGCGTCCTGTTCCCAGTTTCATTCCTCAAGTGCATATATTTTTATTTTTTTATTTTTTTTTTGAGACAGAGTCTCGCTCTGTGGCCCAGGTTGGAGCGCAGTCGCGCGATCTCGGCTCACTGCAAGCTCTGCCTCCTGGGTTCACGCCATTCTCCTGCCTCAGCCTCCCGAGTAGCTGGGACTACAGGCGCCTGCCACTGCGCCCAGCTAATTTTTTTTATTTTTAGTAGAGACGGGGTTTCACCGTGTTAGCCAGGATGGTCTCGATCTCCTGACCTCGTGATCCGCCCGCCTTGGCCCCCCAAAGTGCTGGGATTACAGGCGTGAGCCACCGCGCCCGGCCTCAGTGCATATATTTTTAATATCTTGTAGTTACCCTGCTGTATACTGTCATCTTAGGGACCTTTTAAACAATACCAGTATGAGCGGGACCTACCCTGCTGCTCAGTGACCCCAGGCAGTGTGTCCTAAGGTGGTGTGTCCTGAGGCGTGCGACACTCTGTCCTGTCCCAGGCACTGTGGTGGGGGCATCCGGTGTCCAGGTGCAGAGGCAAAAGCTGCTCCCGGGTTTCCCAGAAATGGTTCCGAGGCCTGGGTCCCAGAGAGCCAGTGCAGGTTGGGGGGTGGACCTCTGGCTCTGTGGGGGGGTCTGTTCTGCTCCAGTGGGCCGTGTCTGCCTTGTCATCATCCAGACAGCCACAGCTGGCTCCTGGGTCCCCTCGTCAAGCAGCATTTCCCAGTAACAGTGACTTCGTGGAACACTTAGGAAGCCCTTAAAAACCATCCTCGGACCTCTGAGGCAGGGACTCCAGGGGGCACAGCACCTGTGGTGGGGACAGGCAGGCAGGCTGGATGCGGGGAGGGCCCGGGAGGAGGAGTGAGGAGCCACGCACGGAACTGCTCAGACTCTCCCAGCAAAGGTCCTGGCCCTTGTGCATGCCTTTAGTTACATGTCTGCCTTAGAGGCAAAGACGAGCCGTCACGGGGGACCCACCGGGTCAGGGGTCTGCGGACACGCTTGCAGGAGGAACCCAAGGAAAGGGGGTGGGGGTGGAGCCCCACAGATTGCGTCGTGGGTGGGCGTGGAGCTTGCACAGCAGGCCTGCTGCTGCCTCCCAGGGCGCTGGTTCACAGCACGGTCCCAGCAGGGAGAGGCTGAGCCGGTTGGACTAGACCACCCAAGGTCTCAGGTTGCAGCTCCCTGGTGAGGAGAGGACAAGGTGACTTCTGGGTGGGGTGGGGCATGAAGATGGAAGTCTGACCTCGGGTTCCAACTTGACTCAAACGAGCTGAGCTCCTGGAGTTTAGAAAGGGACACCAGCTTCAGACATCGTGGGGGCTGGCATGGTTTGCTCTCGTGGGCTGGATGGGAGCCTCCCTAGCCCCTCCTGATTTCAGGCTGCAGCCTATGGGTCACTCCAGGCACAGGTGGGGTGAGTCAAGATCTCACTGGAGGAGTCACTGAGCAAGAGGGCCGGTGGGAGGCAAGGGGGCATCCAGGGACAAGGGGCCAGCTCTGCCCCCACTTCCCCACCCCACCCACTCTAATACTGCAGCCCCTGTGCTTCCAACTGCCCCCTCCAGCCTGGGGCCCAGCCCCTCACCGCCAGAGACTGCCCGCCTCCTCTTGGGCAAGCTCCTGGTGGGCTCCACTGAAGCCAAAGTGGGCCCTTGGGGGCAGGAGAGCCAGAGCAAGGCACGCTCCACCTAGATTTAGACCGGGAGAGACCTGGAGGATGCCAACCCCAGAGGTCCTGGGGCGAGCTCAGTGCTGGGGACCGGAGGTGCCGTCTGCTGCCAGAATCATGGTGTGCGTGGTCCCTGCCCAGCACGGGTCAGCCAGAGCGAGCCAGGGCAGAAATGACGGCCAGGTCGATGTTCCTGTCGGGGGCTGCTTGTCCCAGGAGGTAATCTGAGTCCTGGCCGAGCCCAAAAAAGCCACTGCCCTTTAGAGCCAGCTGTGAGGGTGCAGGAGGCAGTGCAGAGGGAGTGGGACCCACAGCTGCTAGCCTCCCTCCAAACCCTCCTGCCTCCACCAGACACCAGGTCAGGGGGCCACAAGTGTGGGTGCCGGGCAGCTGCCCCTCAGCTGAGCTGCCGGGCCACCCAGCTCGTGTCCCTCCCCTGCCAGGCTGCAGCTGGGATGGTCACCCGGGCAGCCTGAGTCAGCCTGCTTTCTCTCTCAGGTGAGGCGGAACCAACCCTCCTGGCCATGGGAGGGGCCGTGGTGGACGAGGGCCCCACAGGCGTCAAGGCCCCTGACGGCGGCTGGGGCTGGGCCGTGCTCTTCGGCTGTTTCGTCATCACTGGCTTCTCCTACGCCTTCCCCAAGGCCGTCAGTGTCTTCTTCAAGGAGCTCATACAGGAGTTTGGGATCGGCTACAGCGACACAGCCTGGATCTCCTCCATCCTGCTGGCCATGCTCTACGGGACAGGTGAGGGTGGCCTCACACCGGGCCCCCTGTCCGGGGCTCTGCTGGCGGATCCTGCTGGGCGCGTGTAGCTGGGCTCAGCAACAGGGCCTTCCGCCTGCTCCCCAGGGAACCCTGGAGGGAAGCCCTTGGGGCCAGGATCCTGCTGGGCAGCAACATGCTCTCCACGGGGCCAACCCAGGCAGGGCGCGAAGTCCATCCTGGCCCCTGTCCAAACGGGTCGGCTGTATTTATAGACCGTCTCAGAGGACAGGCTCCTGAGAGCCGTTCCTGAAAAGGTGGCTGTTCCTGAGCTGCAGGGACCCAAGGGGCCCAGCAGGCGGCGCTCACGTGTCATCATGGCCTGCGCTCGGGGAGCCTGCCCACGGGGTGCCCCTGGTGCCCCGCGGGGGGAGGGGTGGTGTGGGAAGGGGAGGCCGGCTCCAGGCTGTGAGCTCAGTCGGCTGGCGGGGGTAGAGCTGGCTGCAGGCCCGGCCCCTCTCAGCTGCTGCCCTCTCCAGGTCCGCTCTGCAGTGTGTGCGTGAACCGCTTTGGCTGCCGGCCCGTCATGCTTGTGGGGGGTCTCTTTGCGTCGCTGGGCATGGTGGCTGCGTCCTTTTGCCGGAGCATCATCCAGGTCTACCTCACCACTGGGGTCATCACGGGTGAGTGGGGCCGGCCGGTGGGCCGCACGTGCCAGGAGGGGCAGGGGCCGTGCACTTCTGCTCCTGGGTCCAGGCCTCTGGAGGACAGCAGGGCGGGTGGCTGCGGGGTGTCCCGGCCCCACCTCGTTGTCCCCCTCTCGAGTGGGTGGGTGGCAGGGGCTCTGCACCCTGGGAGCCTGAGCCTGTGGGAACCTGGGGGCAGAGATGAGGGTCTCGGGCTTTGGGGCAGCCTTGGGGGGCTCTCACCACATTCCCTTTCCTCCAGGGTTGGGTTTGGCACTCAACTTCCAGCCCTCGCTCATCATGCTGAACCGCTACTTCAGCAAGCGGCGCCCCATGGCCAACGGGCTGGCGGCAGCAGGTAGCCCTGTCTTCCTGTGTGCCCTGAGCCCGCTGGGGCAGCTGCTGCAGGACCGCTACGGCTGGCGGGGCGGCTTCCTCATCCTGGGCGGCCTGCTGCTCAACTGCTGCGTGTGTGCCGCACTCATGAGGCCCCTGGTGGTCACGGCCCAGCCGGGCTCGGGGCCGCCGCGACCCTCCCGGCGCCTGCTAGACCTGAGCGTCTTCCGGGACCGCGGCTTTGTGCTTTACGCCGTGGCCGCCTCGGTCATGGTGCTGGGGCTCTTCGTCCCGCCCGTGTTCGTGGTGAGCTACGCCAAGGACCTGGGCGTGCCCGACACCAAGGCCGCCTTCCTGCTCACCATCCTGGGCTTCATTGACATCTTCGCGCGGCCGGCCGCGGGCTTCGTGGCGGGGCTTGGGAAGGTGCGGCCCTACTCCGTCTACCTCTTCAGCTTCTCCATGTTCTTCAACGGCCTCGCGGACCTGGCGGGTTCTACGGCGGGCGACTACGGCGGCCTCGTGGTCTTCTGCATCTTCTTTGGCATCTCCTACGGCATGGTGGGGGCCCTGCAGTTCGAGGTGCTCATGGCCATCGTGGGCACCCACAAGTTCTCCAGTGCCATTGGCCTGGTGCTGCTGATGGAGGCGGTGGCCGTGCTCGTCGGGCCCCCTTCGGGAGGTGAGCGCTGCGCCCCCAGGCAGTTCCCCACACCTGCCCTTCCCGTCAGACGCCCGCTTTGCGAGGGGGGGGACGCGCACCCCTCGGCAGCCACCCGCAGTGTGGGACTCAGAGCTGGAGGGGGTGCACTGTGCTGGACCAACCCTGATTCTGCTGGGGCTAGCGGGTCTCCATTAGGAGTGGGGTGCTCCGTCCGGCACAGTGTGTCCAGACAGGCAGGGTGGCTAGGGGCTGGGCCCGGGGGGGGGCAGCTCCTCCAGGCTCTGCCTGGGCACCACGCGGCAGCTCCAGGCAACCCAACAGCCGGCTTTTGCATTTTGGGGCCTCTCCTTTTTGAAGGATGACTGAGCTAACACGTGAGGGAAATTAAGTTCTGACTGGAGCAGCCTTGCCCAGGCTCCGCCTGCCTGGCGAGGGGGTCCTGGGCTTGGGGAGGGCTCATGTCTTGGAGTCCGCGGTGGCCAGGGCACAGGGCTGGTACTGAACACAGTAGGGCTTCTGGGGCTGCCGACTGGAAGCCTCAGGGGGACTCCGTGGGGACCAGCGTGACTCCTGCCACCAACCGAAACCCAAACTCCACAAAGCCATTGCTATTTTTAGCCTCTTAAGTCTTGGTTCCCCTGAGGAGGAGGGAGGATGCCCCCAGCTGAAACACATGGAGGGGAGAGAACACCTCCCAGCCCCACAAGCTCAGAGGCAGACAGGGTGACCCTTGCGTGCTGAGACACCGAGACACAGGCTTGGGTGGAGCCGTGGGCCCTGGGGGCAGCCCGCATGAGCGGCTGGGACTGACGGGGTCTTCCCGCAGGCAAACTCCTGGATGCGACCCACGTCTACATGTACGTGTTCATCCTGGCGGGGGCCGAGGTGCTCACCTCCTCCCTGATTTTGCTGCTGGGCAACTTCTTCTGCATTAGGAAGAAGCCCAAAGAGCCACAGCCTGAGGTGGCGGCCGCGGAGGAGGAGAAGCTCCACAAGCCTCCTGCAGACTCGGGGGTGGACTTGCGGGAGGTGGAGCATTTCCTGAAGGCTGAGCCTGAGAAAAACGGGGAGGTGGTTCACACCCCGGAAACAAGTGTCTGAGTGGCTGGGCGGGGCCGGCAGGCACAGGGAGGAGGTACAGAAGCCGGCAACGCTTGCTATTTATTTTACAAACTGGACTGGCTCAGGCAGGGCCACGGCTGGGCTCCAGCTGCCGGCCCAGCGGATCGTCGCCCGATCAGTGTTTTGAGGGGGAAGGTGGCGGGGTGGGAACCGTGTCATTCCAGAGTGGATCTGCGGTGAAGCCAAGCCGCAAGGTTACAAGGCATCCTCACCAGGGGCCCCGCCTGCTGCTCCCAGGTGGCCTGCGGCCACTGCTATGCTCAAGGACCTGGAAACCCATGCTTCGAGACAACGTGACTTTAATGGGAGGGTGGGTGGGCCGCAGACAGGCTGGCAGGGCAGGTGCTGCGTGGGGCCCTCTCCAGCCCGTCCTACCCTGGGCTCACATGGGGCCTGTGCCCACCCCTCTTGAGTGTCTTGGGGACAGCTCTTTCCACCCCTGGAAGATGGAAATAAACCTGCGTGTGGGTGGAGTGTTAGGACCAACGGTTTCCTAGGAGTATGTGGTTTTGCTGTGTGGCCTGTGTCCTGACTCGCACGTCTGCTGATGGCCTGGCTGTTCCTACCGTGGCTCTGTCCTCGCCAGCTTTCCCTGCAGCGGCATAGCATTCGTAGCAGGGGCAGGCGCTGCATGGAGGGGGCTGCGGGGCAGGTGCCTGGAGGCCGCTGTGCCAGGGTGGCCTCTGAAATGTGCCAGGGAGCCCCTACGTGGTGGTTAGATGGGAGCTGAGGTGGAACAAGCCACTTTATTCACTGCTGTGTTTAAGAAACAGGACCCTCCTGCCTTCCCTTTTTCGCCCCTCTGCCTGGCTGGCAGTGTGCGTGGTGTGGTCAGTGCCCAGGGCTGGTCTTTGCACCCTGTCCTCCATCCAGCCCGGCCCAGCGCTTGGGCTTGTCCTGGACACCTAACACCCACCTGCCCTCGTGGCCAGCAGTGGCCTGCGTGGCTGGGAGCCCGGTCAGAGGCCGCCGGGGCCCTCAGTAGGTGCGTCGTGGGCGCTGGGGACGGCAGCGGGTGCCCTGGCGGGCCGCGTGCAGCCGGAGAGATGCCATGTCCCTGCTCCTCTGCAATGAAAAGCAAGCGAAAAGTGCACATCTCAGGTCCAGCTGTCCCCATCTGCCCCTGGCCTTGCGCCAGCTGGGCTTGAGCTCTTGCAGCCCAGGCTCCTGCCTGCAGCCTCAGGGCTGTGGAGGCCTCTAGCAGGGCTCAGGCTGGCGGGCAGTGCCAGCAGTTGCAGGGATCAAGGTCAGACTCTGCACAGCTAGGCCCATGTGTCTCGGCAGAGTCCACCAGTCCCACCCAGCAGCTGAAGGGAGAAAGACGAGGAGGCAGGGAGCAGACGAGGAGGTGGGGAGCAGGCAGCCCGGGCCTCAGAGGACACATGGCCTTCCCCCGCTGGCACCCCCACATCAGGGCCACCAGGGGACTGCTCACACCCAGGGGTTGCCGCCTCTGGACCTGGCTGTCCCTGGTTCTGCTGACCTCAGGAGTGACCTGGGCTTACAGAGGTACTGGCAGGGAGGTCATGGGCCGGGTGAGGGGTGCTCGCTCCTGGAACCCTGTTTCCAGGTATCTCGGGCCCTCACCCTCCCCTAGGCAGGAAGCAGTCTCTCTAGCTCAACTGTCACCCCTCGTCTGCCCCACTCTGGTCCCCACACCCACAGCACACAGCAGAGGCTCAACACAAAGTAGCCAGGCAGTGCTGCTCCCGGACAGACATGCCTGAGGGACCGTGCTCAGTGATTCAGGAGTGGTCCAGATGTGGGAAGGCAGCCACGCTTGGTTGGGGGCACAGGACGTGTGGGGGCTGGGGTCCCTGTGCCGCAGGGTGGGCGTGAGTGGGCGCTGAGTTCTACTACCTCCTCCCTCAGCTGGTGCCTTTAAAGGAGGGAAGCCATGGGGCAGTGGGTCTGCTCTGACCCGACAGGCAGGAGTGAAGGGGAAGGGAAGGGAAGCCCGGAGCCCACTGGGAAGAAGCTGGGGGCAGAGGTCTGGTGCGTGGGCTGCAGAGCTATCCCCCAACCCCGGCGACAGATTCTAGTGCCAAAAGTGGTTCAGGTCTACCGTGTTGTGAAGATCCCCTGACCAGAGACACGTCCGTCCAGAACCCACTGCTACTTGGGGTGGGGGTGGGGGGCAGAGGGCGCACAGACTTCTTCACATGATCCCAGATCAGAGGGAGAAGGGAGGTGTCCGCCCGGCCTGGGCCTTCCCAGAGAACAGCCCTGGAACAGATGTGTGCAAGGCCTGTGCCGGGGGAGGTGGCGGGGGAGGCACAGGGGACCCAGAAAGGGCTTGGTGGCCCCGGACGCTGCCGTCCCTCAGCCTTCCGAGGGGTCTATGGTGAAGCTCCCGGGAGGCGCTGCCCAGTACCTGGAGGGCCTGCTCTTTTCAGCGTCTAAACCATGCCTGAGGACACAGACCCAGCCAGACTCAGGTTCAGAGAACAAGCCCTCTAACTCTGTCCGCTCATGCCCCCGCAGATGAGATGGAACAGGCCTTGAGGACATGCAGCCCCTGCTCCCTCTCAGGGCAGGGAACCCCAGGAGGGCAGCTGCAGGCCTGGGAAGCTCAGGCAGGAACTGGAACTTGGGTCTTGCCGTTTTCCGGTTGGGGCCGGTGAGCGGGGCAGGGGCTGAGCCTCACCCACGGCCACAGTGAGGCCCCACACGGTGTCTCAGTCTGGGGCAGCAAGAGGGAACCACGTGAGGCGGGCTGGAGACAGGGAAGGCCCGGAAGCCAGCTCAGATGCCCAGGGCACAGCCAGAATGGCTGAGAGGAAGGGCCTGGGAGGAGGCAAAGTCTGGGCAGGAGGGGCTGGCAGAGCTCCAGGCCATGGGCATCCCCACGGTTGGGGAAGGAGTGCATCACAGGCAGAGTTGGCGGGACAGCCCCGGAACGTGGGGCTCAGAAAGCTACACCGTTCTTAGAGCAACCTCCAGGCAAGTGACCCGAAGTCCCTGTGCTTTTTCACTACAAACAAAAATATCCTCCTCTTAGGCAGCGTGACCCTGGCCAAGGGGCCAAGGGAGTGGCCTGGAGTGGAGAGTACTGGGTGGAGGTGGGGGTGGGAGGGGAGCTGGGAGGGGAGGCGGCCTAGCCTGGCTGAGCTCACCCACACACGAGCACAGGTTAGGAGTTGGTGCAGACCTCCCTGCTCTGGCAGCCTGACAGCCCCCGCAGGCCTTGGATAGGGGCCACTGCTGTGTGCTCTGGGGGGGGGGGGAAGAGGAACCCTATCTCCTTGTGCCTGTGCAGGGCCATCGGGCAGCTCCTGGGCTTCAACAGCTCAAGCGACAGGGGGATCCCTGAGCACCACGGCCCTATGGCAGGGGGAAGGGACATGCGCTCACCCCAGGCGGCTGGAGTGCGGCTGCCGGTGCCGCCCGAGAAGGCAGGGACTCTCCAGAACCGTCACACAGAAAGTGCGTGGACTTCTGTGTGCACAACAGAGCCCAAGGGGGCAGCACGGCGAGGAGCAGTCGCCACCCCTCCCTGCCCGGCAGCAGGCCCAGGGGGCAGCTCTCCTGCTCTGCCAGCTCCCAGACACCCACAGGCTGAGAAAGAACAAACAGCCATCTCAAAGAAGTATTTTCACACAGTTCACCTCAACACAGTGAAAACTCTCAAGCTGATGAAATAAAGACCACATGGAAAGGGGAGGGAAGAAAGGTAGAAGTCATTATGAATTTATTATTTACACGATTGTTAAAGTACACAAATACAGTGGCGATACAAACGCACAGCTCGGAGACTGGCCGTCAGTGCACAGCTGACACGACGTCCTACCTACGTCTCCTGCACGGGGCGACGGGGACTAGATACTGGGCAAGGACTGTCACAAGCACTCCGAAGACGCGACCCGGCGAGGCTCGGGCTGGAACCCGGGCGCAGAGCTGCCTCGCACAAACGTTCTGGGCACTACATCGGGACCACAGATATTTACAAAGCAAGCTTGCGCCACTTCAGGCCACAGCGCGACGTCTCTCCGGGTGGGGGACGTCTACCTTCAAGAAGGGGTCCAGCAACAAAGAAAATCTCTTAACTCGGCTCTGACCCACCCCAACCTCCCTCTGTACTTCAACACACAGCTCCCACCCGCTCAAGGCCCCGTACTCCAAAACGCTTACACAGTAACCAGCCTAGGATTGAGAAAGCATCCATGGGCTCAGGCAGACGGCCAGCCAGCTGGTGGGGGGGTGAACAACTGTGTTCTGGGACGCCAGCCAGTTATGGCATCCGGGGAACTCTGGGGAGGAGAAGGGAGAACCAAGGTGCACACCTTCGAAGCCCTAGAGTCCAAAGGGAACATCGTCCATCGTGATGGGGTCCAGCCGAAGTGCCCACGAACACAGACTGCCCTGCGCATTGGGGTTGGGAGCACATGGCCACTGGCTACCGCCCAAGTGCTGCGGAGTGAGAGGCGAGAAGGCATCCTGGGAACCTCAGGGCACAGCAGCATGGAGCCTGGGGCAGCACCAGCTCACGGAGGCCACCTGCCTTCTGGTGGGACTCGGCCCCACGCACGCTGCTTCACTTCTGACCAACAGACACGCGCCCAACAGAAGGTCACAGCGCAGACTCTACTTTCTGGCCGTGAAGGTTCTGGGTCCGGTTGGGAGAGTCACCTGCTCCTTGGCACCTCAGGGTGGGTCCTTCTGGCCTGCCGGCTTTTCTGAGCTAGTCTTGGCACGTGGCAAGGACAGCCCCGCTCCTGGTTTTAAGCACAGGCATTCATACAGACGGAGTGCCAATCCGCACAGGAGCATTGAGTGCTGAGAAAATGGACTGAGTGCAAAGGCAGCAAGGCAACAAACACTACAGTAACCACCTCTCGGTTCACAGTCCTCTCCCAAGGGACCAGAAACGCATCTTCCACCTTGAATCCTGGGACTCCCAATTGTCCTGCTAGGGTCTCAAAGCCTCTGCTTCCAAGCTCTCAGCTGCCTGCCCACCTCCTGGGGAAGAAGCGCGCAGTGCTTTGCCTGGTAACACCCACTGCACCCCTGCCCCGCGGCAGCCTGCGGTCCCTAACTGCTCTCCGAGGGCCTCAAGAGTTCCTGACAGCAGGCATGTCAATTACGGGAGGAGGGAGGGTGAGACGCCAAAATCAGGTTGAAGAGGTCCCACCACACACGGGCACACACACACACCACGGACTTTTGATGAGAAATCTCCTCTCCAAAGCGGACAATAAAACACTGCAAAACAAACACAGCACACACCCTTGAGATCCACCTGCACCTTCTCCCTGCCCGACTCCACCTCATACACTAACTCCAAGCCAGCCTGTCTCAGAATTCCTTAGTCAACATTTTTTTTGTAAGACTGCAAAAACAGACAAGAAACAATAAAAAGACAGATTTTCTTTACACAGATTTAAGCCAATAATTTTTAGCAAAATGATACAAAACTGTCTTAACCAAGTAGAAGATTGGTAGTTACAGTGGAATCGTCAGGGAGTACAGGGCGGCCACCACTGGAGGGAGCTGAGGCCCTGGAAAAGGAGTCTGATTCTCTGCAATTCTCTCTCTGCTTTTCTTCCCAGCCCCGTTACAACCGAGTTCACGTGGGGGGCCGCAGTGCAGCCCCAGCGGTGGCAGCTCTTGGAGTCTGTCCGTTTAGTATGTTTCCCCCACGAGCGTCGCTGGGTGAGTGGCCTGGAGAGCTCCCGGTGTTAACATTTCGATCCTAGACCGGGGGACGTGTCACTAGTAAAGCCATTGGTAACAGAGTAGATCAGCCATGCATTGTCTGCCCTTCACAGCAATAAGGAGAGTTCTCATCGGTGCACGACAGACTGAAGACCACTGGAAGCCACCCGACCAGGAATCTGTCGGAGCCAAAGCACAGGAGAAGGTCAGCATGGGGCTGGGGGAGCCGGCCAGGCAGATACCACAGTGACGGTGCTGGGCAGGGAGGGGACGCACCGCCACCGCCTAGCCCCAGTCTAGACGCCTGCGTCCCCCGCCACGCACAGGGGCCTCTGTGGCTGGGACACGTGCTCAGCAGAACGAGTGACAGGAAGACGGGAAGGAGGAAGAGGCATGCAAGCAAGGTGCCCGCGGAGCCGGGCTCGGCAGGGTCGAAGGATCCGAGTGGAGCGGAGACGGGTGCTCCTGCCTCCCTTCCTGGAAAGGAACCTGGTGTTTGAAAATGGGTACCCCTCTCAGGGAAGACATGAAAAGCAGTTCCTGTCAACACATTTCCAGAGTGTGCACAGTGTGAAAACTGCAGCGGGTCTCCCAGCGGCACAGACCCGACAGAAGCGCAAGCCCCTGCTGGAAGGAGCCGCCGAGCGCGCGTGGCCGCCGAGGAGGGAGCACAGCGTGGACGCCGGCCATGCACCGACGGCGGGGAGTGAGTGGGCTGCGGCTGGAGGAGTTAATACAGACGAAGCTGCGTGGACAAGACGGCTGGGCAGAGACCAAGTGTGAAAAGAAACACAAAACAAGGACAGAGATAAATGAGACAGGAAGAGAGAGGCGACTAGAAAAGCTGGCATGGCAGAGACTGCCCAGAGTGTGGCGCAGCAAGAGCTTAGGAGCCCCCAACACCAAGCGTGGAGCCACCCAGCTGAGCAGGACACAGACGCCCCTCCAGGCACGGCCGACCGCAGACAAGGCAACTCAAGTGCTCGGGGCACCCGCCTTGCCACTCCTGCCTCACGGGTGGGCACCCAGGACAGGAGGAGAGCAACGGCACACGGAACGCAGTCACGGGGAGGCCACAGGCCAACAGGATGGTCTCCTGGGGTCACTCTGTTCCAAAGCTCTCTGTGGACAGCCTCCCCCCAAGACTGGGCAGCGGACTGCCGCCGCTCTGCACCCCACAAGAAGAACAGAGCAGAAGAAGCCTCACTCTACCTCCAGCACCTGGCATGCAAGCCCAGCCCACCTGCAAGCTCCCATGGGTGGGGCATGGTGGCTCCCACCCACCTGGCGCTGCTGCCTGGCGCCCGCCACGCGCACACTCACCCAGTGCTGCCTTCCGATGGGAGACGAGCAGCTACTTGCCGTGGTGTTCGAAAGGAATGCTATTCTGAGGTGGGGAAAAGACAGCTGTTGGTAAGCGTCCCGCTGGCCCCCTGACTACCTGTGTCGGCTCCATGTCCAGATGGGCATCCTTGCCTCAACCAGGTCCACAGACCGACAGGTGCCACCTGGGGGAGCCCAGGCACAGAGCACAGCCTCACTTGCCTCTCAGGACGGGCCTCTGGATGAGAGTGGTGCCCACTCCTCTTCTGGAATCACTTGCTCTTAAGGCCAACAATGGCATGGGACAGGCCCTCCTGAGTCTTCTCAAGCACTAAGAAAACCTGATCCCAGCAGGATGGCAGGTGCTGGGCAGCCCCACAACTGGGTCTCAGGGCACAGCCTGAAGGCAGGGGAGACGCACATCCTCGCCGGTACGACGACAGGGCTCAGGCCTAGTCCTGGGCAGGAGTTGATCAAAGCGAGTCATCGACTGTTGGAATGACAAGGCCTTCTTCTCACCAAGTAAAAACCCCAAACAGACTCAGCAACTAGATGGCCTTTAGGGCCCAGGCTACTGTAGCCAAAGAGCCCTGGCCGAACACCAACAGCCCGAAAAGAGAGGGGGCGAAGAGGGAACAGACCCAGGCGGAGTCCGGGCTGGGGCGGGGCCCTACAACTATGGGGGCCTCTGTGACCTACAGGCAGGCTGCCACGTGGTCTTCCACCCATCCACACCCAGCCACGGCCAGCAAGCCCTGGGAGACCTTCCTGCTGCCTCCTCCCATCTCCACAGGGCGCAAGGTCTCCTGAGAGGAGCAGAAAGAACAGGGAAGAGCGACGGCCCGAGGAGGAAGACTGGCCGGGGATGAGTCACTGCCCACGGTGACTGTGTCTCCAGCTCACCCGAGCAAACAGGTGAGGCGCTCAGAGCAATTGAGCCTCCTGTATTCCCCCTTGGGATTCAAAACGGGAGCTGCTGCTCACAGCCACCACGTGTGCTGGTGCTGGCAGAGTCTGGCAGGAAGGACACACGGCCAAAGCCTTCCTGTGAGATGGTGACAAAGGAGGGGGCCCGCCCTGGAGGTGGGGAGCCCTCAACATGCCTCTCAGGAAGGCCCCCCAGGGTGTCCAGGAGCAGAGGCCAAGAGGCTTCTTTTGGAGAGAACACACCCCCAAACCAGCTCTCTCTGGAGACTCCTCCCTGCTGTTAGAGCCCACGTTGTATTTCCTCATATGGAAAACGAGGGCCTAAGAGCCAGCTGCGGGTTCCTGCCACAGCTCACCATGGAAGGAGACACTGCTCACGGCCACCTTGGGGGCTGGTGGCTACAACAGCCACACCCAGGTGCCGCCAAGGCCGTGTACCGAGAAAAGGCAGCTGGACTCAGGGCTGTGGCTACTCAGCACGCTCAGGACACCTTCACTGCCCACAAAGATCCCAAACCACTGGACACTTTACTTTCTTTAAAAGAAACAAAAAGCACTCAGGCCCCTTCCCTAGTCTTTGTCAGCCAAGCGCTGGGGCGAGGCTGTCCAAGTCCGGTCAGCACCCAGCATGGGGAGCACTCTGGGCTCCTGTACCATGGTTCAGGGGCTACAGAGCCAGCCGCACATCAAGACACGAGGGCACGGGCAGACCCTCCCGGGAACTGCTCACAGGAACTGATGCGCAAGTGCCAGGCTCGTGGAAAGAAGCCAGTTAAACCCTTTCTGTGCTGTGTCTGGAGGTGACAGCAGGGTTGTGTGCACGTAAGGGACCCATTCTCGTGACGCAGCCCAGACCCCTCGAGCCCAATTCATATAACCACAAAGTCAAAATAACCACGAAGCCAAAATCCCTGCATCTTTGGTCTCTTTGGGAAGAAGTTATACAAAAAGGTCTGTTTCTAGTGAAATTATTAGTGAATTAGAAACGTGCAGTAAAACCCCAATCATTAAAAGACGGCAAGTGGTCAAGAGTGCTCCCCACTCCGGCATGTTCCTGGCTAGCCAGCTACACCCAGCCCCGCTCACGGCAGCAGGCCTGGCTCCATCCTGTGATCCCAACAAACACCTCCCCACAAGCCCAGAGCCAGGCTCCAGGGCATTTCTGAACTGAGTTCCTGCTCATCCGGAAGACCCGTGGGGGATCTGGGCACCCCCCAGGATGCCTGCTGGTGAAACAGCCCTGCCCCACTAACCCTGCCCCTGTTGGCGAACAACCCAGAAAACTATTTGAAGAAATATAATGGATCCATATGGAGAAAGCTGTTCTAGTTCAAAGAGCACGTTAGCAAACGCAAAAGACAACAAAAGCCAGAGCGAGGAGAGGAGAGACCGCTGCAGGATGCTGAAGAGGCGGTGGCCGTGGCTAGGCCTGGGCTGCGCAACAGGGTACTTCTCGTCCAAGGGAAGACAGGTGAGGCCGTCAAAAGAAGGAAAGCCTCGTTGCAGGGCATGCCACCAGGGAGGGTCTCACAAGAAGCCCGTGGAGGTCCCTACGGGCCTCCATCCCTGGCCAGTGGCAAGAATGAGGAAGAATGAGGAAGGCTCCCTCGGGCTGGGGGCACCCACAATGGGGCGCAAGCAGGCGAGCGGTGTCAGCTGCCTGGGGACGGCTGCGGGCAGCGGGGCACTCAAACAGCAGGAGAAAGCCCCCACGGTTTGCTGGCCTCAGGGACCTGAGACCTGAGACTGGCCACCTGCAACCAGGAGACAAGCCCCATGACGGCCCAGCATGTCTCCCAGGCCCTCCCGAGAAGCCTCATCTGCAACCAAGACGCCACACCCTGGCGAGATTAAAAACTCTCAAAAATGGGGGGAAGAAAGGAAAGAAGAAGCCCTGGAGAAACCACAGCCCGCTCTTGACTCGGACGGGGTAGCCCGAGGCCCAGCGCCCGCCCGGGAGCTCTGCACCTACCTGTGAGGTGGACATGCGAGAGGTATCTTGTCGGCCTGTGAGGTCGGACGAGGAGATGTTGACGGGGGCCCCGCGGTGCAGCCGCATACTCACTTTCCGCTCTCTCTCCATGCCGGAGACGGGCCGGGGGGAGGTGTTAGCTGAGGACAGGGAGAGAAACGGAGTGGGCCGCCCCCGTCTGCTGCCTCTCACTCGGGGCTTTCTATGAGAGGCTGTGGCCAGAGAGGACCCTGGGCTGCCTGGACAGTCAGGACCTGGCTGTGGCCGATGGCCACCAACACTCAGATCCGGCCGGAGGGACACAAAGGGACATGGGAGCGAGGTCAAGGGGCTCACAGGGGAGGAACGTGAGATGCGGGAGGAATCACGCACACCAGCAGGTGCCGGCATTTCTAAAGGCGCCTGGGCAGCCTGGCTCATCCACCCTCAGGAGCGAGCATCGCCTGACACAGGGCACTTAGTGTCCACCACCAAGTACCCTGTTGTCCCCACCAACCCCAAGACACAAGAAGTCACCCCAGAGCCAGCCCCAGAGCGCTGGGAGGGGGGCACTCACCCGTGTGTGAGGTAGGGGTGAGGGGTGTGGGGGGAGCCACTTCCTGCGTCCCCCGCAGGCGGCCGGAGGCTGTGGAAGGGAGGCCGCGGGTAGCCGGGTTCCGCGAGTGTCTCAGCCGCTCCTCTCGGTCCCTGCGCTCCCGCTCGGCGTCATCGGCGGCCCGGCTGGCACCCTGAGGAGGCAGGAGGTGAGGCCGGAATGGAACCAGCTTTGGCAGAAAGCAACCCTAGGTCCTAGGCTGCCCCGGCCACGTGAGAAAATACCTACCAAAGGGCACTGGGACGAGACTGCCTGCAAAGCCCCCCACAGGCTGCACGTTTCTCCTCATGGGATGACAGCATCATCCCCACAAGGGGTCAGAGCCAGGCCTCTCAGCTCCCCCAACAATCGAAAAAACCCCACTCGCCATGGCATCTCCCTGTGGGCTCAGAACTTCCTTAAACTTCCAAATGGGCAGCAGCTACCCCCTGCTGCTCTGTGAACATGCTCACTAACACGTGCAGAAAGAGGAGAGGGACAGGAACCATCGGAGGCCAAAGACAGGCCCCAAATGGTGACAGCTGGGGAGGAAAGCGGGGTGGGGATGAGAGCGTTTGGTCGGACGAGGAGTACACTCAGGGTCCGGACCCTGCAGCCTCCAACAGCCTGTGCAGGTGTGGTGGCGTGGCCAGCAGCCGGCAGCCGGATCTGTGCTGCACTATCCAGATGCACGGGGGTGGGGAGGTCAGATTTTAAGCCGAGACAGCAACCTATGAAAAAGCAGATTCTAACTGCCAATGCTGTGCGGCAGGGGCCTGCAAACTACAGCCCCGGGGCCAAACCCAGGTGCCACTTCTTCCTGCAAGTACAGCTCATTGGACACAGCCACGTTCACCAGGCAACACACAGACCGACACACCTGCGGCTGCAGCACCGTGCGGCCAGCACCGCCCAGACTCCTCATGCTGCCATTTACGGAAAACGCTGGCCTAGCCTGCTCTGAGGGCCGGGTGACTCTAATGCCGCAGGAGGGTCGCTCTGATTCCTCCCGAGGCAGCACAGCCCCGGCAGAGGGACTGATCTGCCCTGCCGAGTGCACCCCTCCCGGCACCTGGGCCCCGAGGCTCGGGCCTGCCTCGCCTGCCATCTCTCCGGGGCCTCCAAGTACTCCCCACGCTGATGGGCACTTGGCAAGTAAGTCAAGATGAACAGAGTGCACCCCTCCCAGCATCTGGAGACCCCGCCCCTCCCTGGCCCCTGCACGACTACTGGACAAGGCTGCCGTTTTTGTACCCTCCCAAGAGGCAGTTCTGCTCCTCCATCAGACTGCTGCCTGGAAAAGCTCCAAATTCTATTTAAAACTGACAACAAAACAGTAAGTTTTTAATGAAGGAACACAACAGTTCCACAGGAGCTTCATTTCTGACAGCGGTGTCTGAAAAGTAATTCAGCTCAGACATGGACCCAGGGCTGGGCTGCCTGTTTTAGAGGCTCCACTGCATACTCACACCGCATCAAGAAAGCCACAGGGAAAATCAGCTCATGACAGGGTCAGTCAGGCTAGACGGGTAGCACCTCACCAGGCCCCAACCCCACTCATCTCGTGGGCACCACGACCATGTGGCACAGCGAATGGGAATGCGCACCCCCAGCCCCCACCCTCTGCCCCCAGGGCATGCTCTGGGCCCTAGCTCCGCTTGGTGACAGGGAGGGAAGGGGCCTCCTGCTGTCCACACCCAGGAATTCCATGGACCCCTCTGCGTTCCCTAATGGCGTCTTACTTCTTGGCACCCCTTTCTGGCAGGCAGACACCCACTCAGTCCAGGTCCTGCCCACTACACACTTGCCCTTCACAACCA
The DNA here is from genome assembly GCF_000001405.40 of Homo sapiens. NCBI lineage: Eukaryota > Metazoa > Chordata > Mammalia > Primates > Hominidae > Homo > Homo sapiens. The sequence goes on from NC_000017.11 coordinate 82,251,269, forward strand.
GAGACACTCCCTATATGGTACAGCCCCTCAACAAGACGGCCGCCGGCCTCTCACTGACAAGCCATCCCCCGCACACCACACTCAGCGAACGTGCTGGCAGTGCGACTTACAAATTTGAGCATGTTCCAGTCGAACACGTAGTCATAGGAGAAGCCCTGGCGATGGAACAGATTCCGGAAAAGCTGCCGCAGGTACGAGTAGTCAGGCTTGTCGTCAAAACGCAAGGAACGGCAGAAATTCAGGTATGTGGCAAATTCGGCTACAAAACAAGAAACTCAAAGCTAACTCATGAAACCCAACTGCGACTCAAGGTGTCTCTGCCAACGTCGCTGTCTACCTCCTGCTGCTGCACACTCAAGGGGAGAAGGACAGATGCAAAACACCTGTCAGATTTCTAAGACCTGAAGCCTTGAGAAAGCATCGAAAAGTATTCAAGTCACGGCCGGGTGCGGCGGCTCACGCCTGTCACCCCAGCACTCTAGGAGGCTGAGGAGGGCGGATCACGAGGTCAGGAGATCAAGACCATCCTGGCTAACACAGTGAAACCCCATCTCTACTGAAAAAAAAAAAAAAAAAGTTCTAGAGCGTGGTGGCGGGCGCCTGTAGTCCCAGCTACCGGGGAGGCTGACGCAGGAGAATGGTATGAACCCGGGAGGCGGAGCTTGCAGTGAGCCGAGATCACGCCACTGCACTCTAGCCTTGGCGACAGAGTGAGACTGTGTCTTAAAAAAAAAAAAGAAGTCATAAAGCACAATTTAGTTTCATTTGAGGTGTGTATCCTGGGGCAATCCTACAAATGCAAAGGAAATCTCCCGAGCTCCTGGAGGGGGCCAGAGAGGGCAGCCACTGCAGAGAGAGGCCCCACCACTGCCTGTCCATCCCTTTCCAGCCACTTGGGGCCCTGAGGCTCGGGCCTGCCTTGCCTGCCATCTCTCCAGGGCCTCCAAGTACTCCCCACGCTGATGGGCACTTGGCAAGTAAGTCAAGATGAACAGGAGGGCAGGCTGTTACCTCCATACACAAAAGCGCCCCGCTTTCCTGCCACCACCCCTTTGGAAGGTGAGCAACTCTTCTGACAAAACCCAGACTGAGCCGTCTCGGCACACCCGACACATATGCAACCCCTGTGAGCAGCTCCGCTGAGAAGAGGCCTCCAGAGACTTACAAGGGTAGCCTTTACACAACACTTCGATGGGGGTGGACATTTTCTTCTCGCTAATCCTTTCGTATTTCTGTCTCTTGGTGGCAGCCTTCAGCCCCTGCCAGGGGAGAGAGCCCAGGTTGAAGTACATTAGCACGTAGCCCAGAGACTCCAAGTCATCTCTTCGGGATTGTTCTGAAAAGAAAAGGGAAAGGCGTGAAGAACGGCACTTGCGTGCTCACGTCAAAGCAAAAGACCCGGCTGGCCGTTCCAGTGGAGACTAGCCTCAGACACACATGCCCAGATCACTCCAGCTGGCACTTCCAGTGGAGACGAACCTCGGACACACATGCCCAGATCACTCTCACCCAGAGCTGCCCCTCATGCATACTAAGGAAATTCCCAAACACATCACAGGTGACTCAGAAATGTCCCAGCATCCGCCTGCCCCCATACACCTGGCAGTCACGAGCCAGCCTGTCTGCCGCAAAGGTCTGATGACACGCTTGCAGCCCCAGCTCCCCGAGAGGCTGGCCTCTCCCTGGGCTGAGGCATGGACGCGCCCAAAGGCACCCCAGGTCAGTGACCCCATGCCCAGGGGCTCACCAATTCCAAGGTGCGTGTTGATGGAGGCGTACCGCGCCGTCCCCGTGAGGTTCTTGTTCTCACGATAGGGGATGTGCTGGTGGGTGCGTGCATCCCGGTACTTCTTGGCCAGCCCGAAGTCGATGATGTACACCAGGTTGCCCTTCTTCCCCAGGCCCATGAGGAAGTTGTCTGGCTTCACATCCCGGTGGATGAAGTTCTTTGAATGAATGTATTCGATGCGACTGATCTGTGAGCAGAGCAAGGGCGCGAGATGGCACCCCAGGGCAGTCTCAGGGAGGGACCGCTCAACTGTGGGACACTACATCAGTGGCTGCATTGTTCCTGCCCCTCAGCCACAGCAGGGTAGTTTAACAATTAGCGAGGGGGATGCCGAACTGACCAAATTGTTCCCCCAGGTGCCTGCAGCAACCCTCCACACTCCACCCTCCACAGGCCTAGGCGCTTTGCCTTCAGCTCCCACAAAACAGAGAGGTGAGGCGACAGAGAGGGGACAACCCGCCACTAGACATCGGTCTCTCCCAGCACTGTTCTCTGCACAGACTACACACCAGGATTAGCAGAGAAACTGCACGGAGGTGCTTAGGAATCACGTGTGTTCCTGAGAGACTGAGGAACCCACTGAATGGAAACGTGCTATGCTGGTACCGAGAAGGTGGCCTCCAAGCCAGTGAGCTGAGCCACCAGAGCCTCGAGAAGCCAGTGAGCTGAGCCACCGAAGCCTCCAGAAGCCTCGAGAAGCCAGTGAACTGAGCCGCCGGAGCCTCGAGAAGCCAGTGAGCTGAGCCGCCGGAGCCTCGAGAAGCCAGTGAGCTGAGCCGCCGGAGCCTCGAGAAGCCAGTCAGCTGAGCCGCCGGAGCCTCGTGAAGCCAGTGAGCTGAGCCGCCGGAGCCTCGAGAAGCCAGTGAGCTGAGCCGCCGGAGCCTCGAGAAGCCAGTGAGCTGAGCCGCCGGAGCCTCCAGAAGCCAGTGAGCTGAGCCGCCGGAGCCTCGAGAAGCCAGTCAGCTGAGCCGCCGGAGCCTCGAGAAGCCAGTCAGCTGAGCCGCCGGAGCCTCGTGAAGCCAGTGAGCTGAGCCGCCGGAGCCTCGAGACGCCAGTGAGCTGAGCCGTCGGAGCCTCGAGAAGCCAGTGAGCTGAGCCGCCGGAGCCTCGAGAAGCCAGTGAGCTGAGCCGCCGGAGCCTTGTGAAGCCAGTGAGCTGAGCCGCCGGAGCCTCGAGAAGCCAGTGCAGTGCGCTGAGCCGCCGGAGCCTCGAGAAGCCAGTGCAGTGCGCTGAGCCGCCGGAGCCTCGAGAAGCCAGTCAGCTGAGCCGCCGGGGCCTCGAGAAGCCAGTGCGCTGAGCCGCCGGGGCCTCGAGAAGCCAGTCAGCTGAGCCGCCGGGGCCTCGAGAAGCCAGTCAGCTGAGCCGCCGGAGCCTCGAGAAGCCAGTCAGCTGAGCCGCCGGAGCCTGGAGAAGCCAGTGCGCTGAGCCGCCGGAGCCTCGAGAAGCCAGTGAGCTGAGCCGCCGGAGCCTCCAGAAGCCAGTCAGCTGAGCCGCCGGAGCCTCGAGACGCCAGTGAGCTGAGCCGCCGGAGCCTCGAGAAGCCAGTGAGCTGAGCCGCCGGAGCCTCGAGAAGCCAGTGAGCTGAGCCGCCGGAGCCTCCAGAAGCCAGTCAGCTGAGCCGCCGGAGCCTCGAGACGCCAGTGAGCTGAGCCGCCGGAGCCTCGAGAAGCCAGTGAGCTGAGCCGCCGGAGCCTCGAGAAGCCAGTGCGGTGAGCCACCGGAGCCTCGAGAAGCCAGTCAGCTGAGCCGCCGGGGCCTCGAGAAGCCAGTCAGCTGAGCCGCCGGGGCCTCGAGAAGCCAGTGTGCTGAGCCGCCGGGGGCCTCGAGAAGCCAGTCAGCTGAGCCGCCGGGGCCTCCAGAAGCCAGTGAGCTGAGCCATCGGAGCCTCGACAAGCCAGTGAGCTGAGCCGCCGGAGCCTCCAGAAGCCAGTCAGCTGAGCCGCCGGAGCCTCGAGAAGCCAGTGAGCTGAGCCGTCGGAGCCTCGAGAAGCCAGTGAGCTGAGCCGCCGGAGCCTCGAGAAGCCAGTGAGCTGGGCCGCCGGAGCCTCGAGAAGCCAGTGAGCTGAGCCGTCGGAGCCTCCAGAAGCCAGTGAGCTGGGCCGCCGGAGCCTCGAGAAGCCAGTGAGCTGGGCCGCCGGAGCCTCGAGAAGCCAGTGAGCTGGGCCGCCGGAGCCTCGAGAAGCCAGTGAGCGGAGCCACCGGAGCCTCGAGAAGCCAGTGAGCTGAGCCACTGCAGCCTCAAGGCTGAGGCTCAGCAAATTTCCATTTCCTCTGTGAATTAATGGCCATAATAATGGCAAGAACAGCACAAGCGAGTGGCTGATTCTATCAGACAGCAAGTGTGTGCCAACTGTCAGGAAACAGTCCTTACCATTTGGTCAGCAAGCAGCAGGACGGTTTTGAGGCTGAATTTCCTGGAGCAGAAGTTGAAGAGGTCCTCCAGGCTTGGCCCCAGCAGCTCCATCACCATGACGTTGTAGTCCCCCTCTGCCCCGCACCATCTGATGGTGGGGATGCCCACTAGGCAAGGAAATCAGACACAGTGTTTCAGTCCAGGCCCTGCCTCAGCTCCACACTAAGTCTGCACTGTGCACACCAAGGGGTCATGGTGACAATCCTGAACGGGGGAGGGGTGGTGGAGGTAGAAGACCCCGGCAACGCCGCTCCTCAGGGACCCATCCTCGAGATTAGGCCCCATCTATTAGCAAATGGCCTGAGGCAGACGTTGGATGAGGGCCAAGCAGACAGGAGCTGTAAGGGGGACAAGGAGGGGATCGAAGCCCCACCTCCCCGACTCCCGTCTTCTAGGGCAGGGGGGCAGGAGACACAGAAAGCAGCCACGATGTGGGAAAGAAAAGAGCTCAGGCATAAAGGAGCAGCAGAGCCCGCCAGAAACGTCACACAGGAGATGGGAGGAGAGAAAGCAGCTACCGTGGGTTAGGTGAGAGAAGAAAATATGTTCAATTACTCCGATGTTGGTAGAAGTATTTGACTGGATAAGAGAAAAGCAAAAGCAATGAAAACTTTTTGGGGATTTACACAGTAACCCAGGATTGAAATATACAAATCAGGGAAGTGAAAATAAAGACACAATAAATCCAACAGGAAGAATTTAAAGATGGCTGCATAGTATCAGTGCTGAAGGCATAATCAACACTATAAAGGCACACGGGCCAGGTGCAGTGGCTCATGCCTGTAATCCTAGCACTTTGGGAGGCTGAAACGGGAGGACTGCTTGAGCTCAGAAGTTCGAGACCAGCCTGGATAACAAAGGGAGACCCTTGTCTCTACAAAAAATTCTGGAAATTAGGTGGGTGTGGTGGCACGCTTCTGTGGTCCCAGCTACTTGGGAGGCTGAGGCAAGAGGATCACTTGAGCCCAGGAAATGGAGGCTGCAGTGAGCCGTGATGGCACCACTGTGCTCCAGCCTGGGCCACAGAGCAAGACCCTGTCAAAAAAAAAAAAAAAAATCCATTTTAGAAAAAATGGGTGAAAGACCTGGACACTTCACCCAAGACGTTACGTATGAAAAGTCAACGACCACAAGAAGATTCTCAGAGAGATGGAAAACACATGCTGGTAAAAACATGCACAGGAATGTGCACCGCAGCCTCACGCCACAGTCAAATTCAAATGCTGCAGCAACAGGTGGGTTTCTCAAAATGCCACCCCCAAAATACGTCCTTTGGTCCTATTTTTTTTTCTCATATCCACAAGAACATGTCTCTTCGGTATGTTTTCACAGCACTGGATCCGCAACTATACACATGGCTCTACACACATACGGCTTGTGAACGGCCTGGATAAACCTTTTATGTCCTTCCATGGCAAGACAGATTTTTAGTTTAGTCTTAAAGCAAGTTTTGGTACCACTAGGGAAATTCAATTCATTTAAAAAATTGTTTCATTATTTTATTGTTTTGAGACGAGGTCTCGCTGTCACCCAGGCTGGAGTGCAGTGGCACCATCTCGGCTCACGGCAACCTCCGCCTCCTGGATTCAAGCAATTCTCCTGCCTCAGCCTCCTGAGTAGGTAGGACTACAGGTGGGCGCCACCATGCCCAGCTCATTTTACTGGCCACATGTATCGCCTCTCCTCTGAAGGCATGTATTTTTTTTTTTGGCTAAGTTTTTCTATCATGGTATCTTTTTCCTATTCATAGTAGTTCTTTATAACTTCTAGATACTAAACCACTGCAGGTTTTTTGTGAGGCAAGTATCTCTCAGTTAATGGCATGTTTTTTATTTTCTTCTGGAGTTTCTTGATGAAAAGACTTTTCATGAATATGAATGCCTTAATCTTTTGCTTTATGAGTGCTTTCAGTATCTTACATTAAAAAAATAGTTTCTGCCCTCAGCGTCAAAAAGAGATGCTATTGTTTTTTTTTAAAGTGTTAAAGTTACTTCTACTTCTAACAAAAACAGTAATAGGGGCCTGATTCGCCCTCACACCTTAAGTAACTAAGGGAAAGAACAAAACACACACCCTCACACATCACAGGGTGGTTTCCACAACACTGGGCCCGGCCAATGACTGACAGCCGTGCCAGCCAGTGACAGCTGTGCCTGAGGGCGGGAAGGAGCCGTGAGAGGGCGCCCTGGGCTGCCCCCTGCACTGCTGGGAGCATAAGCACAAACGCCAGACTGAACAGATCCATGGAACCCAACCTCATCCCAGAAGAGAGCTGAGGAGGAGCCTGCAGAATGTGGAAGAGCACAGCATGCGTGACATTCTCAATGTCCGGCATCCAAAGTGGAAAACAAACCTGGAGTAAGAGGTTAACTGAACAGACCCGGATGTTCACATCAGCAGGGAAAGCCATGAAACGTTACTACAGATTTCGACTGTATTCCACCGTCGAAAAGTTTTTTAACTGGCCAGGCTCAGGCCTATAATTCCAGCACGTTGGAGGTGGAAGTGGGAGGATCACTTAAGTCCAAGTTTGAGACCAGAAAGAAAACATACTGAGACCCCCGTCTCTACAAAAAAATTTTAAAAATTAGCTAGGCATGGTGCTGTGTGTCTACAGTCCCAGCTACTCGGGAGGCTAAGGTGGGAGGATGGCTTAGGCCCAGGAAGTCGAGACTGCAGTGAGCCGTGATTGCACCACTGCACTCCAGCCTGGGTGACAGAATGAGACCGTCTCAAAAAAAAAAAAAAAAAAAGTTAAAGGCATGAGGCATATACATATATATGTGTATTTATGTTTCGGTCTTTTATATATATGTATATATTTATATAAAAAACATAAATGTATATATAAACCTGAACATATGTGTATATATATATATTATATATATGCAAATACACATCTACTTTCAGATTTGGGAATAGTTGCATTCTGCGTCACAGTCGAGCATCCCTAATCTGAAAATCCAAACTGCCCCCATTAGCATCTCCTTTGAGCATCATGTTAGCACTCATAAAGTTCCCGACTTTGGGTGTTTCAGATACTCAACCTTATTACGGATTTGTGAATTCTTTTCTCTCTCTAGATGCAGCATTACGGATTCCCAAATTCCCTTTCTCCACTCCAATGAGTCACAGTTCCTTCTTCTTAATACTCATTTTGGAGTTTTCACTGTCCCAAATTTAGGCAACAGATCACCTTTCAAACTTTTTCCCGTACCTCATAACAAATGCCTGCCATGTGTTCCAGATTCACCTTCTTTCTTTCTGCCCCAGCCCTGGAATCAGCTGCTTCTCCAAGCACTCAGGACTCCTCTTAACAGAGAATGATAAATACTTAGAAACCCCTGAGGCCCGGTGTGCTCAGTGTTCTAGGCTGTCCTCCTTCTAAGCCCTTCTCGTGGCCAGAACCACACAAAGTATCATCACGACAGCTTTATAGTAAGTGCTGGTGTTTGCAGGGCAAATGGCCCTCTTCTTCACAAGTGTTTTAATTAATCCTGGACTTGCACTCTTCTCAGTGAATTCTAGTCACCTTGTCAGGAAAGAGAAGTGGCTGGATGTCGATGGGAACGTCATTGAATGTTAAGAGCAACTTTGGGAGACCTGACACCTGGCATCTTCCTTTCTCTGAACATAGAGGAGAATTAAGCAAATCTTCCTTAAATGTCCTTCAATAAAGTTTATATATTTTCTGCATGCAGATCTTATCTGTCTTAAAATTTACCCCAGATACCTTTTTGCTACTGTAAGCATTATGTTTTAAATTACATTTTGTAACCAATTAAATTGTTGGTTTAACAAAATGAATTGATTTTATATTTTGATCTTAAATTTGCTCAACTCTCTAATCTGTTCTGAGATCCCTATTTAGGAAATTACATCACATCACATGCCAGTAACAGCAGTTTTATTTCTGCCTTTTTCACCCTCTGCCCTGCTGAAAACAGTGTTGTGAGGCTGAGGATGATGTGGGTTACACAAAACTTGGCTGCACTGCAGGGGGGAATGGAAATCTACATAACCACCTTGGAAAAATCGATATGTATCAATATGCAGACGTCTGCGTTATCCTGCAGAACTGGACATTTGCACGTACCAAGCAACAGCCACTGCAACTTCACACGTAGGTGCTGGCATGTGTGCCCCAGACACATGGACAAGATGTGCACAAAAGCACTGTCCCTAACAGCAAATGCTAGAAGCTCCCCAGGGCTCAACGCAGTATGAGTCAGACGAAGCTACTGTATACAGCTATGTAGATGATCAAACAATGAAAATCAATTACCTAGAGCTGCAATCGATGGGGAAGAATCTCAGGAATACTCTGGGTCAAAGAAAGGTACAGAATACAGACTGCATCGCGTAACACTAAAACTTTCATGTATTCAAAAGACTATGTGGCATGGACTCCTGATCCATCTGAACTGATGGTGTACTGAGTGATGTGACTGATGGTGTACTGACTGATGGTGTACTGACTGATATGACTGATGGTGTACTGACTGATGTGACTGATGGTGTACTGAGTGATGTGACTGATGGTGTACTGACTGATGGTGTACTGACTGATGTGACTGATGGTGTACTGACTGATGTGACTGATGGTGTACTGGTGTACTGACTGATATGACTGATGGTGTACTGACTGATGTGACTGATGGTGTACTGAGTGATGTGACTGATGGTGTACTGACTGATGTGACTGATGGTGTACTGAGTGGTGACTGATGGTGTACTGACTGATGTGACTGATGGTGTACTGAGTGATGTGACTGATGGTATACCGAGTGATGTGACTGATGGTGTACTGAGTGATGCGACTGATAGTGTATTGACTGATGGTGTACTGAGTGATGTGACTGATGGTGTACTGACTGATGTGACTGATGGTGTACGGACTGATGTGACTGATGGTGTACTGACTGATGGTGTACTGAGTGATGTGACTGATGGTGTACTGAGTGATGTGACTGATGGTGTACTGACTGATGGTGTACTGAGTGATGTGACTGATGGTGTACTGACTGATGTGACTGATGGTGTACTGAGTGATGTGACTGATGGTGTACTGAGTGATGTGACTGATGGTGTACTGAGTGATGGGACTGATGGTGTACTGACTGATGGTGTACTGAGTGACGTGACTGATGGTGTACTGAGTGACGTGACTGATGGTGTACTGACTGATGTGACTGATGGTGTACTGACTGATGTGACTGATGGTGTACTGACTGATGTGACTGATGGTGTACTGACTGACGGTGTACCGACTGATGTGACTGATGGTATACTGACTGATGTGACTGATGGTGTACTGAGTGATGAGACTGATGGTCTACTGAGTGATGTGACTGATGGTGTACTGACTGATGGTGTACCGACTGATGTGACTGATGATGTATTTACTGACACCATCTTTCTTTAACAGGGGTCCTGCTGTCACCCAGGCTGGAGGGCAGTGGCACCATCACAGCTCCCTGCAGCCTTAACCTCCCGAACTCTAGCCATCCTCCTGCCTCAGCCTCCAGAGTAGCTGAGACTACAGATGTAAGCCACTGCACCTGGCCTGTTTCTTTTTCCTCCCTACCCCCCAAATGTCTCAGCAGAAATCACCCCTTTTGTTAGCTGTAAGTAACAATGTACCCCGTCATCCATGGCATTAGAGAATGAATAAAATACAGTAAAAGCAACATGCTCTTGCCTCTCAATGCACTTGTGCTCTATGGACTTACTGCTACTGGTGATTTTGCAGGAACAAGTGAAGCCAATGGGTTTGAAAAGAGAACCAAGGCTGCCTGCGCCCAAGTGTGCTAGTCATCCAGGGCCACCCTGCTGCCCTGCCCAGGTGCTGTCACGGTGGGAAGCGGCCACTCATGCTGCTATTTGTAGTCTCAACACTTTTCCCTCATGGTGCCCGAAGGTAGCTAAACATATGCGTGGGGATAAAAATCGGGTGGACAAGGCCAGATACATGAAGACATGCTCCACTCTCATCTGTGAAAAGTTTCAATATAAATGTGGGGACTGAGCATTAATGCAAATAGAAATTTTCATGAAGTTTTCAGCAGTTGAACCCTAAAATGATTTATATAACTAAAATGTTTCTAGATAATTTCATTATTTGGATTTTGAAAAAAGTTTCTTGTAGGATGACAAAGCAACAAAAACTTACAAACAGGTGAGCAAGGTCCTGGCACAGACATGGGGCTGGGCGGGCGAATGGGCTCCACAGGGAGTGTTCCCTCTCAGGTGGGCAGGGCAGGGTCCTGGTTGTTGATTTTAATGTCCTCGATACCGTACATGTTACATACATTCTTTGGTGTTGTACAATATTTCACAAGAAAAAGATGATGGAAGACAGTCGCCCACCCTCAGCCACAGAACCGTCACCCACTGGCCCGGGTTCTACACACGTACTCCCCTCTTCCCTCCCTCAAACCATGCCTACCATCTCAGCCTTGACGAAAAGCAGCTGTGAACTAAGTAAATGTCCTTTGCTGAGGGGTTCCCCAAGGAGGGAGTGAGCTAAGGCTGCTTTTGGGGGATGTTAGGATTGGAAAGAGCAGTTACAACTGTCCCCAGGTTTTGCCCACCAGTCCAGTAGGTTTTCATAAAAACTAGGTGTCTATCCAAATCTTCCACCAACATAGCTACTTTTAGTTTCTTTCTACTATTTCAGGTATTGAATCTATTGTCCCAACCAGATTTGGGACAGGTGGGAGCATCTGGGGCACATTCCTGACAGCTGAAGGCCACGTAGGGTGGCCGCCATTTCCTTCTCTGGGAGCAGACAGCTGCTTCAGCAGTAGCCTGGGGGGCTAGAATGCCCAAGTTCAAGTCTGTCCTCTGTGAAGTTACACAGCCTTCTAAACCCAGTTTCCTCATTTGCAACATAAGGCTGAAGAGCTCAGTACCCACTGCCCAGGGCTGCTATGGGCAGTGACCAGTGTGTTTTTAAGGCTCATTCTTCCCAAGCTGCAGAGAACAGAATGCACTCGCTGTGGAGCTTTCTCCTGGAAGGCAGCATCCATCAAGCAAACGTAAAGATCAGAACCTGGCACCACCACTTGACTTTCACGTGAAAGGAAGGAAAACCGCAATGAGTGGTGCTTGCTGCCCTTTTTTTCAGAGATAGCAGGACAATCTGGACCACCCACAGCAAACACTGCACAAGGGGACAATCTGTACCACCCATAACAGGACAATCTGCACAAGGGGACAATCTGCATCATCCATAGCAGACACTGCACAAGAATGGCAGTGGCAAGATCTGGTGGCTTCTGGATGAAACAATTTCTTCCCATTATTTGTCAACTCCCCGGTTTAGTCTCAAAGTGAATTCAAGAACCACCACCAGAATTAGGCCTTTTGCCTTCTCGGACATCATTTGTTTTCTAAAATGCAGATCTTTAGATCTTTACAGTATCTGACGGGCGCGATGGCTCACGCCTATAATCCCAGCACTTTGGGAGGCCAAGGTGGGCAGATCGCCTGAGATCAGGAGTTCAAAACCAGCCTGGCCAACGTGGTGAAGCCCTATCTCTACTAAAAATACAAAAATTAGCCAGGCAGGGTGGCTCATGCCTGTAATCCCAGCTACTCCAGAGGCTGAGGCAGGAGAATGGCCTGAACCCAGGAGGCGGAGGTTGCAGTGGGCCAAGATTGCGCCATTGCACTCCATCCTGGGCAACGGAGTGAGACTCTGTCTCCAAACAAAAACAAAAAACAAAAAACAAAAACAAAAACCAAAACCTTGACAGTATCCACCAGGTGTCTGTGCATTTAACACAGAAGACCTGACCTACATTTTGGAATGGTCAGGGACATGGCAATGCGCTCGAAGCCCAAATGGGAGAAAAACCATTTCTGAAATCCTATTTGGTTTCCAGGATCCTAGAGAAGGTGCCATGGGCAGGAACATGAAGGTGCAGGCTTCTTTACTCTCTTAAGCCAGCGGCCACAGGGGAAGCAACTTTGCCTGCCAGGGGCCTTCAGCACTGTCTGAAGAAAGTTTTGAGTATCACAACTAGGGGCAGGGGTGCTGCCAACATCTACCATGCAGAGAACGCACCACTACAAATGGCACTAGTGCCGAGTGGAGAAGTCCTGTCCGGAACCACGTAGCACTTTTTGGTTCAGGGTTGGCTTCCCCAGTGACCATCCCGGGCTTCTAAGGACTGGCTTTCTTCCCTTTGCCCTTGTGTACCCCTGGCTTGCAAGTTCTCCTGGAGACATCTCTCGTAAAAACTTAAGGTGTTTTTAAGCTTGCAGGTTTTACTTGACCCCAGCACCAGGCTCCCGCAGGCCAAGGCCACACCCCGCACCACCCTGCTCTATTGGCTCGTCACACCTTCAAGGCAATGCAGGCTCCAGGCCCTTGAGAAGCCAGTCCACCACCAAGGGCCGCCAGACAGGCTCCCAGGGCGGAGTCTCTGCTGAGCTTTCCCTGGGTTGGTGATGGGATTTTTCATTCCTGTGGCCTCCTCTGGTCACGTGAGGCCCGTGATGGGACACACTGGGTGCCCCTCTCTGTAACGGGTTCCCCAGGACCACAGGTGCTGCCAAAGATATTTTGTGTCACATAAACTTAGAAACGTCGGTTTCTTGTAGTAGCACAGATTACGTGCTTGTGCTGAGAAAAGATGTCAAAGAATCAAATCAACAGTCCTCCCTTTCCCGTGACAAAAGGGCTAACAGAGGCCCTGAACAGGTTTTCCTTTGGCCAGTTGCCCAAGGGGACTCACCCAACCATCCACCTACAAATGTGCCGCGGAGCCTTCTCACTGGGAGGGCTCCACAGACGTGGCACAGCCACTCTTCAGACAAAAAGCTCTGTTCCCAAAGAGGGCTCCTGCCAGACCGAAGCTCTGCTGTTGAGACACACGCTTCATGGCTCTGAAATCCCCGCAGAGAATACCCTCCTGCTCCATCAGCCCAACTGTTTGAAAGTCCAGGGAACTCGCAAGAGCTGGACTCTGAGGGGAGGACAGGAGCGCTCTGCTCCACACCTGGCCCACCGTGGAACACCAGGTACCTAAGGCCCTGGGCTGAGGGCTCGCAGAACTGGGACAGTAACTGAGCTGGAAGAGGTCATGATGGTCGCCAAGTTCAAAACCCTTGTTTTGCTCGGAGAAAACGAGCCCAGAGAGTATGAAGGGACTTCCCCCAAGCTATAAGCAAAGCATGCGAAGGAGCAGAGGCCTCACTCAGGGATCACACATCAGGAAGGCCCCACTGAGCAACACACGTGCCACTGGCAACAGCTCCAGTGACCACTGAGGGGCACACGACACCACGGGGAGCATGCATTGAAATTCACACAAAATCTTTTTTTTTTTTTTTTTTGAGACGGAGTCTCGCTCTTTCATCCAGGCTGGACTGCAGTGGCGCTATCTGGGCTCACTGCAAGCTCTGCCTCCCGGGTTCACGCCATTCTCCTGCCTCAGCCTCCCAAGTAGCTGGGACTACAGGCGCCCGCCACCACGAACGGCTAACTTTTTTTGTATTTTTAGTAGAGACGGGGTTTCACTGTGTTAGCCAGGATGGTCTCGAGCTCCTGACCTCGTGATCCGCCTGCCTCGGCCTCCCAAAGTGCTGGGATTACAGGTGTGAGCCACTGCGTCTGGCCTATTCACACACACTCTTGATTTCAGAAACCATGACCCAATATGAAGCAAAATTTAAACAAAAGGACAAGATGGTATAAGATTTTTTTTTTTTTTGGGGGGGACAGGGTCTCACTCTGTCGCCCAGGCTGGAGTGCAGTGGCGTGATCTCGGCTCACCGCAACCTCTGCCTCCCAGACTCAGGCGATTCTCCTGCCTCAGCCTCCCAAACAGCTGGGATTACAGGTGCACGCCATCACACTTGGCTAATTTTTGTATTTTTAGTAGAGACGGGGTTTCACTACGTTGGCCAGGCTAGTCTCAAACTACTGACCTCAAATGATCCACCCATCTTGGCCTCCCAAAGTGCTGGGATTCCAGGCGTGAGCCACCATGCCCGGCCCATAAGATGTTTCTTTGTGTTGAGGGAGGGTCTCTGGACCCAAGACTCTCTGAAGGAAGCTGTGACTGCTTTGTCAGGGTGTGGAGAACACTTCCCTCCCTTTTGCCCAGAACCAGTTTTGGGTTTATTTTAACCAGCAATGCTGAGTTGCTGTTCTCCCTTGTCAAACAGAACCCTGGTGTTGCTCTGTGACTGGTAAAGACCTACCTCCTCCCTGCATCATCTTGTAGATTTTGCTCTCAATGTGGAGCTGAGGGTGTTTGGTTTTGACACATTCAAGCTTGATGGCAACCTCTTCTCCTGCAGCAATGTCCGTACCTTGGCAAAGAAAGAAAACCACAACAGGAATTACCTGGTATCCACCAAATAACCCAACATGCTGGAGAAACAACAAGCACTATGTGTTTTCCATGAAGGACCAAGTGAGGGATGTGTTCTCCTTCCTAGCATAGTAAGGCGGGCTAATCGGCTGACACATCTCTGGGGGAAGTTATCCATATTCCCATTTTCACAACAGGACGAATTTGAACTGCACAGAAAGTTTATGTGGCTTCCATCACCCGCCCACCAGTCTTCAGGTGCTGCAGCTCCCTCTCCACAGTGGCCCTTCTGGTCTGCATCCTCCCATCAGCCCTGCCCAAGGCCCCTGCACTTGCCCGCCCCAGACAGCCTGTGGTAGAGCTCCACGGTGCCATTCCCTTTTCTCCATGCTGCCTGATAGGCCTCCGAGGGGGTGGTTTGAGTTTCCCCCTGAGGAAGGGCTAGGTTTTTACCCAATAGCCACAGTCCCAGTCCACCCAGGCCTGGCATCACAGGCAGCGGGAGTCATCTCTAGCCAACCTATTGCAGGCAAACACCCTCCACCAGGCGGAGGGAGGCCCTTCTCCCTTCCTGGGGACACAAAGCCAGAAGAATCGCCTGTTTTCAACGCCCTAAATGTACCACCTACCAACACGCACCGGTCACACATCTTTCATCAGTCTATGGCTAAAACCAATGACACATCTAATACCATGACGATCGGACTATGAGTTTGGAGGCAAAATTACACTTTTTATCTAGAAATGTTCCATCTCTGCTTTACTCCAATAAATGACAAATGTGACAACCACCATCCCTCTCAGGTTCACCCACAAATGCTCCTGAGTTTGAATCTGGCCCAAAGCCTTCCCCAAATCCACTGCATGAGGCATCCAAGGAGCTTTAACCGAACAGGAGAGAAAAAGAAGCTGCACACAGTACATACCCAGCTCTCTCCTCTTCCCTCACGAGTCCCTTCAGAGTATAAGACACTGGAATCGGCCGGGCGCGGTGGCTCACGCCTGTAATCCCAGCACTTTGGGAGGCCAAGGCGGGCGGATCACAAGGTCAGGAGATTGAGACCATCCTGGCTAACACGGTGAAACCCCATCTCTACTAAAAATACAAAAAATTAGCTGGGCATGGTGGTGGGTACCTGTGGTCCCAGCTACTTGGGAGCCTGAGGCAGGAGAATGGCGTGAACCTGGGAGGCGGAGCTTGCAGTGAGCCGAGATCGCGCCACTGCACTCCAGCCTGGGTGACAGAGCGAGACACCGTCTCAAAAAAAAAAAAAAAAAAAAAAGGACACTGGATCCTTCCCAACAGCGTGGCTATGTGGAAAAGAATTCACACTAGCTTCAGCAGCCCAGACAAAGCCCTGGGAGACTTCCTTCCCTGAGAGACTGTGGTGCTGGGCAAAGCAACTTGGCTAGTTCTTAGTGACTCGGTTTCTCTTGTCAATGGAGATCAGTGGTGAGGTCTGACGTCTGTTTCATGAGAGTTGTGGAGATGAATGGGTTAACAGTTTCTTTTACTGCTCTTTAAGATAAGGTTCCCTGATGAAAAGCAGAGTAAGGTCAAGTGAGCACTAGAGCAGTCTGCTGATATCCACACGTCCACTGAACACCCAGGAAGCCCCTCGTCTGCCCAGATGGCGGCATGAGATGTGCCACTTCCAGCCTGGGCCCCAAACCCCTTGCCACTGCTGCGTTCCACAGGAATCGCCACCACCGGGTCACCGCCAGTGACCATTCTAGATTTAAGAACGTCACTTACTATCAACAGAGACTCTTCAGAGTACTCGAGGTAACAAATTTTGTTCTTCCTGCCTACAGTTGGGACAGTCTATCCAATTACAAGAGAAATGACTTCATCGAAAAATGTACTGTGTAAATGAAAAACCACTCTGAGTTCCTCTAAGGACCTGGACTCTGAACTCAACTCGCCAGCCGGGAGGGAGGGTGACTCATCCCACTAGTTATGTCAGCAGCTCCCTGCACCCCCAAGCAGGCGCAGTGCAGCCTCGGACAGTACCGCCACCCTCGCCAGCTGGCAGCCCAGTGACCCCATGGCCTGGGGCCGATGGCTTGGGGCCACACAGTCTGCTGACTAGCATCTCTCACTCCACTTCTCTGTAGCTGATAAAGCTAATGTCTGCCAGTCACACCTGCAGCACTGACTGTCGTGGGGCAAAAGTCATCACCAGCCGCTCTGGCACACAACACGAATCACACCCTATCATGGGGCCGGGACCTCTCGCTGTGCAAGCACACAGATGTGCAAGCACACAGAGCCAGCCCTCCTGTGGAACCGACACCAAGGTCGCCCCGAGTCTCTACAGGGGAGTAGCTGGATGCAGGTCCTGTACACAGATGTGAGGATGGCAACTCTCTGGGGCCTGCAGCAGGGACCTCGTCACCTGCTGGGCAGAAGCATCAAGAAGCAGAACACCAAGGTCTGTGCATTCCAAAGGCACCACCTGCCTCAAGGTCGCTGAGCACTGCTCAGACCCCCTGGCCTGCAGCCCTGTCCCACCTCGCCCACCGGGGGCACCCCCACACTCTACCAGCCATGCTGCTGAAAGTCAGATCCTCAAGCTGCCATCAGTGCACAAGGCAGCACAGAGGCGCTCAGTAACTGTGGCTGCAATCTGGCATCGCTGCAGCATTTTGACCTTATACACAAGTTTTGGCATGCAACAGGTTGAAAATTACAAGCCTGGTTCTTCACCACAGGTTAAATCCGAGAAGCACTACTAGAAGGGGAATGAGAATTTGAAAGACCCTGAGCCCTGGGTGTCAGATTCAAAACAAACCAAAACCTGGTGACACGCAGATCACCAGGTTGTCTGGGTTGTCTGTTTATACAAAAGACATTCTGTCAACAAAACAAATTCAACTCTTCCCTGCAGCTCAACAATCCTGGTCTGCTGTGAGACAGGGCTTTCCTCAGTCCGTGTTTGGGTATCAGTTAATGTTAGTCCTACAAAAACAAAATTACGTCCCTCAAGTTCAGCAGCCAAAAGCAGATGGTGGCCGGGTGTGGTGGTTCACGCCTGTAATCCCAGCACTTTGGGAGGCTGAGGCTGATGGATCGCTTGAGGTCAGGCATTCGAGACCAGCCTGGCCCACATGGTGAAACCCCGTCCCTACTATAAATACAAAAAAAATTAGCCAGGCATGCTGGTGTGCGCCTCTAACCCCAGCTACTCAGGAGGTTGATGCGGAAGAACTGCTTGAACCCAGAAGGCAGGGGTTGCAGTGAGCTGAGATCGCGCCACTGCACCCCAGCCTAGGCAACAGAATGATACTTTGTCTTAAAAAAAAAAAAAAAAAAAAAAAGCAGATGGTGAGTTAAGCGAACCTAACCAGAGTGTGGCCCTGTCCTGGCACAGGAGGGTAATTCTGAATTACCAGCCTGGATGCTGGCAACTCCCATTAAGGATTGTCTTGTCAACAAAAAAAACAGGGAGACGCCTTGAGCAGCAGGACAAAGGTCAACTCGCAGGGCAGCGGTCAGCAGTACCACGACTTCTCATTACAGATGCTTGAGTTAAGGAGAGTCCAAGGTCAACAGAGGCTACAGCCCTAACACTGCAGTGAGGAGACCCCAGAAGCTACAGGAAGAACAGGTGGTCGCTCTCCTCTCATGGCTGGTCAGCATCTTGGGGCCCTATTGCATACCAGGCACCCTGCAGGCTGCCTCTTGAGAAATCAGTCAGTGAGGGGAAAAACGTGTGCTTCAGAGATGAAGCAGTTAGCTCCCAAAAGATGCTTGTGCACATTATGAAGTCAGTCCATCCAGGTAACAGGTGGACAAATGGAGGCCCTGACAAGCTGATGGTGCGATGGGATCAAGTACAGATGCCAACAGATTCATCTGTCCAGCCCACCAGCCAGGTAATCCAGTCCTGCCACTAACCTCCAGAACACACTACAGGTGAGAACAGAGGCAGGACCAGCTGGGCTCTCACTGCCTCTCTGCATGGGCCGCCTGCGGGGTGAACACAGCAGGCCTCTCCCTCTAGCCTAGCCCAGCTGAACAGTCCTCTTCCGCCAGACACCCCTGTGGTTCTGGGGCTGGGAACTCATGGTCCACATTAAGGACACTGGCTGTTTTCAAATGTTACCAAGTTTATTTCCAGTGGTACTCTGCCAGCATAAGTGAAAGAACTTCTGGTTTATGGCCACACCACATGGACACGGATGCGGAGGGCGGCACAGGGCCGGGGCCAGGTCACACAACAGGCTGCCAAGGTGTGCGCTCCACAGGTGTGTGTGGGCTGTGTCACCTTCCCAACCTGCCCTCCTGAAGGGCCTTGCGGATCTGGCAATCTCAGACTGAAGACAGATTGTTCTTTTTGGGGTCCCACTTTCCAAAGCCTGGGCATTCAAGAAATAGCCCCAAAATACTGCCCCCTTTGAAGGGGCAATTTTGGAACACGACAACCTGGCAGGGCCCTGCAGTGAGCACCCGCCCTCCAACTGTCACAGCAGGGTCGGGGCAGGCAGGCCCACACCACGCTTCTAGCCCACAGGCACTCCACTGAAGCACAGCCTTCCCCCCTTCCTGGTCTCAAACATCTGAAAGCACAGAAAGTCCCCGGTAGAAAAACAAGAACCCAAAAGCCAAGCTCAAAGCAAGGTGAACCCCACCTGGAGGATACCAAAGTGACAACAGTAGGAATGGTCTTAACGATACTCATACTAGAATATACACGACACACAGAGGTCAAGATGAAGACCTAGTTCCTCGATTTATGTGTAACTGGCTGCCCAAACAAAACTATGGTGGGGATGACCGATCCATCTCATAGTCTTCAGATCAGCCATCTTTGACTCTAACTGCCATTCTGCTCAGACCCACGCTTCTTTCAAACTGCCTTACTCCGGCTAACGTGACCACCTCGCCTTTCCTCCGTGGGGTCGTCTGAAAGGACCACAGTGTAGGCTAGGAGCCAATGCTGATGGGAAAAAAAAAAATCAGCTGTGCCTAACCCCACTCAAGTAACTGGACGTGTACCCTGATGGGTGGCTGTCTGGGACGGCTGTCTGGGGGCTCCAACCCCAGGGTGTCAGAGCCACAGCCGCCCGCAATCCCGTATCCAGCATGACTGTATGCCCAGCGCGAGGTGAGGCCTGGAGGGTAGAATGCTGAGTGAGGAGACAGCCTTCCACCCTCCACCTCTGGAATTACTTGGTGACAACCACACCAAAATTTGTCTTAATCTATCTTTGGAAAGCACAAAGTTGTTTGACAAGGTCTCAGATCAGAGAACAGATAGTTTCAAAGTACTTCTTATTTATTTATTTTTTGAGACAGAGTCTCACTCCATCGCCCAGGCTGCAGTGCAGTGGTGTGATCTTGGCTCACTGCAACCTCCGCCTCCCAGGTTCAAGCAATTCTCGTGCCTCAGCCTCCCAAGTAGCTGGAATTACAGGCAGCCACCACCACGCCTGGCCAATTTTTGTATTTTTAGTAGAGATGGGGTTTCGCCACTTTGGCCAGGCTGGTCTCCTGACCTCAAGCGACCCGCCCACCTCAGCTTCCCAAAGTGCTGGGATTACAGGCGTGAGCCACCACACCCGGCCCAAAATACTCCTTTTTGATGCCTGCCTAAAGGTGGCTAATGGACTGGCTTTGCAGTGTAACTCAGATCCTGGGGTTAAAACTTTCGCCAAAATCCATTGTTCTATAAATAAGCCAAACGACTTCCATTGACCAAGCACTCTGACTTCCCAAACACTGCCAAGAACACATCCAGCTGACCACCTGGTATAAATGTTTAATAGCCAAACCCAAATGTCTAAAGCCTGCTTACTCAGCAGTCCACTAAGGCATATGTACAGGTTCAAAAGCAACAATATGGCATGTGACAGGGTCACCTGGCAGGTTAACCAGGCACCGAAAGTATGAGCCACCCATATGTGTGGATTCGTCCTAACGCTGTCAGCCCACCGGGTCCTGAGTCCTCTCTCTGGTGACAAGTGGGAAGGGTGTGAGAACTGGAGACTGTCCACATGTGGCTTCATCTAAAAGGTATGACCAGAGGCATTACTGACATCCCAGGGGATTCCTGACCCTAGCTGACAGGTGCCCCAGTTAAAACACACCCCAAAGCTAGGGCTGCTGGAACAGAAAACAGCTCCCCTCAAAGGTCTGCAGCAGCCCCTCTGCAGGCACACCGCCTCAGGCTACATATCCTCAAATTCAGGGGATCTTGGAATAACTCGTGCATTGCACAATCCCACTAACAAGTGCGGAAAATTAAGTTACTTTAAAATTACAAACTTGGGCCAGGCGCGGTGGCTTCCCAGCACTTCGGGAGGCCGAACTGGGCGGATCACTTGAGGTCCGGAGTTCGAGACCAGCCTTGACCAACATGAAGAAACCCCGTCTCTACTAAAAATACGAAATTAGCCAGGCGTGGTGGCGCACGCCTGTGATCCCAGCTTTTCGGGAGGCTGAGGCAGGAGAATCGCTTGAACCTGGGAGGCAGAGGTTGCGGTGAGCCGAGATCACGCCATTGCACTCCAACCTGGGCAACAAGAGCGAAACTCCGTCTCAGGAAAAAAAAAAAAATTACAAACTTGAAGATTTAAGCCAACCTTTCATCACACTTGTGTTCACGTGCATATTTTTCCATTGTAAATATGACACAACCCAAAACCTTCTAATCCCATTGTTTTTGAAATCTACCTTGAGACTGTTACAGTCTAAAGGACACCTCATGAGTACAACTACCTCATCTGCCTCTCATCTTGCCAGCATCTTAATCCTGTGTGACTTTCTCTACATTCACCTAAACTTAACCCTTGCTCATTTGCACTCAGTCACCGCTCCAAGGCCAAGGGGAACCGTTCAGAGAGAACCCCCAGCGGGAGGGCAAGCCCCACTCCTAGCCGGGCCACTCCCCCGCTCCACACGGCATTTGGGTCTTTCTGACATTTTCCCCCACGAATGCAAGACACCGGGGCAGCCTCTGAGGGGGCAGCCAGACAGCCCCGGACCGGGCTGCGGAAGAAAGAGCGTGGCCTTTGTTTACTGCGGTGACCTTAGGCGTAGAGGAAGCCGACGCCCGCTTCGCGGCCCCAGCCCTACCCCCTCCCCTCCCACGGCCCGCTGCCCCCACCCCCGCCCTGCCCCTCCCCCAGGCCCGCCTCCCCACGCCCCACCCAGCCCTTCCCGAGTCCGCTCCCCACGACCCTGCCCCTACCCAGGTCGGCTCCCCAGAGACCATGCCCCACCCCGGGTCAGCTCCCCTATCCCCTCCTTCCCCAACCCTCCCCTCTCCAGACCCTGCTCCCCCGACCTGGTCCTGCCCCTCCCCCACGTCCGCTCCCCACTGCCCTCCCCACCCCTGGCCGCGCTAGCCTAGTGGCCGTTGGGTTCTGGCCACGATCCGGCGGTGCCGGGACTTGCGCGGAGACCCCGCGGGGGCCACCACTTCCTTCCGCGATCGCGCTTGGTCTTGGCAGCCGCAGGGCCCGGGTCTTCGGGCGGCGGGCGGGGGCGGCGGGGCCTCACCGAGATAGATGTCTCCGAAGGAGCCGCTGCCGATCTTCCGGCCCAGCCGGTACCTGTTCCCGACTCTCAGCTCCATGGCGGCGGCGGCCCGATTCGCTCCTGCCCTCCCGGCCGCTTCCTGGGTCTGAACTCTGGGAGGCGGCGCCGCTGCTGCCGCTACTGCGGGTCCGGCTCCCGGCTCCGCCCCCCTCACGGCCCCGCTTTCACCATCGCTTTCCTGTCGCCCCGCCGCTCCCAGCGCCTCAATACGGGGCGGATGGGACAGTCCGAGCGCCGCCGCCGCTGCTCCGGCCCCTACCGGTCCCGCTTGCCCTCTCCCCGCCGCGGATGGACTCGGATCTTCCGGGCCTAAATCCCCTTTCAGCTGCCTAAAGGAGCCGCCGCCATCGCGCTGTGACGTCACTTCCCCTAGCAACCCGGCGGGGCGGGGCCGCGGCGCTCCAGGGGCGGGGCCGGGCGGGGCGAGCGCTCCAGGCCTCCTCCCGACCCTGCGCCGTGCCCAGCCCCTCTGCCCTCCTGTTACCCCGGGACCTCGGGCCGCCAGCCCCTTCCACGTGCAGGCTCCTGCTGCTCTCGCGGGGGCTTTTCGTGTGTCCCCCGAGATGTCGAGGAAGCCAGGTGAGTTCCTCGCGACAGGCGGTGCCCTTTGCAGGAGGGGACAGGTAGCTGAGGCGTGGACAGAGTGACAGGCCAGGCTCAGGGGACACAGGTGAGACCCCCTCACTGGGCTGCCAGTTCCCGGGCTTGGGGCATCCCAGTACGTCAGCGTCTGCGGCCTTACCTCCTGACACCTAAGGCCAGAGACAGAGCAGGCCCGCGCCCTGGGAGGTCCTGATGTCCAGCCTGAAGATTGAGGACAAAGCCACCACCTTTCACAAAATGAGGCCAGACCACCTGCCTCCCTCCAGTCCCTGCGGCCTGGAGACGGAGTCAACATTCTTATCTGTGTTGGATCTGAATGTTCCTCCTTGCAAAGGAAACAAGGAGTGGACGTTCAGGCTGATGGCCAGCTTCAAAGATCGGGGCCTTTGATTCCCATCACTGGGAAGAAAGCCCTTCAGACAAGCCCCCCCAGGCTGCAGGTGCATGGGGACCTTGAAGAACCCGTCCCCATGGTCCCACGTCCATGTGTCTCGAGACCTGTCGCATCCTCGCTGAAACTCAAGAATGTGAAACAGGTGAAGGTGTGTTTTGACGCATTAGCATACCAGGGCTGTGGTGTGGGCACCGCCGTGTGAGTGAGACAGCAGCCTCAGCCCGTCCAGGTCACTGCAGAAGAGGAAAGCAGCCCCCACAGGCCCCACAGTGGTGCTCGCCTTTCTCCACCCCCCAGTCTTTCCTCTCCACCCCTCAGCTCCAAACAGCTGGAGGTCAGGTCGGGGAGACGGGCGTCCATTCCCGAAATTACATAGCAGGGCCTGGAGACAGGAGATGCCGCCGGCCAGACCACCATCAGTCACTAATGAGGGATGGGCAGTCGGAACTGCCCAGTTTCTGAGTTACAGAAGCCGGGGGTGGGGGGCTGCCAGACTAGTAAAACTGACCTTGTTGGCGGAATCGCTCACGGCTTTTCTGTTGATGAACAGAGTCCAGCTCTCCCACGGGTGGCTGTGATCCTTCTTCCTGGGGAGTCCTGCTGTCCCTGACTAGGGGCACCTGCCCACCTGTCAGCTGCTCCTCCCTCGGCTGGTCCTCCTGGGCTCTGATGGCCCCAACATTTCTAGCTCTTCTCACCCATAGTGCCCCAAGCTTCATGCAGCTGCGGCAGGTACTGTGCCCGTCTGCCTGGCTTTTGTGTGTTTGTGTCTTGACTCTATAACCCGTGCACACGGACTGGGCTGTGGTGTAGTGGGGATGGCAGGAGCCCTGGGAACATGCGGGCTGGGCAAGGTGAGGCAGGCTGATTGCTGTGGCTCCCCCACCACCAGCCCCAGCCACAACAAACTGACAAAGGAAGAGGACAGTGGTACCCTGGAGCCCTGGGGTCAGAGAGAGGAGGACAAAGCAGGTGTGTAGCCCAGGGAATGACAGCACCCCTTCCGAGAAGACAGGGAGGGTGCAGACATGGCCAGGTTCTGAGCTAGAAAACTGTCAGCAGGGGGCTGAAGCTGAGGATAGTCATTGCCAAGGAACAGCCTCCGTCACAGAGGAGACGCACAGATGCGGTGACGAGGGAGGGATGCGGGGCTGGTGACCGCTGGGAACGGATGTGTGAGGCAGAGTCTCCAGGCATGGTCTGTGGGGCGGTTTGATGATACTAGAACATCTCAGAGTAGAAGGACGTCCCGACCTGCAGACTGGAAAGCCCCCAGAGCTCCCGGCAGGACGTATGAGGGCCAGCCCACACCCAGGTCTGTCCTGATACAACTGAACGCCACAGTGTCTTAGCTCCTTTACTGTTGCTATCAAGAAACACCTGAGGCTGGGAAATTTATGAAGAATCATGAGGTAATTTGTATATTTGTCCACACTAAACCTCATGTTGAATTGTAAACCCCAAGGCTGGAGGTGGCTGGGTCATGGGGGTGGATTTCTCAGGAATGTTTAGTACCATCCCCTTGGTGCTGTCCTTGAGATAGTGAGTTCTCCTGAGATCTGGTTATTTAAAAAGTGTGGGGCACCTCTCTCTCTCGCTCACTCGCTCGCTCGCTCCTGCTCTGGCCATGTGACGTGCCCGCTCCCCCATTGCCTTTCACCATGATTGGAAGCTTCCGGAGGCCTCCCCAGAAGCTGAGCAGAGGCCAGCACCATGCCTCCTGTAAAGCCTGCAGAACCAGGAGCCAAGTAAACCTCTTTTCATTATTTATTTATTTATTTATTTATTTATTTTGACACAGGGTCTCGCTCTGTTGCCCAGGCTGGAGTGCAGTGGCGTGATCTCGGCTCACTGCAACCTCTGCCTCCTGGGCTCAGGTGATCCTCCCACCTCACCCTCCTGAGTAGCTGGGACTACAGGCACACGCCACCATACCTGGCTAATTTTTCATATTTTTTGTAGACATGGGGTCTTACTGGCCCAGACTGGTCTCAAACTTCTGAGCTCAAGTGATCCATCCACCTTGGCCTTCCAGAGTGCTGGGATCACACGCATGAGCTACCATGCCGGCCCTCTTTTCTTTTAAAATTGCCCAGTCCTAAGTATTTCTTTATAGCAAGGCAACCACAGCCTAACACAGCTCACGATGCTGAGGTCTCAAAAGTTCAAGATCGGGCGTCTGCCTCTAGTGAGGGCCTTGCTGCCGCTGCCTCCACTCATGGCAGAAGGTGAAGGGCAGCTGGAGTGTGTGCAGACCGTGTGCGAGAGGGAGCTGGAGGAGTAGGGAAGTACAGGCCTTTTTTTTTTTTTTTAAGATGGAGTCTCGCTCTGTTGCCCAGGCTGGAGCGCAGTGGCGCAATGCCGGCTCACTGCAACCTCCGCCTCCCGGGTTCAAGCGATTCTCCTGCCTCAGCCTGCTGAGTAGCTGGGATTAGAGGCATGCGCCACTATGCCCGGCTAATTTTTGTATTTTTGTAGAGACGGGGTTTCACCATGTTGGTCAGGCTGATCTTGAACTTCTGACCTCGTGATCCGCCCGCCTTAGCCTCCCAAAGTGCTGAGATTATAGGCATGAGGCACCGTGCCGGCCGTGCAGGTGTTTTTAAAAGCACCTCTTGCTGGAACTAGTAGGAGTGAAAACTCACTCATTACTAAGAGGACAGCACCAAACTGTTCGTGAGGAATCTGCCCCCATGACCCAGACACCTCCAACACTGGGGCTCAGATTTCAACCTGAGGTTTGAAGGGGACCAACACCCAAACTATAGAAACAGAGAAAGAGGAAAGTTTACAGATACCCATTTAGAAAGAATCTGCTAACAAAGGGAAAGAATCAGGCTGGGCGCGGTGGTTTATGCCTGGAATCCCAACACTTTGAGAGGCCAAGGTGGGTGGATCACCTGAGGTCAGGAGTTTGAGACCAGCCTGGCCAGCATGTGAAACCCTGTCTCTACTAAAAATGCAAACATTAGCCAGGCGTAGTGACGTGCACCTGTAGTCCCAGCTACCCAGGAGGCCAGGCAAGAGAATTGCTGGAGTTCATGAGACAGAGGTTGCAGTGAGCAGAGATCCTGCCACTGCACTCCAGCCCAGGCAACAAGAGCGAGACTGTGTCTCAAAAACAAACAAACAACAACAACAAAAGGAAAGAATCAGACTGGCTTGGGACTCTGCTGTCCCCTGCCCGTGACCTCCCAAAAGCGTGTGTTAGAGACTGACCTGCCTAGTGCGTCAGTGGAGGGGGCACTTTGGAGAGGGGCTTGGATCGTGAGGCCCCGCCCTCGTGAATGGCTCAGTGCCTTGTGAAAGGGCTTGATGGAGGGAGTTTGGTCCCTTTTCCCCTTTTGTCTCTCTGCTGTGTGAGGACACCATGTTCCTCCCCTCTGGAGGATGCTGTAACAAGCTGTCATCTCGGGAGGAGACACCAGGCCCTGACCAGACGCTGAACATGCCAGCACCTTCATCTTGGACTTTCCAGCCCCCAGAACTGTGAGAAATAAATTTCTGTTCTTTATAAGTACCTAGTCCATGGTGTTTTGTTACAGCAGCATGAACAGACTGAGATAGCGGCTTACATGTAACCGGAAGCTGCAGAAAAACATCTTCAGACAGCTGAGACGGCTCCCAGGACTCGTGCCTGGCACAGACACCATCTGCCTGGCAGGGCAAAGAAAGGCGTCTGTGAGTGTGGGAGGATTCCGAGTCTAACACCCTGAGCCCAGCCAGGAAGGGGCCAGGAAGGCCTCCTCGTGAACAACGAATGAAACAGATCCCAGATCTCAGACAGGGCGGGGAAGGGGAGGGGTACCATGTCAAGCAGCACTCTGTGTAAGTCGGCACCTGCGCACACTTGCATGCAGACGTGTGTATTGTGAGTGTATGGACATGTTAGAAATGGATGTGTGCATGTGTCTGCATGTGTTTGTGCATTTATGCACAGACACTACACGGGCATGCACATCATGTACGTATATGTTTGCATATGTGCACGTGTGTGTACGTGCATGTGTTCGTGTGTGCATGCACACAGCATGCGTGTGTGTGTATACTTGCATGCATGCTAACATATGGTGGAGAATAAATAATGATCACCTCTCTGGAACTGGGGAAAGTAAGTGTTAAACAGATTTTCGACAGGAAATGCTGCTGCAAGGAATTCGTCCGTAGGCTAGCACTACAACCTGGAGGCAGGGAGCAGTGAGGAGTGGAAGTCTTCCCATCAGAAGTGAGGAAGGCTGGATACGGTGGCTCACACCAGTAATCCCAGCACTTTGGGAGGCAAAGGCAGGAGGATCACTTGAGCCCAGGAGTTTGAGACCAGCCTAGGCAACTTAGCAAGACCTTGTCTTAAAAAAAAAAAAAAAAATTTTACAAGGAACTACACAGATGGCAAAATTAAAAAAAAAAAAAGTGGGAAGAGGGGAGAAAGGGAGATCAATGTCTTCTACAGATTTCATCTTATCGGGTGGAGGGTGTGAGGAGTAGAGCCACGTGGTGGGAAACTGTTGGTGTCTTGTTTGCGAATGACTTTGGAACAAAGACCACCTGATAAGCACAGTTAAGGAAGGAAAACACACAGGGACTTCCCAGGGAGCCAGGAGGACACTGGGGGAGCAGGAACACCTGCCTTTCCCATGGGGCCCTGGTGTGCCCAGCCCCCCACTTCATGTCTGACCCACGTGCTCTCCGGCTGACCTCCTGGGACTCGCACCTGGCCCCCACTTGGTATCTGAGCCACGTGCTTCCCGGCCCTCACTTGGTATCTGAGCCATGTACTTCCCGGCTGACCTCCCGCAACGTGAAGACTACTCTCGCTCCCTTCAAGGCCACTGTCCCCACCGCAGCCAGAGAGGTGTTTTATAGTTCAAATCCTGCCCAGGCACCATCTTGTCTAAAGGCAGCCCTGAGCCGGAATCTGTGTGCTTTGCTGATGGGACTGTAAAATGGCGCAGTCACTTTTGAAACAGTCTGACAGTTCCTCAAAAGCTTAAACATAGACTTACCACATACCCAGCAATTCCACGCCCAGGCTCTGCCCCAGGAGAATTGAAAACATCTATCCACACGGAAACTTGTACACAAATGTTCACAGTTGCACTATTTATCATCATCAGAATGCCTATAATTGATGAACAGGTGAACAAATTGTGCTATATCCATATAATTAAATATTATTCAGTCATAAAAAAGAATGAGGCCGGGTGTGGTAGCTCACGCCTGTCATTGCAGCACTTTGGGAGGCCGAGGAGGGCGGATCACAAGGTCAGGAGATCGAGACCATCCTGGTTAACACGGTGAAACCCCGTCTCTACTAAAAATACAAAAAGAAATTAGCCGGGCGTGGCAGCGGGCACCTGTAGTCCCAGCTACTCGGGAGGCTGAGGCAGGAGAATGGCGTGAACCCAGGAGGCGGAGCTTGCAGTGAGCCGAGATTGCACCACTGCACTCCAGCCTGGGCGACAGAACGAGACTCCATCTGAAAAAAAAAAAAAAAAGCAGCACATGATGCTCAGCAGCAGCAGAAGCAAGTCTCAAAAGACCATATACTGTGTGAGTCCATTTACACGGGATGTGCAAAATAGGCAGATTCATCGACAGAGACCTTGGATCGGCGGTCCTCAGGGGCTGGGTGGGATGTGGGGAGTGACTGCTAATCGGGAGGGGGTTTCCTTCCCTTTCGAGACGGTGAAAATGTTTCAGAACTAGGCAGAGGTGAGGGTTACATAATATTGCGAATATACTAAAATGAACTGAATTGTACACTTTTAAATAGTTAAAATGATGAATTTTGTTATGTGAATTTTGCCTACATTTAAAAAAAAAAAGGCCAGGTGCAGTGGCTCACGCCTGTAATCCCAGCACTTTGGGAGGCCGAGGCAGGTGGATCACAAGGTCAGGAGTTCGAGACCAGCCTGAGCAAAAAGGTGAAACCCCATCTCTACTAAAAAATATGTAAATTAGCCCGGCGTGGTGGTGCGCACCTGTAGTCCCAGCTATCGGGAGGCCGAGGCAGGAAAATCGCTGGAACCCGGGAGGCAGAGGTTGCAGTGAGCCAAGATTGTGCCACTGCACTCCAGCCTGGGCGACAGAGTGAGACTCCGTCTCAAAAAAATTAATTAAATTAAATTTAAAAAAAACCCAACCTAGGCAACTAGTGAGACCTTGTCTCTACAAAAAAATTAAAAATTAGCCAGGTGTGGTGGCTCACGCCTGTAGTTTAAGCTACTCAGGAGGCTGAGGCAGAAGGATGGCCTGACTACAGGAGTTTGAGACCAGCCTGGGCAATATGGCGAAACCCCATCTCTACAAAGAATACAAAACTTAGCCCAGCGTGGTGGCGCGTGCGTGTGATTCCAGCTACTCTGGAGGCTGAAGTGGGAGGATTGCTTGAGCCCTGGAGTTTGAGGCTTCAGTGAGCTGAGATTGCATCACTGCACTCCAGCCTGGGCCAGAGCAAGACCCTGTCTCAAAAACAACAAAACAAAGAGGCTGGGCACAGTGGCTCATGCCTGTAATCCCAGCTACTTGGGAGGCAGAGGCAGGAAAATTCCTTGAACCTGGGAGGCGGAGGTTGCATTGAGCTGAGTTCACGCCACTGCACTCCAGCCTGGGCGACAGAGTGCAGAGCGAGACTCTGTCTCAAAAAAAAAATAATAAACCAAAACAAAACCCAGAAACAAAAACAACCACCAAAACCCATCAGGTAGCCCTGAGTCCAGAGCCAACTTCAACCACCAAAACCCACCAGGCAGCCCTGAGTCCAGAGCCAAATTCAACCACCAAAACCCACCAGGCAGCCCTGAGTCCAGAGCCAACTTCCTTGCTGGGTTAGAGGTCCTCACCTCCTGCCCTCCCCGCAGGAACCACTTGCAGCTTCCTGAAGGCATCAATGTCACCCCGCCCCTGAGCCTGGGGGTGATGAAGGTGGATGAGCCAGCCCTGCACAGGTGAAGGCCACTGACAGCTGCACAAGGGGGGCTGCGGTTTGCAGCTTCCAGCAGCTTCCAGGGGGAGGGGACCTCAGCCCGATGAAGGATGCCAGCGTGGAGGTTCCCAGGTGGGACCTGGGGGTGGTATTCCAGGAGCTAGAGGCAATATGTGTTCCTGCGTGTGAGCATGTATGCGTGTGTGCATACAAGTGTACATGTGTGTGCACATGTGCATGTGTGCCCGTGTATGTGTGTGTGTTCATGTGTGTCCATGTCTGTGTGTCTGTGTGTTCATGTGTGTCCGTTGTGAGCATGTGTGCATGTGTCCATATGTGTGCGTGTGTGCCTGTGTGTGCATGTGTGTCCGTGTGTGCCTATGTCCGTATGTGTGCATGTGTGCCTGTGTGTTCCTGTGTGTGTCTGTGTGTGTGTGTGCCTGTGTCCGTATGTGTGCATATGTGCCCGTGTGTGCATGTGTGTGCTGTGTGTGCACGTGTGCGTGCATGTGTGTCCGTGTGCATGTGTGCATGGGTGTCCATGTGCACGTGTTCACGTGTGTGCATGCATGCATACATGTGTGTGCGTGTGTGTGTTGGGCAAACCTCTCACCCACCTGCTGGCCAAGGGTAACTCTAGGAAGTGCTGGGATCACCCAGGGCTGGGGTTAGACAGGTGCACAGGTAGAGCTGAGGAATTCAGCCCTTCAGGTTCCCAGGGCTCCTAGCCAGCACTGGTGACTAATTGGGCAGAGGCGAGCAATGCCCAGCCCACGCCAGGAAGGAACGGAAGTGAGTTCATGTCCCACCTCCCACGACTTAACCCAGGCACAGACGAGGCCACCACGAAGGCTGGGACTGTAATGAGGTTGCCCTAGAGGTGCCCTGTGCAATGCGGCAGCCGCCAACCACGTGTGGTTATTTAAATTAATTAAATAAAAGTAAAAAGCAGTTCCTCAGGCTCCTAAGCCACATTTCAAGTGCTCAGTGATACTCGGAGTGCTCAGGGCTGCTGGAGACCAGTGGTCTGGACCAGAGGTGATTTCGTTCCCCAGGAGATGTGGCTGCCGCCAGAGAGAATGGCCTGGCCATGAGTCAGTAGGGCTGAGGCGGAGACCTCCTACCCCCTGCCCCAGACCCAGCCCTGATTTGTGCCCTGGCAGCATCCAGGGTAACAGCTGGCTATGAGGGAGAGCTTTCCATGCATGTGGCTCCTGCCATGCTGGTTTACCTGGTCAGGTGAGGGTGTGAGCCTTGAAGAAGCCAGGTGGGAGGAGGGTTTGATTGCGCTGGCCCTGGGTAGGGCTAAGGGTGGCCCACGTCTGTGGTCATGGCACGGCAGGGGGCTGCATGCCCCTGATGGAGTTGCTTCCCATCAGACATTTTGAGTCCTGAGCTGGGAACCTGTTGGGGGTGGAACCTGCCCCGTACCTGGACCCTCACACCTTCTCCCACCTAGCCCATGAGGTGATGGGCCATCTGGGCTGGGTGTTGCCCCAGTTTTTGTGTCCAGAGGTTTTCCAGGGTTCCCAGGCCCAGCCCTGCGTCCCTGGCTCAGGAGCACCCTCCCTCAGCCCTGGGGCCCGTCCTTAGCTCGGCAGCCCTGGGCAAATCGTGTATCCCCTAGTCAGCTTCTCCAGGGTGACCGGCAGTGACTGAAGTCCCTGTTCCCTGTTCCACCCTCCCTGCGCAGGGCTGGGCACACCGGGCGCCGTCAGTACACTGTCTGCAATGGCCGAGAAGGCAGCGCTCCATGCAGGAGGAACGATGCGTCCTTGCCACTGCCCTCATTTGTGACTTGGGACAGCTGCTCCCAGCAGGATGGTGTCCTTTCCTCCAGAGCCAGGGGAGGAGTGAGGCCTGGTGCCCGGGCGGTACCTGCCTCACCCAGGTCGCAGAGAGCTATTCCTCGGCAGCCTCTGCCACTGGAGGTGTGGGCAGGTGGTGGGGTGATGCCCACACGAGTGCAGTGGATGCGGCCCTGGCCCAGCCTGCAGGAAGTTGGAGGGGTCCCCATCAGAGCTGGGGCTGCTGCCCCCCATTCCCCTCCCACCAATGTGTCAGGGCAAAACTGGAAGGGTCATGCCTGTCCCCAGCTCCCAGAGGTCTCGTTTCTCTCTCGTGGCTGGCACAGAGCCAGCAGAGAGGCCCAGCCTGCATGCTCTTCAGCGCCCCAGGCATCATCCCAGCCGGCTGGGGAGCGTCTGTGCCCAGATGCCCTCGACATCCCTCTTCTCTGCATCTCACAGCTTTGCGGGGTGACTGGGCATGAGTCATCAGCCGCTGAGGCCTCCCACCTGCCCCAAGTGAGCACGGCCTCTGCAGGGGCCACCCAGTGAATCGGCAGCCATGGGAACTTCCCTAGCACCTCCTCCCCAGGGTGTCCACCCAGGCCACCTCCTTTCTCTGCCGCCTCCTCCAGGCAGGACATCCCACCCAACTTAGCTGGCAGAGCTCTAGAGGTCAGGCTGAGTGACCAGGTAACACGGGGTAGCCCTGGCCAGTCCCAAGCATGTTCCCTGGGGAGGCCACTGGGAGGTATGTCCCTGGGGCTGGAGCAGGCTGAGGGCATTCTGGGTCAAATTAAGGCAAGATTTGGGACCTCTGAAACAGAGCTCTGAGCACATGCTTGGAAGCTGGGGGCGGGTAGAGGAGCTGCTGGGAGGGCCCAGCACAGTGCGGGATGCAGGATGCGGGATGCGGGATGCTCAGGGAGGGACAAGGAGGGACGGCCGCACAACTGTTAGAGCTGTGATGACGTCGAGGAACAGGGAGGCATTGAAGGCAGCTGACTCCAGACCAGCTCTGTCTGCTCTAACGCAGCACTGAAGCATCCACTCAAGGCAGGCAACTCAAGTCAGAGCAGACCCAAAGGAACAAAGAGGAAAAAATTAAAAAGGCAGAAAGCAGGGGCCGGGCGCGGCGGCTCCCGCCTGAATCCCAGCACCTTGAGAGGCCGAGGCGGGCGGATCACCAGGTCAGGAGATCGAGACCATCCTGGCTAACATGGTGAAACTCCATCTCTACTAAAAATACAAAAAATTAGCTGGGCGTGGTGGCAGGTGCCTGTAGTCCCAGCTACTCAGGAGGCTGAGGCAGGAGAATGGCGTGAACCTGGGAGGCGGAGCTTGCAGTGAGCCGAGATCATGCCACTGCACTCCAGCCTGGGTGACAGAGCAAGACTCCGTCTCAAAAAAAAAAAAAAAAAAAAAAGGCAGAAAGCAGTGGGGGAGGGAGAGGGAAGAATGAGGATTAAAAACCCAAAAACTGGACCGGGCGCGGTGGCTCACGCCTGTAATCCCAGCACTTTGTGAGGCCGAGGCAGGTGGATCACGTGAGGTCAGGAGTTCGAGACCAGCCTGGCCAACATGGAGAAACCCCGTCTGTACTAAAAATACAAAATTAGCCGGGCATGGTGATGCAGGCCTGTAATCCCAGCTACTCGGGAGGCTGAGGCAGGAGAATCACTTGAACAGGGGTGGGGGTGGGGGTGGAGATTGTGGTGAGCCAAGATTGTGCCATTGCACTCCAGCCTAGGCAAAAAGAGCGAAACTCCATCTCAAAAATAAATAAATAAATAAATACAAAAATTAGCTGGGCCTGTAGTCCCAGCTACTCGGGAGGATGAGGCAGGAGAATCGCTTGAACCCGGGAGGCAGAGGTTGCAGTGAGCCGAGATTGTGCCACTGCACTCCAGCCTGGGCAACAGAGCGAGACTCTGTCTCAAAAAACAAAAAAAAAAAACCCAAAAGCTGGGGCGTGGGAGGAATGACCCCGTGAAAGCACCCTGCAGGAATGAAGAAAGGAAAACGCAAGACAGCACAAACAAAACACAAGAAAGGAAGGGACTGCAGAGTTTTAAATAATAGAATTGGAAACATTTACAAACCAATAACATTGAAAACCGACATGAAGTTGCTAAACTCCTAGAGAACTATAAAATGAGAAAAACAAAACAAAACAAAGGCAAAAAACTGAATAGATTAAAAGTGTGTGTTGGGGCCCTCCC
Source organism: Homo sapiens (assembly GCF_000001405.40). NCBI lineage: Eukaryota > Metazoa > Chordata > Mammalia > Primates > Hominidae > Homo > Homo sapiens. The sequence goes on from NC_000017.11 coordinate 82,285,276, forward strand.
CTCCTCCAGCACGGGGCCTAGGCTGCTGTTTGAGTGAGTTCCACTGAGCTTCCCGGGGCCAGTTGATTCCTGTCTTGGACAAAACGTTCCAGAAAGTCAAAAGAGTGGGATGTGTCCAGCCCACTTTATAAGGCTAGGATGACAGCAACTCCAAACCAACAAGAACAGACAAAAGCAGAACATGAGAGGCCCGTTTCACTCCGGATTTTAGGTGCAGAAAATACGAAATAAAATATTAGGGGCCAGGTGAAGTGGCGCATGCCTGTAATCCCAGCACTTTGGCAGGCTAAAAGGGCGGGGATCACTTGAGCCCAGGAGTTCAAGACTAGCCTGGGACACATGCTGAGACCCTGTCTCTACTTAAAACAAAAAAAAAATTAAAAATTAAGCCCGGGCAAAACAGAGTGAGACTTTGTCGCCATGAAAAAATAAAAAAAATTAGCCAACGTGGTGGCGTGCACTTGCAGTCCCAGCTACTTGAGTTGCTGATTTCGGGAACATCACTTGAGCCCAGGAGTTTGAGGCTGCACTGAGCCGTGATCGTGCCACTGTACTCCAGCCTGGGTGACAGAGTGAGCTCCTCTCTCTAAAAAAAAAAGAAAAGAAAAAAGAAAAAATTTGAAATAAAATATTGGCTAACTGGACCTCATGGTCTGAGTTTCTCTAGTTTAATATCAGACGATATCAGTGCAATTTGTTCCGCCAATACGCTACAGAAGAACTCTAACTCAGGCATAGAAAAGCATTAGATGGAATATAATTGATTTCACCTACTTTGTTTATGATTAAAAAGCTCTTAGCACAATAGACATACTTTTCAATGGTACAGGTTAGACACCCATGTCCACAACAACCACGTATATGATGGAGAAACTTCAGTGGCTGAGTCCATGACCAGGACAAAATGCCCAATGATGTGCTCCTGGTTCACACCAGGAGCCTCAGACACTCACGTGGCCTCAGAGACACACGATCCAGCAATCGTGCTCTTTGGCATTTACTCAGCTGGGTTGAAAACTTATGCCTGTACAAAAATCTTCATGTGAATGTTTATAGCATCTTTATTCATCATTGTCCACAACTGTCCAAACTGGAAGCAACCGAGATATCCTTTCTTTGGTATCAGTACATCCATTCAATGACATAAGATAGAAGGTGCCAGCACGCCACACCAAGGCATGCGTGAATTGTGAATGAGGGTGAAAGAAGCCAGTCGGAGGCTGGGCACGGTGGCTCACGTCTGTGATCCCAGCACTTTGGGAGGCCGAGGCGGACAGATCACCTGAGGTCAGGAGTTTGAGACCAGCCTGGCCAACATGGTGAAACCCTGTCTCTACTAAAAAAATAAAAAATAAAAAAATAAAAATTTAGCCGGGCGTGGTGCTGGGCACCTGTAATCCCAGCCACTCGGGAGGCTGAGGGAAGAGAATTGCTTGGACCCAGGAGGCAGAGGTTGCCATGAGCCGAGATCACACCACTGCACTCCAGCCTCTGTGACAGAGTGGGACCTTGTCTCAAAAAAAAAAAAAAAAAAAAAAGAGGAGAGAGGGAGGGGTGAACAGGTGGAACACAGAGGATTTTAGGACAGTGAAATGATTCTACGTGATAGTGTAGTATTCTACTATAATGTGGTAGTATTCTACTATAATGCGGAATACACAAAACTACACGTGTCAAAATCCATAGACTGTACAGGAGAGAGAGTTGGCCTTAAGGTATGCAAATTTAATCACTTGGGAGATGGAGGATCCCAGCATGGAATTCAGACTGTGACAAGAGACTCTAACTGCATTACAGATGCATGGGTGCACTGTCTGCAATGGCTGAGAAGCCAGCGCTCCATGCAGGAGGAATGATGTGTCCTTGCCACTGCCCTCATTTGTGACTTGGACAGCCGCTCCCAGCAGGATGGTGTCCTTTCCTCCAGAGCCAGGGGAGGAGTTAGGCCTGATGCCTGGGTGGTACCTGCCTCACCCAGGTTGCAGAGAGCCTCACGGCAGGGTGCTGACCTAAGTAACTTTGGACACGCGTGGAGTCTGTAGGACTAAAGACAGAGGATGTCAACACTTCCTCTAGGTGATAAAGGCATTTCCCACGGGGATACCAGCTAATAATTCTGAAACCACTATACATCTACTCTGGAAGTGAAAAACTGAGTACGTGGTGGCAGGTGGTAGGGGTCAGGTTTCTCACTATGGGAATGGGAGCTTCCAGATAAACAAATGGAAAGGCTAGAATGATCCATGTGGTAACAGAATTAGAGACATTGGTATAATTTCATGCTTAATGTAGCTACTTCTGGATATGTGTACAAACAGATGTGTATACACACAGCTTCGTATACACACATCTATCTCTTTGTTCTGTCAGCTGAGAAGCAATGAGCACACTTAGCCTTCAGATCTTGGTCTCTAAGACCCTTCTCCAGTTAAAAGAACCACAGGTCCTTGGCTAAGTGGCTGATTTGAGGACTGGAACAGCAAATACATAAGATGATCCTGGAGTGCCTTGCAGTGCTAGTGTTATGGGCTGAATTTCTTTGCCCCCAAATCACAGGTGGAAGCCCTAGCCCCCGATGTGACTGCATTTGGAGATGGAGCCTTTGAGGAAATGATTAAGGTTCAATGAGGTCATGAGGGTCAGGGGCCCTGATCTGATTAGATTGGTGTCTTTTTTTTATTCAGTAGAGGCAGGGTCTCACTATATTGCCCAGGCTGGTCTTGAACTCCTGGACTCAAGTGATCCTCCCGCTTTGGCCTTCCAAAGCGCTGGGATTACGAGCATGAGCCACCACACCCAGCCAAGACTGTTGTCCTTATGAGAACAGGAAGAAACACCAGGAGTGAGCATGCAGGGAGAGGCCACGTGAGCACACAGAGGAGAGGCCACGTGAGCACGCAGGGAGAGGCCACATGAGGACACAGGGAAAGGTCATGTGAGGACGCAGGGAGAGGCCACGTGAGCATGCAGACAGGCTATAGGAGAATGCAGGGAGAGGTCACACGAGGACGCAGGGATGCTGTCTGTAAGCCACAGAGAGGCCTCAGGAGGAACCCACCCTGCCGGCAGCCTGATCTCAGACGTCCAGACTCCATAACTGTGAGAAGAGAAACACCTGTTGTTTAAGCTGCCCAGGCTGTGGCATTTAGCTGTGGCAGCCCTGGTAATATAGTTAGAAGGTGAAGAAGTGATCGAAAAACAAAACCAGCACCGTGTTGGCTCATAACTTGCAGCATAAATCTCCACAAGTCCGTACCGATATAAGGAAATGACTGAGTAAATAAATAAGTGGGGAGGAGAGATGAATCACAAAGGAATTCCAAGTAGTTTGTGTAGACACTCTGCCCCTAAGGAGGGGAGCCTAACCCCCACACCTTCCTTGGGTGCTGCAAATACTGACTTCCCCACCAAGGGCACCATGTGGAAAGGGGGACTTCGTGGTGGAGAAACCTGACAGGCTCCGCATTGGCCAGGTAACCCAGGCCAGCCCCACCTGTGACCCGGCAGGTGGAGACCATACACCCTTGGTAGGCTGCGATGAGGACGGGACTTCAACCCTGCGGTCTTCCTCCCAAAACCCATATCCCCTGTCTAACCAGGAGAAAGATATCAGACCAATCCCCACAGAGGGACACCCTCCGACACACCTGGCCAGCGCTCCTCAAAACTGCCAAGGTCATCAAACATGAGAGAAGCTGAGAGGAGCCTGAGACCCGAGGACTGAGTGTCCAGGATGGGCTCCTGGGACAGGAAAAGGACAGCAGGTGAAACTGAGGCAATAGGAATCAAGTGCACACCTTAGTCAATTACAATGTGTCAGTATTGGCTCATTAATTACATAACAAACACCAAACTAATGTCAGATGTTAACAACAGTGCCCTCCTATCTATCTTCACATCTTATCTGGAAACCCAGATCTATTCTAAAATAAAACATTTATCTAAAAATAAAAAGGAAAAAGTTGCTGTAGGTTCCTGATTGCTCCCATAGCAGGTTAGGCTCTCCCCCGTCGTTCCTAGCTTGCTAATAGTGGTAACAACAATGGCCATTTAAATCTACCATCTCAAGATGGAAAAAACACATGTACACAAAACGCAGTGGAAGGGCTGGCTACGAGTCAGAGGAATGACAGCAAGGATGGCTGAATAACAAAGAAACAGATGAAATCAGAGGAGCCTTGCCTGTTCTGACCATATTCTACACCTGGGACCCTCTTCGGGAGGCCCAGCCAAAGAAAGAAAGAAGGGCCAGGTGCGGTGGCTCATGCCCGTAATTCCAGCACTCTGGGAGGCCAAGGCAGATGGATCACCTGAGGTCAGGAGTTCGAGACCAGCCTGGCCAACGTGGTGAAACCCCATCTCTACTAAAAATACAAAAATTAACTGGCTGTAATCCCAGCTGCTCAGGAAGCTGACGCAGGAGAATCGCTTGAACCCGGGAGACAAAGGTTGTGGTGAGCAGAGATCGCGCCACTACACTCCAGCCTTGGGGACACAGCAAGACTCCATCTCAAAAAAAATAAATAAAAATAAAAAAGAAGGAAACCGGCTGTGGATTGTGTTAAGTTAAAAATCACAAGATCTATACACTCAGAAAGGAGACTTTACTTCTTATAAAGTCTTATAGCCTGTAAGGTGGCCATTCTGACAGGCTAGGAAGTGTGGCCTCCAGCCTAAGGCCAGAGACAGGTACTTGGAGGGAGGGTGCGGTGAGACAGGAATGTAAGCCGAATGGGTTGGTCAGGTATACATACTCAACAAGTTACAGGAGGCGTTGCGAATATACATGCATGTTTATTCGGACACGTGTGCTGGATAAACATGCATGTTACATATGACCCATGTTCACCTTGGGGTGAAGGCAGCATGTAAGCGTATTACAATTAGGTGGTATACCTCAAAAAGTACTTTCAGGACATGAAGGCACATGAGGGTGCAATCTCTGTAAACCAGCCAGAACCCGTCTATGGTCAGGGTCTCTTATCAGGGAAAAGTTACTGAAACGAGTCTCTTGTCCAAGGAAAGCTCTAGTTACGGCTGGTGGAGCAGGGGTGTGGGGCCAGGGTCGGCAGGGGGAGGAGCTGCGGTTGTTTCAATGCTGCTTATCTTGAGGCTAGTGCTTGTTTAGCTGCTACAGAAAAAGAGAAACCTGCGGCCTTTAGAACAGAGTTGATTCTTCACGTGCAGGGATGCACGACTTACTTTCACCAGGCCTGGCCTGAGGTCCTGTTTATAATTTGGTATTTTATTGCCACAGAGCCTGTTCTTAGTCTTATGATCTCTATTTTAACATGAACACCGGTCAATTCTGTCTAAACCACACAAGGGAGGGGGTAGAATGAGGTGCCTCTGACCTACCATCCCGTCACGGCTGGAAACTCAGTTTTTTGGCTTTTTTTTTTGAGATGGAGTCTCACTCTGTTGCCCAGGCTGGAGTGCAGTGGTACGATCTTGGCTCACTGAAACAGATTCAAGCAATTTTCCTGCCTCAGCCTCCAGAGTCGCTGAAATTACAAGCATCCACCACCACACCTGGCTAATTTTTTTGTATTTTTAGTAGAGACGGGGTTTTGCCATGTTGGCCAGGCTGGTCTCGAACTCCTGACCTCAGGTGATCCACCCGCCTTGGCCTCCCAAAATGCTGGGATTACAGGTGTGAGCCACCACGTCTGGCTGGAAACTCAGTTTTTAAGGTGTCTCTGGGACCCCTTGGCCAAGAGGGGTCTTTTCAGTAGTTGGGGGGCTTAGGATTTTTTTTTCTTTTTTTTTTTTGAGATGGAGTCTCATTGTCACCCAGGCTGGAGTGCAGTGGCACGATCTCAGGTCACTGCAACCTCTGCCTCCCAGGTTCAAGCGATTTTCCTGCCTCAGCCTCCCGAGTAGCTGGAATTACAGGTGTGTGCCACCACGCCTGGCTAATTTTTATGTATTTTTAGTAGAGACGGGGTTTTGCCATGTTGGCCAGGCTGGTCTCGAACCCCTGACCTCAGGGTGATCCACCTGCCTCTGCCTCCCAAAGTGCGGGGATTACAGGCATGAGCCACCGTGCCTGGCCAAGATTTTATTTTTAGTTTACAATTGGAAGGCTAGTGGGCCGGTGCAGAATCTCGCTGACTTTTGGGTGAGCATGTTGAGGGCCCCCTGCGTCAGCTGCTCTTCTGTTGAACGGTGCAGGGTGGGGAGGCCTGGGCTGCACTGGCCACACAGTCCCCTCAAGAAGATCTTCTACGTGAAACAAAGGAGCACTGAGCGAGGGGAGCTCTGCTCAGAAAGGACCATCTTGCATCACTGAAATTGTGGGAAATGATAACAAAAAATTGAAATGTCGTGAAGAAACACACCAATAAGACCATTTTTAAATATACAGAGGAAGCTAGAAAATACAGAAAGAGGAACCATTCGGACAAGATACTCAGGAAATATCCAGGATTGTTATACCTAAAACAGCCCTCACTGCCCCCCTCCTGGCAGCGCACCTGAGCCCGGAGCCTGCCAGGGACAGCTCTGAGGAGCCAGGCAGGGCCAGGGATGGGCTCTGAGGGGCCAGGCAGGGCTAGGGATGGACTCTCGTGCCTGCCTGCTTGAGGCTTCCTTGGTCAGAGCGAGCGATGCCACCTTTAGGATGGCCAGAATTAGCAAATAAAAATATGGGATGCCGATAAATCTGTACTTCAGATAAACAATTTTTAGTACATGCCCAACGCGGTAGAGGTAAATCTATAGGGGCTGAAGCAGATTTGCTGGGCCGTGGGCAGGGTGGGGAGTGAACGCTCATGGGCACGGGGTTTCTTTCTGGGGCAACAGAAACGGTGTCACATGAGATAGTGAGCATGGCCGCCCATCTCCGAATATACGGCAAAGCCATAAGCTTTCAATAAGTGAATTTCACAGTAAGTGCATTATATTTCAACAAATCTGTTTTAAAATCTTAACTGAGCCGGGCGTGCTGTCTCAGGCCTCTAGTCCCAGCTACTCTGGAGGCCGAGGCGGGAGGATCGCTTGAGGCCAGGAGTTCAAGACCAGCCTGGGCAACATAGCGAGACCCCATCTCTACAAAAAACACGTTAAACAAAAACGTTAATTGGGCGTTCCGTGTTGTATCCAGCAATCCTAACCGCCCTCCGTCCCCGCGAGCCCCAGTCCTTCCCCTGCGGCTGGGCTGGGTCCCCCGTCCCGGGCGGTGAGGGCGCCCTGCAGGCGTCCACAGAGCTGGGCTTCCGTGGCGGCAACCCTAACCCCAGCGCCACCTGGTACGGCCCGGCCCGCGGGTCCCTCCGGGTCAGGACGCAGACGCGCCCGCGGCGGTAACCGGGGGCCCGGGGGCCTCGGGCCCACCCCGGCCAGACCCCGGGGAGGAGCGCAGGACACTGCCCGCGCCGGGACTCGGCTGTTTCCGATCCTCCCGGGCGTCCTTTAGGAGACTCATTCGCAGCCGACGTTGCGGAGGCGCAGGAAAAGGGCGAGCAGGTGCCTCAGGGACACCACTTCCAACCGCACGCCGATCGCCGGCTCCACCATAAATAGAAACGGGTGGTCTCTAATTGGCCTAGCTCTAATTGGCCTAGCTGTTGTCACGTGCTCTCCGATGGCCCAATCACTAAGGCTGGACGATGCTGCACTGTGAATGGCCAGGCCCGAGTCATGTGCCCGGAGAGGGCGGGGCTGGGCCCTTCCGCTCGCCGCGTCTGGCGATCGCGGCTACGGAGACCCAGGAGGGCCCGGCCAGGAGACCCGCTCTCTAGAGCGGCGAGGGCAGGGGTTGCTAGGGCGCCGGGGTCGAACCCGCGCTTCCTGCAAGTCTTAGGGCCGCATCCCTGCCGAGGCGGGCGTTGGGAAGGGTGGGAGATGGGAAGGTGCGGTGGTGCGGGGAGGGGAGGGCGCCGGGAGGGGTCGGAGAGGGGTCGCGGGTTTTGGGGCTGCGAGGAGGGAAGGAGGGAAGAGGAGGGAAGAGGAGGGCAAGGGGAGGGGAGGGCGGGGAGGAGAGAGGGCGCGGGCAGGGGAGTGGAGGGCGCGGGGAGGGGAGGGCGCGGGGAGGGGAGGGCGGGGAGGAGAGAGGGTGCGGAGAGGAGGGCGGGAAGGAGAGGGGACGGGGGGAGGGAGGGGACGGGGGGAGGGAGGGGAGGGTGGGGGAAGGAGGGGAGGGGAGGGTGGGGGAAGGAGGGAAGGGGAGGGGAGGGGAGGAGAGGGCGGGGAGGGGAGGGGAGGGCGCGGGCTGCGGGGCTGCGGGGAGGGAGGGGCGGGTTCAGGGCTGTGGGCCCCGCCCGGGGCACCGCCTGGATCAGGCCTGAGGCCGGCTGCAGAGAACTTGGGCACCGCGGACCAGATTGCTGGTCACCAGGATGAAAAATAAAAAAGACCCAAACAGCTCCCCCGACCCCGCCTTCGCGCAGGCCCCTGGCGTTCTGCTCAGGGGTTTTTGTTTAATGAAGAACGTCAAACATCTGGCAAGGTCGGAATGATTTTGCGATGAGCACCGCCTGGATTCTGCGGTGAAAGCGACTGTGTGCGCGCTCACGGCCTCGCCTGTCCCTGCATCAGCCCATCTCGTCAGGCAGATCAACATGAAGCTGTAAAACGGATGACTTAGGCCGGGCGTCGTGATGGGCGCCTGTAATCCCAGCTACTCGGGAGGCTGAGGCAGGAAAACCGCTTGAACCTGGGAGGCGGAGGTTGCAGTGAACCGCGGTTGCACCACTACACTCCAGCCTGGGAGACAGAGCGAGACTCCGTCTCAAAATAAATAAATAAAACATATGACTTAGGTATATACGCATGGGGGGAATCCTCGTAAGGCAAGAACGTGCTGCACATTCTGGGGACTGGGACAGGATAAGCACACGAGTAGATCTAAGTCACTGGAAATACCTGGTTTTGCTGTTGGAGGGGGGCTTGCAGGTGCTCGTTATATTATTACGCTGTTGTAGTAAAACGATGTTAGTTACAGTATTAAATTGCAAATGTCAGTATCCATCACCGCCAAAACAGCGTGCATACCACTAGCATATGATTTTTGTAGTTTTTTAATGTTAAGTTTGTAATGAAGTGCACAAACTTAATTATACATTGGCTGAGGTTATTTGTTTTAAAGGCAGTACTTGCTCTATGGCCCAGGCTGGAGTGCAGTGCGTGATCATGGCTCACTGTAACCTCAAATTCTTGGCCTCAAGCGATCCTCCTGCCTCACCCTCCTGAAAGGACTGGGATTACAGGCGTGAGCCACCATGCCCAGCCTCCTTTTGCTGAGTTTTAACAAATACAGTAGTGTAACCGAAGATGCCATCAAGACAAATAGAACACGTCCCTCACCCCAGAAAATTCTCTTATGCCCCTTTCCATTCTATGTCCACTGCTACCATGCCACCTGTGCTGATTTCTCCACTATGCTTCCGCCTGTTCTAAGAGTTCATACTAATGGATCATTGGGTACATGTCCTTGTGTAAGGCGTCTTTCCCTTAGCGTCATGTTTCTGGAGATTCTTCTGTGTTGTTTCATGTCTCAGGAGTTTGTTCTTTTGATTGCCAAGCAGTCCAGTGTAAACACACCGGTGTGTTTATCTGCTGTATTCATGGACACTTGGAGCTGTGTCTGGCTATTGGCGATCACGAATAAAGTTGCTGTTGACTTTCTTTTTGAAGTCTTTGTGTGGACATGTTTTTATTTCTCTGGGCAGATACTGAGGAATGGGTCAAAGGAAAGGAGTATGTTTGGTTTTATGAGAAGTTGCCAGATTTCCCCACTGGCTGCTTCCATATTAGTAGTGGAGTCTGAGTCTTCCATTTCCTCCACATCCTCACAGCACTTGGTAATGCCAGCGTGTGTGTGTGTGTGTGTGTGTGTGTGTGTGTGTGTGTGTGTGTATGTGTTGTAGCCGTTTTATTTATTTTTTTTGAGACGGAGTCTCACTCTTGACACCCAGGCTGGAGTGCAATGGCGTGATCTTGGCTTGCTGCAACCTCCACCTCCTGGGTTCCAGTGATTCTCCTGCCTCAGCTTCCTGAGTAGCTGGGATTACAGGTGTGCACCAGCACGCCCGGCCAATTTTTGTACTTTTAGTAGAGATGGGGTTTCACTACGTTGGCCAGGCTGGTCTCGAACTCCTGACCGCAGGTGATCCGCTCGCCTCAGCCTCCCGAAGTGCTGGGATTACAGACGTGAGCCCCCTTACCCAGCCTGGTAACCACCATTCTACTCTCCTACTAATTCCACTTTTTTGCACTCCACATGTATATCAGTGGGATCATGCAGATTTGTCTTTCTGTGCCTGGCTCAGTGATGTCCTTCAGGTTCATCCGTGTTGTCAGCAATGACAAGATTTCCTTCTTTTTAAAGGTTCAATGGTATTCTAAGGTGTAAATGTGTTTTTTTCTGTGGGGGATAGGTCAGAGTGGTGTGAAAAACTATAGGGAAAGGACGCAAACCTTCTGAAAGGGCGGAGGGTTCTGCAGAGCTCCCGGGGAGAATAGCTGAAGGCAGCTGTCCTACAACTCTGAGGCAGAGGGCAAGGAGTTGGTACAAAGGAGTGTAGGGGAATTTATCTTAAACAGGCTTGTTTACTTATGTTGACCAGGAACTGACCTTTGATCATCCGTCCAACGTTCCCTGAAAGGGGAACGATAAATGTTAATTACCTACAGGTTGTGTGGGCTCCAGGTTTTCGGCATTGTGCCTGCACTGAGTAAAAGCAGACAGTGGCCGGGCGCGGTGGCTCACGCCTGTAATCCCAGCACTTTGGGAGGCTGAGGCGGGCGGATCATGAGGTCAGGAGTTCGAGACCATCCTGGCTAACACGGTGAAAGCCCATCTCTACCTAAAATACAAAAGAATTAGCTGGGCGTGGTGGCGGGCACCTGTAGTCCCAGCTACTCGGGAGGCTGAGCCAGGAGAATGGCGTGAACCCGGAAGGCGGAGCTTGCAGTGAGCCGAGATTGTGCCACTGCACTCCAGCCTGGGTGACAGAGCGAGACTCCATCTCAAAAAAAAAAAAAAAAAGCAAGCAGCTCCAGCTTCTCCAGGCTGTTCTCTGGCCACTAGAGCCAGGCAGCCCCCTAGCTGGTCTTACACTGCATACCTGTGTCTGAGTACTCATTTCACCCGTCGGCCAGGATCTGCGGGACAGACCCGGCATTCTTCGTTATCCATTCATTCGTTGACGGACACTTAGGCGAGTTCCGTACCTTGATTGCAGTGACTAATGCTGCCCTAATGGCATTTCATTGGAAATGAACTATTACAGGAGGGTTTTTGAAGTGGCTTATGATCCAGAAAAGGAATCTTCCAATACCTCTGTGCCCCAAAACCTTGGGTAAAATACCAACAGTGCAGTTGGTCTAAAAGGCACCACTTAAATTGCGTTGCAGATGACGTTGCTAAGGATGGCTTTCTGGTCTCCTGGTTCTGGGCAGCTCCCTGCACTGCTGGTTTCAGTCATGTTGCAAGGAGAGTATTAGCAACTCAGTAGTGATGAGGTTTAGTGGACATTTTATTTAACGTTCTGTCAAATAGGCCAAATGAAATGTTACATATGAAAAGAGCCTATATTCTGATTTCTGCCTGGGGATGTAAACATTAGCTTGCATGATGCCTGGAAGCCCCGGAACCTGAGCTCCCAACCACCTGCCAGCTGCTGGCTGCCCCTCCCTCCCTCCTCTCCACCCCCCTCAGCCTCCTCTTCCTCCTCCCATCCTTCCTTCCCTTCCCGCCTTCCCCCAGCGCCCCATGAAGCTAGTTTTAGAATGGCTTTTTGGAGCAGTTATGTTATAAGGATTGGCAGCTCATGAGTTTAATATTCTTATGGGTCTTCCAAAGTGCAAAGAGAACACAAAGTTACTTTTGCTTTTGTAATAGAGTAAAACGCATCCTATCCTGACCTAAGATGCACAAATCAACCCATCTTGTCAGGCAGATAAACTTCTCATAAACCTGTAAAACATATGACTTATGTATCCCAGTGGTCTTATCTTTCCTATCATGAGATGTCTGCTAGTCCATCATCCTGGAATTATCCATGGAATTATCACCCATCCATGGCTCCCAGCTATGCCACAGTGACTGCAATCCTAAGATTGGGCATCCGGAAGGATGGCCCAACACCGTGCCACCCTGCAGCTTTGCCGCAAGCTGCCCTGGGTCCTGCATCCTCTTCGAGGTGGAATGAGAACACAGCCGAGAGCTCAGGATCTTCCAACTGCTGCCCACAGTGGCAAAAAGAAACCTGGTGGGAGAAGATGAGTCAGACGGAGCCAGGAGCCCGCGGCCGGTGACGCCAGCGGTGGGGGAACACAATGTCCTGTGGGTGATCGGTGAGCGAGCGGACGGTGGATTTCTCCTGCAGTCGGTGGCAGGAAGGATGTCATCACGCGCTATTTTGTGACCAGCCCCTGGACCACAACTCACGTGAGCAGAAGGGCTTTCTTCTTTGCTTAAGATGTCTGTGCTTGCAAACTTACTGGCCACAGGTACAAGGAGGTTTTCTTTGCTTATGTTCATATTAAACATGTTAATAAAGGTTTTTCTTATTGTCCTTGTTTTTACATTTATAAATTACTCATAAGCTGACGAAACAGAAAACAGAGACTCATCTCCGGTTCCCGGTACAGTGAGGTGAGAGCTGCTGTGCTGGGTGCGGGAAGCGCCTGGCCCCAGGTTCCTCCTGGACGGAGGCCAGAAGGGCTGAGCAAGAGCCAGCGAGGCTGGGGAGGAGGAGGAGGCGCTGGAACAGGAACGGCCGGCCGGGAGGGGCGAGGCTGGGGGACAGTCACGCAGGGCTGAGGCGGGCGTGTGGTGCGGGAGCGTGTGTGTGCAGGAAGCTTGTGTGCGTGCGTGTGGGGAGCGGGTCTGGTGAGGGCGCACTTGGGCCTGAGCCCCTTCCGGCCCCTCGTGTTTGCTGGAGGCTGCGTGTGCTGTGTCCCCACCCCAGATGCTTGCCCTGAGGGGCAGGTTTCCATCCAACACCCCGATTGTCTCCTTCAGTAAACCCCCGGCACCGTCTACCCGGAAGTTGTGGGCTGGGAGGGATGACATGCCCTGGGGACTGTGAGCAGTGGAACCCACGTCATTGCAAGGAAATGATCACACAAACACCAGCTCGGCAGAGTGGAACCTTTGCCAAACCTCAGAGCTGCAGCGAGCGGCTGGGCAACCTTCCTGAGGACGGCGCCCCCTCGCCCAGCTCCAAGCTCCTCCCTGTCCCCACAGGATATCCCTGGACCTGGCGGGTCACTCTAGCCAGAGCAGCCTTCCACAGTCCTCCAGGGTCAGAGCTACAGTTGAGGACCCTGTAGGTGGTAGAGGTGCCCGGGGCCGGGCTCTGGGGCTGGCAGAGGCAATGTCAGCGCCTGCCACCTGCGATGTGGCCAGGGAACTTGGGGCTGAGCAAGGGCACAGAGGGGAGAGTGTGGCATGAGGGAGAGGCGGGACCCCGCAGAGGCTCCCACACCTTCCAAGGCAGCAGAGGAGAAGGGGAGGCTGCCAACAGCCAGACCAGGGCTCCAGGGGGGCGGCAGGGGGCCCAGGGAGCTCCGGGAAATGGGACAGCCACTGTCCACCTGCAGAACGCTGGCTTAAGCCTTGCAGACGGGCCCAGTGGGCAGGGTCGTGATTTTCACTCCCGAAGGGCCTGGGGTGACAAGCCGGAGGTCTGGGAGATGGGACTGGAGACCGTGTTCAGAAGGAGGAGCTCTCCACTCTGTTGGCAAAAGCCCTGGAGCTCCAGGCATCCACAGTGACCGAATGTTGGTAAAGTCCCAGAGGACGGGACCCAGGGCATGCCCCTCACTGGACGGTGGCCTCGGGCCCTGCAGGGAGTTGAATGTGGGGTCATGAAGATGTCAGAATTGCGTCTGAAGATGTCAGAATTGCATCTGAGGAGGCAGGTGGGCACACGTGATGCAGGGACACGCCATGCACCAGGGTGGGTTCAGAGCAGCAGAAGCTCTAGGGGGCACCTACAGGTTTCTATAAAATGGGGGATTTAAGGGGCCTTGGCCTTCTGCGACTGTGGGGCTGGCTGAGGAGCATCTGGGAAGCCACGTGGGAGCTGGAGGTCACAGGGCAGGCCGGCGGGAGGGCAGCGGGGCAGGGATTTGGGCCCCATCTCCAACACTGAGCCTGGGCCGGGCACATAAAGTCCCCACAATTGCTGTGGAAAGAACCAAGTGAATGCCTAACTTCCTGCCAGCCTTCCAGGAGTAACTCAGTAAAACAAAACCAACCAACCAACAAACCCAGAAGAGGCCCGAGGTCCATGGTAAAAATTCAAGAGGTGGAAGGGGCTGGACTATGGGACCAAGGTCAGGTCTTTCTCCTTCGAGGGACCAATGGGTGGCCAGGCTCTGAGGCTGCGAGGTCCCCGACACGGTGAGGGGCACGCCTGAGTCCCGGCCTCTGCATCTCCTCAGGCACCTCCCACTTTTCTGGTGGGTTGCTATTTTCCTTTTCTTTTCTTTTCTTTTCTTTTTTTTTTTTTGAGGCGGAGTCTCACTCTGCCACACAGGCTGGAGTGCAGTGGTGCGATCTCAGCTCGCTGCAACCTCTGCCTCCTGGGTTCAAGCAATTCTCCTTGCCTCAGCCTCCTGAGTAGCTGGGATTACAGGCACTTGCCACCACGCCCAGTGAATTTTTGTATTTTTAGTAGAGACGGGGTTTCGCCATGTTGGCCAGGCTGGTCTTGAACCTCGGCCTCCCACAGTGCTGGGGTTACAGGCTGAGTCCTGCGCTGGCCAGGTTGCTATTCTCTTCTTGTGTTGTGTGCATTCCTCTTCTATTCTGTGAACAAAACCTGGTGCAGGAGACCGTCTGTGTTCCCAAGCTGTCGCCAATACTGGACTACGGATTTTTGAAGCTTACAATTTCATGGGTGCAAATTGCACTTTGCATTTCTGTAACAGTGAGTGCAGTTGGGCATTTTCACATGTATCTAAGCTGTTATCTTGTTTGAGACCGGACCGTGCATTCTTCTCTTCCTTACTGGCTTCGGGACCTCTCTGTGTGCTGAGAAGATGGGCTGCTTGCCCACTGTCCCCTGAAGTTCCACACACCGCTGACTTTGGGGTGTGAGCCCTGCTGCTCCCAACAAACCCCAGCTCTCAGGCTGGCTCTTAAAGTCCCATACTCTGGGCCGGGTACGGTGGCTCACACCTGTAATCCCACTTTGGGAGGCCGAGGCAGGCGGACCACGAGGTCAGATCAAGACCATCCTGGCCGACGTGGTGAAACCCTGTCTCTACTAAAAATACAAAATGTAGCTGGGTGTGGTGGCGCGTGCCTGTAATCCCAGCTACTCGGAAGGCTGAGGCAGGAGACTCGCTTGAACCAGGGAGTCAGAGGTTTCAGTGAGCTGAGATCATGCCATTGCAGTCCAGCCTGGCGACAGAGCGAGACTCCATCTCAAAAAAAAAACAAATCCCATACTCTGGGCTTCCTAACCCTGGACTCTCCCCAAAGCATGCAGAACGTGTGGGATGTACATTTCTCTGTGAGAGGGCGACAGCCCTGGGGGGACCTTCCCATTGGTCCATGACTGCCCAGCCGACTGGGAATTCACCTTGAGGTGCCCTGGCGGGGAGGGGGGCTCCATCTCTTGTCAAAAGTCTCTGCTACCTCTGGGCCTCAGTTTCCCCACCTGTTAGCCCAACTCCCTTCCAGGCCAGGAAGCGCTGGCAGGCGGTCTCCCACCCACGCCCCGTCCCGCCACCAGAGGGCAGGCAGTCCTTCTCGGCTGGGGCCAGCCCGGCGCAGCTGGCATTTCTCCTGCAGGATGCCATGGCCCACCGAGCTGGGAGGCCACATGCTGGAGCCGCCTGCGGGCAGTAGAGGCCTCAGAGGCAGGCCCAACCCGGGTCAGGGCAGGCCGGGGCTGGCCCAGAAGATTTCAGCAGAGAGGAGGGGTTCCAGATGGGCCTCGGGGGAGGTGTGCAGGGCGTGTGTGAAGAAAGCTGCCCCCTGGGACTCTCTCTTGCCCCCGGACGTGGAGAAGCCTCAGGCCCCACAAACCCAGATGTACCCAGAAAGGAGGTCCGGGTGGCACTGAGGTGCCAGGCTGATGGGGGAGGTCCGGGTGGCACTGAGGTGCCAGGCTGATGGGCCGAGGTGGGGAAAGGGCCAGGAGGGGTGAGCTGGGCAGGAGGGGGACCACTGAAGTGCATCCCTGGGGACCCCAGGCCACAGTGCCCTGGATGGCTGGGTGGGCAGTCGGGTTCAGCCCAGACACCAGGGAGCAGGGCCGGAGGGCACAGCAGCGCAGGCTGAGCTGAGGGCTCTCCCTGGGAGGAGGGAGAAGGTGACGCGGGCTTTCTCATCAGGGTGTTGAGGGCAGGGGCAGGGGTGGCTCATGATGGTGGGAAAGGGGCAGGGGCCTTGGAGCCCTGGGTTGGTGTGGAGAGAGGGCCCAGGCAGGGGTCCCAGCGTGCTTGAAAGCCAGCCCTGGGGTGCACACAATGTCCTTCCTGGCAGCTATGGGGACAATGTGACTGGCCACTTCGTCCGTCTTAAGGCCCCCCACTGTGCTGTCTCAAGGCCCCCCGCATGGAGTTTGGTGACCAGGACCAGGGGGTGCATGTCCTTGCTGGGGCCCCAGAGCTGGTCCCGGAGATGGCAGGAGTGCAGGGGCTTCTGGGGTGGACCCCTGCTCTCTGGCCCATGGTCCCCTAGCCCGGCAAGTGACAGCCCTCAGCAGGGAGGTTGGGGCCCACGGAGCTGGGAGAGCAGCAGGGGGCCTGTGCAGACTAGCCCGGTCCCCAGCCACCACCCCCAGGTGTGGGAAAGGCAGGCGCCTGGGGGATCTGAGGTTTCGGTCCTGCCCCGCTGAGGGTGTGGGAGGAACGGTAGAGGACTCTGAGGGTCAAGGCGGTCTCTCCTGGGAGTGCCAGGGAGGGCCTGTATCCTCTCACATCTGGGTGAGAAGGGGGCTACCCCACACGCCCTGTACTCCCTTTGCAGTCCTCTGTCTCCCCCACAGGGACCCCAGTTTCTGGGCCCCCCCTCACTGCTCTTCCTGGACCCCTCTTGTCTTCAAGGAGGGGTTGGGTGGGGCTGGCTCGCTGGGAAGCTAAGCAGCAGCTGGCACTGGGCCTCCGCTGCAGGTAGGAAGTGGTGTCTGCGCTGGTGGGAACGCGGTTTACCCGCCCACACAGGCTGCTCGGCCCTTTCTCCGAGTGTGAGGTGTGCTTGGGGAGGCCGGCGGCCGAGTGGCCAGGCCCAAGGCCTTAAAGAGAAGTGGGTCTCTTCGGCTTCCCAGGCTGGGACTTTGAAGACCAGAAAACGTGAAATTAGGACCCGCCACAAGGAGAGGGAGTTGGAAAAGCCCAGGTCCCTTTGCAGATCACCCCCTTGTACTGAGGTTTCTGAAGCTCGGGGTGAGGGCGGATGCAGGGAGCGGGGCAGCCTGGTCCCAGAGCCCGGGGTCTCAGCCAGGCAGGATCGGCAGTGACCATCTCCTGGTGCCGCCCCGGGACCTGGCTGCCAGCTGCTGCTCCTGGGAGGGAGACTGGGGAGGGTGAGGGGATGCAGCCCCCGACCTGAGCAAAACCACTTCCATGGGGCTTGGGGCCCCTCCCCAGAGAAGCCCTCTTCCAAGTCACCACCAGCGTACGGACCCAGGAGGCCTGAGGCAGGCGGGGCGTCCTCCGTCTGGGTGACCCTCTCCCGGCCTGCATTATGGGGCTGGGAGCGGCTGGGCCCAAAGCTGAAGGCGGTCTTTCGGGTGCTGAGCCTTTAGCAGGGCTGGGAAGTTCCATCCTTCATGACAGAGGCCGTCAGGGGCTGCTGGGGTAGAAACCCAGGCAGGGGTCTTATTAGGACAGGCAGTCCTGTCATGGATGGAGGAGTCCCAGGTAGCTAGGGCGCCTGCTGGAGGCCCCAGGCCAGGGGTGGGCGGTGGTTTGGAGCCCTGCTCCGGGGGTGAATTCTGTGGCAGAAGAGAGACAGAGGCAGGATGCCGCCTCCGCGACCACTGTGAGAATCAGGGAGCTCAGCCCCCAGCGGTCAGCCCCGGCCCGAGTCTCAGCTTGAGCTTGCTGAGCAGCTGGGGGCGTGGGTCTGGCCGGCTCCGCACCTCTACACCGCGGCTTTCCCTCCATGGCCACGGATGGCCAGGCACTCCAGCCTTGGAGCCAGGCCTTCTGCTCCAGCCTCTGGGAGCCATTTCCCAAATCCCACAGCAGCCCCCAGTCTGTGGGTAAGGAAGGAAAGGGGCAGCTGTGTGGCCAGCACCCACAGCGTCCTCACCCTCCCCCGGTTTCTGGCATCTTCCTCCGTGGTCTAGGGCGGACTTTGATCTTCAACTCAGGAAGCACCAAGAGTTCGTGCACAGGACGGCGCAGGCTGTTGCCCCAGAAGCTAGGGGAGGGGTACCCACTGTGTGGTCTCACGGTGTGGAGCACCTGGGGTAGGCAGGCTGAGCGTGGGAACGGCCCTGGCCATTTGCGGTGGCCCTGGCCTCTGGTGCCTGTGTCCCTGTGTCGGGGGGCACCGCGTCCTGTGGGTCTTTGCACCGCACTGAGCCCCTCCTCCACCCTGCACAGCTTCTGAAGAGCTCATCCAGCTGTGGCCACAGGCCCTGGTGGCGACTCCCCACTTCTGTGGGGCAGGGGAGGTTGAGGTCTCTCCGGAGGGGACCTCTCCTTCTCCATCATTGTTACCTGGGGCAGGCGAGTGCCCTTCAGACCTCGCTGTCCTGACCGGGGCCACCTCCTCCTGGCTCAGGCTTGGTTTTATTCAAGGAGAGGCTGGGTCTCCCTGGCTCCCTGTGAGCCCAAGAAGATTAAATGCATTAAACAATGGGGTGAAGCTGATGGCTTGAACCTGAGGGAGAGGCGGATGTGCTCGGGGGGCACCTGAGGAGCCCCAGGCCCAGGGGTGTCTCCAAGCAGGCCAGCCACCTGCCACAGCCTGGAGACCGGGAGGCTCGAGGGTCCCGGAGGCTGCCCACCGGATGCAGGGCAGCTTGAGAGTCTCAGCGGGACAGCAGCTCCCGGCCCGGCGGCCGCCCATCAGTCAGCCCACCCCACTGTCCTTCACCACTCCAGCAAGTGGAGGGGCTGAGGGGGCCCCTGGGGCTGGGGGTGGGAAGGAGAAGGAGCCCTGGGGGAGAGGGGCTTGTCGGGCGAGAGAAGGGGAGGGGAGTGGAGGGGAGGCGAGGAAGGGAGGAGAGAGGAGCAGATGCGACCTGGCCCTGTCACGGGGAGGCTAGGGCCCCTCTACAAGGCTCCCGCCCTTCTTCCAGCTGCCCTCTGAGGCCCTCTGGCCTCTGAGCACCAAGAGCCCCAGGCTCCCCGCCTCCAGGCTGCTGGGTTCTGGCCGACCCACCCTGGTGGGAGCCGACTCATGTTCTCCCTGCTGACTCTGCGAGCCTGGAGGTGGCCCGGCCCCATCCATCCCCTCCCCTCCCCCTGCTCCCCACCCCTCCGCTCCTTGCCCCCTTATCTCCTTCCCTCTCCCTCCTCCCTTCCTCTCTTCCCCATGTCCAACGCCAGCTCCCGGGCCCCACTCCAGCTGCCCAGGCCACAGTGATTCCCTGTCCTGTCTTCTGAGGCCATTTTCCCAACAGCATTGGCTGAGGCAGGAGGATCACTTGAGCCCAGGAGGTGGAGGCTGCAGTGAGCTGTGATCGCGCCACTGCGCTCCAGCCCAGGCAACAGAAAGAGACCCTGTCTCAAAAAAAAAAAAAAAAGAAAAGAAAAAGAAAAAGAAAAAGTTGACTGAGTGTAAAAGTCACTTATTCTGAGGAACAAGAACCTACTCCTGGCTCCAGCTTTGCTCCTAACCTGGCATTTGGTTTTGAGGATGTTACTCAGGCCCGGAGCTCCCATTGCCACTCAACTGGGCATCCTCGTGCCTGGGGAGGCCCAGCACTGGCTCTAGGGAAAACGGGACATGTGGAAGGCTGGGGGCTGGAAATTCCTGCCATGGGGCTCGGGGGTGGTCTCAGTCCTGCCCCTGAGTTCCCGGTCGACCCTTGGAGAAGCTGCGGCAGATGGGATCTCTGACATGGGATCCGTGCTGGCGCCCTCCCTCCTGCAACACAGAACTAACAACCCCACCTTCAGGGCCTTTGATGCTGCGCACACACCACCGGCTCCGCGAGGCAGCCTGTCTGGCTGGACCTCGCTGAGGCCTGTTCACCCTGAAGCACCTGACCACAGACCTCAGCCCTCTTAAGGCCCTGGAGGGGGCCTGGCAATGTCCTCACCCGGCTGGGGTTGTATACAATTTGCTCAAGCTGTTTTGACAGCAGTTGGTCCAGACTGCCGTCTCCTCTGGCATCAGGTGCCCGGAGCAGTTCTGGGGCCCAGCTGAGGGACACTGAGCTGGGGTGTTTAGCTGGGCTTAGCTTAGTGGGGTATGTTGATGGCTGTGCAGTTGCTCCGAGACTGAGGATGTTGTTTCCAGCTGTCTGAGAGAGGGATGTTGCCCTGGATTGAATGGTGTCCCCTGAAATCCGTGTCCGCCTGGAACCTCTGAACAGGGCCTTATTTGGAGACAGGGTCTTGGCAGATGTCATCCAGTTGAGGTTACTGGATGGCCCTGAATCCCACGCGGCTGGTGTCCTGATGTGAAGAGAGAAACCACAGGCCTGGGAGAAGGCCACGTGACGATGGAGGCAGAGACTGGAGCGGCGCAGGCACAAGCCGGGAACGCCAGGGCCGCCGGCAGCCCCAGGAGCTGGGAGAGGCCTGGAGCCCGTTCTCCCTCAGAGCCTCTGGAGGGAAACAAATGATGTCACGACACTGTGGCCACCTGAAGAGGCGGCCAGAGAGCAGGCAGCAAGACGAAGCAGCAAAAATACAAGTGATCCACTCTGCTGAGTGACTGCTCCCCCCGACCCTCTGCGCTGCCCTGCATGCGGGCTTCCGTTACCACACCGTGTGTGAGCCCCCAGAGGCAGCTTCCTGCCTGTCTGTGTGGTCAAGTATGGTTATCTTTGGGTGTGGAGGAATTAAGAATTTTTATTCTCTTTTTCTTCTTTTTTTTTTTGAGACAGGGCCTTGCTCTGTCACCCAGGCTGGAGTGCAGTGGCACAATCTCGGCTCACTGCAACTTCAAACCCTGGGCTCAAGATATCCCCCTGCCTCAGCCTCCCGAGTAGCTGGGATTACAGGCACTCGTCACCACGCCCAGTTAATTTTTGTATTTTTTGTAGAGACTGGGTTTCGCCATGTTGCCCAGGCTGGTCTGGAGCTCCTGGGCTCAAGTGATCCACTCACCCCGGCCTCCCAAAGTGCTGAGATGACAGGCGTGAGCCACCGCGCCCGGCCTCGTTCTCATTTTCTTGCTTAGTTCCTGATGACAGTAAATGAGCATTTAAACAAGGTTTCATGTACACTGATGCTAGTGTCTGTTTTCTGTTTCACAAGCGTAGAGGTCCATGTTAACTAATTCATGACTTAGATCTGAAGGAGCACATTAAAAGCTTGGGCTTAAATGGGTGATGTATCTGGTTTTCTCTGTGGCTATATCATTCCTGGTTTGCATGTTTTGTCTTTATTTTTAGTTTCACCTGTGTTCATACTGGTTATATCTTATTCTATTGTTCCATTTTGTCAGAACATAAGATTGATGACTTTTGTTTTCTTCTGGTTCCTATCTGCCTCATAAGTTTTCTATCCTTTTATTTCCAACCTATTGGTGTCCTTTTGTTTAAAGTGTGTTTACAGGTGTGGTGGCTCATGTTTGTAATCATTGCACTTTGGGAGGCTGAGATGGGAGGGTCACTTGAGGCCAGGAGTTTGAGATCAGCCTGGGCAACACAGTGAGACCCGTCTCTACAAATAATTCAGAATAATTAACTGGGTGTGGTGGTGCACACCTGTAGTCTCAGCTACTCAAGAGGCTAAGGGAGGAGGATTGCGTAAGCCTGAGAGGTGGAGGCTGCACAGAGCTGTGATCGAGCCACTGCACATCAGCCTGGGTGACAGAGTGGGACCTTGTCTCAAAAAAAAAAGGAGAAAGAAAGAAAGAAAAGAAAAGAAAAGAAAAGAAGCCGGGCGCGGTGGCTCATGCCTGTAATCCCAGCACTTTGGGAGGCCGAGGCAGGTGGATCACGAGGTCAGGAGATAGAGACCATCCTGGCTAACACAGTGAAACCTCGTCTCTACTAAAAATACAAAAAATTAGCCGGGCGTGGTGGCGGGCGCCTGTAGTCCCAGCTACTCGGGAGGCTGAGGCAGGAGAATGGCGTGAGCCCGGGAGGCGGAGCTTGCAGCGAGCTGAGATTGCGCCACTGCACTCCAGCCTGGGTGACAGAGCGAGACTCCATCTCCAAAAAAAAAAAAGAAAGAAAGAAAAGAAAAAAATAGGTATCTTCTGTAGACAACATATTGTTGAATCTTTACATTTATTTATTTATTTATTTGTTTAGAGACAGGGTCTCACTCTGTCGCCCAGGCTGGAGTGCAATGGCACGATCTTGGTTCACTGTAACCTCCACCTCCTGGGTTCAAGTGATTCTCCCACCTCAGCCTCTCGAGTAGCTGGGATTACAGGCACCTGCCACCACGCTGGGCTAATTTTTGTATTTTTTCTTAGAGACGGGGTTTCACCATGTTGGTCAGGCTGGTCTCAAACTCCTGACCTCAAGTGATCTGCCTGCCTTGGCCTCCCAAAGCGCTGGGATTACAGGTGTGAGCCATGGCGCCCGGCCACCCAGCTTGATTTCTAAACCTCATCTTCATCTACATCTTGTTTCTGACAGGAGAAATGTCTCCACATGTTGCCACGTCCGTCAGTCTCCGCCTCCCTCTCTCCATGACATTGGTATTATCTAGAATTTTAGTTCTAGATTGTTATGTAGATTGAACATACATTGTAGATTCTGCGCTTTTTTTTTTTGTCATTGCTTTTTCTTTTTTGGACAAAATAAACTATCTGATTGCTTCTTATTTCTCTTGTAAGGATCTTCTTGTTTCGGTTTCTTCTTACTTGGATCCTGCCTCCAAGAGGGGTTTCAAAGTTAACTTCTCGGATGTGTCTTAAGACCTTATATGCAGCTAGGCGCGGTGGCTCACGCCTGTAATCCCAGCACTGTGGGAGGCAGACGGATCACTTGAGGTCAGGAGTTTGAGGCTATCCTGGCCAACATGGTGAAACCCTGTCTCTACTAAAAATAAAAATACAAAAATTAGCCTGGCGCGGTAGCACACGCCTGTCATCCCAGCTACCCAGGAGGCTGAGGCGGGAGAAAAACTTGACTCCAGGAGGTGGAGGTTGCAGTGAGCCAAGATTGCACCACTGCACTCCAGCCTGGGTGACAGAGTGAGACTCTGTCTCAAACAAAACAAAACAAAAACCCTTATATGCCTGAGAATATCTTTATTATATACTTAAATTTTATGATAATTTAGTTAGAGGCGACATTCCAGGTACAAACTTCTTTTCTTTCCACACTGAAGCATATTTTTTCCATCGTCTCCTTGAACCCAGAGTTGTCTTTGAGAATTCTGAGATCATCTGAGTTTGAGGATTCTCTGTCTGGTTTTGACGTTCTAGTCCTTTGAATGTGTCCAGCAGGTTTTCCTTCTCTCTCCTGTGTGGCCGTCGATGCACTGCTGTGATATGAGCGCTCTCTCTTCTCTGCTTCTGGGAGATTTATCGTCGTTCTCCCTCTCTTTCTCTCCCTCTCTTTCTCATTTATTGGATATGTTTTCTCTTCCGTTATCTGTGTCTCTTAGCTTTTTCTTTTTTTCTCTCTCTATTCTTTCCTTCTGGGGGCTTCCTCAGCTGGATCTTGCCTCCCTAACGCGGCTTTCCTGTTGCTCATTCCATCCGTGGTTTCCCTGGGTCAGGGATTCTGTCTTTCGTCCCTGGCGTGCCGCGCCGCGTGGGTGTTGACGGCTTTTTCTTCCTGCTCCCGTCCTTTGAGGGTGTGCCTTTTGCTGGCCGTGACGGGTGCAGCTCTGCCCTGGCTCCCTCAGGTGCGTGTGGCCCGTGCGGCCGTCTGCTTCCCGGACAGAGCGCCCGCCTCAGGATGCCAGCTCTCAGGCCATGAGCCTCAAGGGCACCCAGATCTGGTCCAGGCTTTGGGGCTGGGCCAAGCCTGGAGTGGGAGGGGCGAGCCCCTGGGTGGCACAGGCCCTGCCCCTCAGAGCCCTCTGCCCGCCTTGACAACCCCCTCCCTGTCAGCCGCTGTTCCTTGGCCAACACCTCGTGTTGGGAGCTTAGTTTTTTTTTTTTCTTTGAGATGGAGTCTTGCTCTGTCACCCAGGCTGGAGTGCAGTGGCACAATCTCGGCTTACTGCAACCTCCACCTCCCGGGTTCAAGTGGTCCTCCTGCCTCAGCCTCCCGAGTAGCTGGGATTACAGGCATGAGCCACCACGCCCAGCTAATTTTTTGTATTTTTAGTAGAGACAGGGTTTCACCATGTCAGCCAGGATGGTCTCGATCTCCTGGCCTCGTGATCTGCCCGCCTTGGCCTCCCGAAGTGCTGGGATTACAGGCGTGAGCCACTGCGCCCGGCCAGGAGCTTAGCTTTAAGAGCTTGAAGTAGGGGCTCAATGGCCACCCTCGGGCTTTGGGGTGAGGGGTGAATGCTCCACACTGGGGGTTTCCACCACTCCCCAAAGCACGGGGCTGCCCTGGGCTGGTGCTTACTCTGTTTCTCGAAGTCTGAAAGGTTTCCCCTCATGGTCAAGGGCTTTACTTTCTGTGTCCTGTGGTGTCCAGCCAAGCCTGTACAGTTGGGGAGCGTTTGCTCTGACAAGTATTGTCTTGTCCCCATTTTACGAATAAGAAAACCAAGCCCGGAGAGGCTCAGTCCTGGAAATAGACGGTGGGGGAAACAGGACTCAGGCAGAGTGCATGCTCTTTGTCACGAGAATTCGACCGGTGTGCACATTGACCCGACACGCCCAGGACACAGCATGCTCAGTCAGGGGCCCTCTACACCTGAGCCTGGGTGGGGGTGGGGACACACTATGAAGGACCCTCCCTGTCCTCCAGGTCCTTTCAGTCTGGCTGTGGACAGAGAAGTGGAGAGACGATTATGGGCATTGAGATGAGCGGTGGAGGCTGGATGGAATCAGGAGGAGGGGAGGAGAATCTTGGGGAGCACGGGCCTGAGCACAAAGGGGATTAAGGAAGAGGAGGACCTCGGGGAGCACGGTTCTGAGCATGGAGGAGATGAGGAGGGGAGGAGGACCTTGCGGAGCACGGCCCCAAGCATGAAGGGGATTAAGGGAGAGGAAGATCTCAGGGAGCACAGCCCTGAGCACGGAGAGGATTAAGGGAGAGGAGAAGGACCTTGGGGAGCACAGCCTGTCCCTGCATGGCCTCTGGTCCCTGGGGTGGGGTCAGGCTGCCGGGGATGCCTCAGATGACAGGAGCTCTGCCGATGGGCTCGTGGTGCTCTCTGCTTATCAGGGACAAGAGGACAGGGGACGTGGAGACAGCACTCTGGTGGGAGCTGAGGGTCAGGGTGTGGGCAGGTTGGCCAGCACGGCCTGGAAAGCACAGTCCTGCCGTTGAGGAGAGCACAAACCCACCTCCCTCATTTACAGATGGCAAAGGAAGGCCCAGAAGGGCAGTGACTTGTCCAAGGCCACCGGGCTGTCTCTCGTATTGGCGGAGGTCCCCTGTGTGGAGCGCCTGGGTTCTTGGAACCTCGAGCCCCAGCCCCTTATCCCTGCGTCCCCTTAGCTTTTCCCTGGTCACTGTCTGGGTCCCACCCGTCAGTGCTGGACGCACGGGAACCAGCATGAGCCGGGCGGGCACGCAGCTGCTGGTGAACAGGTCCCAGGGGCTCCCCACATGCGGGTACCTTAGTGACTTATCCATGTTTACAGAAGAGTTTGGTGGTCTCCTGGTGCCGAGGGCCCGAGCATCAGGTTCAGCGAGAGCAGCAGCGGCCGTGGACACCGCAGAGGCCACCATGAGGGCCTGGGGACAGTGTGACACTGCTGACTGCAGCCCTGGGAACCCGTGAGAACTGGGGGAGCGTGTCCTGGAATGCCAAGCCCGTCGTGGCTGGCGACTCCCTGCCCCGGCTAACACGCCATTGTCAAATACAAGTCCTGAGAAAGTACGAGAAAGAAGGAACTAAACCCACAGCTCATCACCCAGAGAGAACCGTTGTTAGCACCTCGTAAGTCTATTCCATTATTTCAGTCATGCAGAAATAAACATACATACAGGTGTAGCCATGCTCAGCATAAAGATGTTTTGGTCAGCCGGGAGCAGTGGCTCACGCCTGGGGTCCCAGCACTTTGGGAGGCCGAGGCGGGTGGATCACAAGGTCAGCAGATCGAGACCATCCCAGCTAACACGGTGAAACCCCGTCTCTACTAAAAATACAAAAAAAAAAAAAAAGACGTTTTGGTCAACGACGGGCGGCACATGCCACGATGGTCCCATACGATGACAGCAGCTCCACCAGGAAGCCTGGGTGTGCCCTGGGCTCTAAGTCTAGGTCACGCAAGCACACTCGGTGACAGTCACACAATGATGACACTGCCTAGCGATGCGTTTCTCAGAATGCATCCCTGTAAGCAACACGTCCACCATCTATATTGTAACAAATGTGCCTCATACGTCTATTCTGCAGCCGTCTGTGTGGCTTCACGGGGTCGTGTGAAGGTCCTAGGGTGAAGTCACAGATTTTTCCATG
Source organism: Homo sapiens (assembly GCF_000001405.40). Taxonomy (NCBI): domain Eukaryota; kingdom Metazoa; phylum Chordata; class Mammalia; order Primates; family Hominidae; genus Homo; species Homo sapiens. The sequence continues at coordinate 82,311,871 of NC_000017.11, forward strand.
GTGCCCTTTTATTTTTTAAGTATTATTATTATTATTATTTTGATATGTAGTCTCGCCTTGTCGCCCAGGTTGGAGTGCAGTGGCGTGATCTCAGCTCACTACAACCTCCGCCTCCCGGATTCAAGCAATTCTCCTGCCTCAGCCACCTGAGTAACTGGGATTACAGGCACCCGCCACCATGCCTGGCTAGTGTTTGTATTTTTACTGGAGACGGGGTTTCACCATGATGCCAGGCTGGTCTCGAACTCCTGACCTTAAGTGGTTCACCCGCCTCAGCCTCCCAAAGTGCTGGGATGACAGGCGTGAGCCACCGCGCCCGGCCCATGGTGCCCTTTTAACACACGCTGCATGTGCCATAATCACTGTAACAAAATTATCCTGCTTGGAGACTTACATCCTTCCTTAGTTGTTATATATATTTTTAAGATAGGGTCTCAGCTGGGTACGGTGGCTCACATCTGTAATCCCAGCAGCACTTTGGGAGGCCAAGGCGGGCAGATTGCTTGAGCCCAGGAGTTTGAGACCAGCCTGAGCAACATGGCAAAACCCTGTCTCTATTTAAAAATTAAAATAAATATTAAAACATAAAAAATAAAAATACTCACGAGGTCAGGAGATCGAGACCATCCTGGTCAACATGGTGAAACCCCGTCTCTACTAAACATACAAAAAATTAGCCGGGCGTGGTGGCGGGCGCCTGTAGTCCCAGCTACCCAGGAGGCTGGGGCAGGATAATCGCTTGAACCAGGGAGTGGGAGGTTGCAGCGAGCTGAGATCGCACCACTGCACTCCAGCCTGGTGACTCCACCTCAAAAAAAAAAATATATATATATATATATATAAAAGATAAAGATAAAGATGGGGTCTTGCTCTGCCACCCAGGCTGGAGTGCAGTGACACAGTCACAGCTCACTGCAGCCTCAAACTCCTGGGCTCAAGTGATCCTCACACCTTGGCCTCCCAAGTAGCTGGACCACAGGTGCACACCACGATACCCGGCTTCAGTTGTTAATTTTTTAATTGAAAGTTACATTGCAATGAATATCACTATACCTCTAAACTTGTTTCTGTGCCTAAAGATAATTTCCCAAAGAAACTTTTATAGAAGTGGAATTTCCAGGTAAAAGGGGCATTATATTTTATTGTTTTTGTTTTTGTTTTTGTTTTGAGACGGAGTCTCACTCTGTCTCCAGGCTGGTGTGTAGTGGCGCGATCTCGGCTCACTGCAACCTCCGCCTCCTGGGTTCAAGCACTTCTCCTGCCTCAGCCTCCCGAGTAGCTGGGACTACAGGCACCCGCCACCACAGCCGGCTAATTTTTTTTTTTTTTTGTATTTTAGTAGAGACGGGGTTTCACCATGTTGCCCAGGCTGGTCTCCAACTCCTGAGCTCAGGCAATCCACCCGCCTCGGCCTCCCAAAGTGCTAGGATTAGAGGTGTGAGCCACCTCACCCGGTCGCATTATATTTTAATGATATTTACATCTTTGCAAACCCAGTTGGCGAAAGGTTACCTCATTTCAACTGGTGTTGCGTCGACACCCAGCAGTGGGAATGGTTCCTGTGTCTATCGCTCATTTTTGGAATTTGCGTATTTTTAGTTGGTGTTTTCTTCCCATGGATTGATACGGCTGTGTATGAATTAAACATACTAACCTTTGATTTGTAATTTACTTGTCAAATATTTCACCCTGATTTGTAGACGTTTGTTGTTTATTTTTGTTTGTAGTGTTTTTATAGAGTTTAATAGTTCCCACTGTGCAGTTGATTGTATTAGTTTTTTGTCTCTGTGACCTCGATGGATGATTTGATGGTGACTGCGGTCAGGGGCTCCGGAGCCTCTGGGTCTGCAGCTGTCTTCTCAGCCAGGCACTCTCTCGTACTGACGGGGGTCCTCCGTGTGCAGGGCCGAGGAAACCACCGTGGCCAAAGTGGACCACCAGCTGAGCGTGGCTGGGATGCTAGCAGCCCCCAACCCTGCCGGCCTGGGATGACGGCGGCCTGGGATGACGGCAGCCTGGGGAGAGAGGGCACTCTGATTTCTCCTCCTGACGGTGGGCCTGGATGGGCTGGAGAGGACTTGGGCCTCGGCCCAGAAGCTACTCCAGGTGTCACAGAGACCACATTCAAGGTTGGAGGCCGCCCCAGGCTGCCCATGTGAAGCTAGGGGTGCTGACCAGAGGCCGGCTCCTGGACGTGAGTCCTGGACACCAGGACAGTGGCCTAGAGCCTGCACAGAGGCAGCTGGATGAGGCTGTGGGGCGCGTCCTGCACAAGGAGGACCCCGGGTTAACGCGCCAGTGCGGCAGGAGGAAGGGCTTGAGGTGTGGGTGTGGGGTGAGTGAGGGGCAGGTGTGAGGGGTGGGTGAGGAGCCTGCACATAAGGCCCCGCCTTTGCTCCCCACCTGTGTCGCAGGAGGCAATGAAGTGCAGTGTGTGGCGCCCTAGCGGCTCCCCAGGCAGTGGCTGAGGGCCAGTGCCTCTGTTTCCCCCGGGAATGGGCGAATGGTGGCTCCTGTCCCCACGTGCAGCATGGGAGCTGCGCTGGCTGGGGAAGGTCTGGAGAGTCCAGCTGGGTCTCCCCCGGGGCCTCTGAGAACGAGGAGGAGGCACCTTGTAAGACGGGGCAGGGAGGGGAAGCGCTCAGGCTGCTGAGTGAGGCAGCCTTGTGCTCAGCTTGCTGGTCCCGGTGTGCCCTGGGGTCGGCCTCGGAGGCCTCGGGAGGCGGTGTCGCTGGAGTGGGGGTCGGGGGCATGGGGGGCCATCCTGAGGCTCCTGAAGGGCCCCTGGGTCTGGCCTCCACCTGGACAGGTGGATGTGCTTCTTCTCAAGGGTGGGAGGCCCCCAGGGCTCCTTTCAGGGCTGGGGTGAGGAAGTGCTCCCTTCCCCACCTTCAAGGCCACAGCTGCAGAGCCCCAGGCGGAGGCTTGGGGAGGGTCCGAAGTGTCAGCCATCTCCCTCCCTGGCTCCTGCTGGCTGAGGAATAAATGCAGAAGTCAGAAAAGGAAGCACAGAAGCCTTTATTTCTGGTACGGCTGGGTGGGGGACTGGTCTCCTCCCGTCCTCTGCCGGGCTGCCTGGGGGTTGGGGGCCTGCTGGTGGGTGGGCCGGCACTGACAGGAGAGGGCCGCGTGCCCAGGCCCATCCCACAGAAAAGCCCTCCTTGGCCATGGTCGGGAGATGCAGCCAAAGGACAGTCAGGCTTCCTCCCGGTGGCGGCGTGGGCTGGGCAGGGAAGGCTTCCCGGAGGAGGCATCATTGTCCACTGAGAAGCACCGTGGGGCCTGGCCACTGCCTGTGTGTCTGCTTGGAGCTGGGCACGGCTGGGCCCTTCAAACTCTGCTGCAGCCGTGGGAGGACAGCAGGGTGAGGGGTGTGGCAGGGTGGGGGGCATGGTGGGGCAGGGAAGGTGCTGGGGGGACCACAGGCGGGACGTGCAGGGGCCCACTGGGTCACTGGTACTGGTTGGGGGAGGACAGCGTGTTGCAGCGGCTGTGCGACATGTCCTCGTACACCACACATGCCGCCGAATTCTTATCCCGCCACGAGCACAGTTTCTTTATCTGAAAGACAGAACCGCCGTCTCCAACCAGTGGCCAGCGTGGTGTCCTGGACCCCACCCCACTCCGGTCAGCTTTCTAATTTTAACACGAGACCCCCACGGGGCTCCTCTGGGCTGGCCCCCAGGTCTCCTGAGCCCCAGGGCTTCCCAGCAGAGCCTTCCCCAGGCAGGGCTGGGTCGGACCCTGGGGTGCCTCTGAAGAAGGAGAGTGGAAGTGGCTTGGACCCCCCCACCAAGCCCAAGCCAAGCGGGACCCCCACTCCAGCCCCAGACAAACAGCAGGGACCGAGGGGAGTGGCCACGCCTAGACTCTGTGTCTGTCTGAGGCCCCCTCCCCTTCCCACGGCCACACAGCACGCCGGCACACTCCAACATGCACGCACAGTCCTCAGAGATCCCCACACACAGGCTCACACCTGCACACGTGCACACGCGGGCCCAGCGCCTGGGCGCTCCCTCCTCTGCCCGCACACTCCAACCTGCACGCACAGACCTCAGAGATCCCCCCTCAGACACTCACACCTGCACACGCGCACACGCGCACACGCGGGCCCAGCGCCTGGGCTGCTCCCTCCCCCTCAGGTCGCTTTGGTGCTGGTCCCCCTCCCTCCCCGCCGAGGCCACTTCCACCCTGAGAGTTCCAGAGCCTGCAGAGGAGGCGGCGGGTACCAGGGTTTTCCTCTGGGGCTTTGGCGCCCCCCACGCTGCTCTCAGGAGAGGGAACAATCTTTGGGGTGCAGGTGGCAGCTGGGGCTCACACTGACCTGTGTCCTCGCCAGCACACACGCCACCCCCAGGCCCAGCCCGAGGAGGAAGGAGATCACCGCCAGGGCCGCAGGGAGGGCAGAGGCTGCTGGCGGGTCAGGGAGGGCAGAGGCTGTCTGCGGGTCAGGGAGGGCGGAGCCTGTCGGTGGGGCAGGGAGGGCAGAGGCCCTTGGTGGGGCGTCCGAGCATCTGTGCCATCCTTGGGACTGTTCCTCTGAGAAGGAAAAAAGAAGGAAGGGATTCTCCCGGTGGAGAACCTGTTAGAGCCCCCGGGGTTTGGGATTCGGGGCAGGGAAAGGCTGTGGAGGGGAGGAGGGGCAGCTATCTAGGAGGCTGCTGGGGGCAGTGGGCTGGGAGCTGGAACAGTTCAGGCACATGTAGGAGGGAGGGTCCCACGACAAGGGCTGGGGGAGCAGAGCCTGGCCAGCAGCTGGGGTTGGGAGGGGGGTCTGGGATGGGCACATTCCCTACCTGTCACCAGGACCAGGGTGCCGGAGCCGTAGACATTGACCTCCGTGATGGCCTGGCAGGTGTAGGTGCCAGTGTCCGACAGCTGCAGGCGGTGCATGGTGATAGTCAGGTTGTCCTGGGACCCTGAGAAGTCGATGCGGCCCCGGAACCGTCTGTCCGTAGTGGGCACCACCCCGTCCTCGTAGTAAATGATGTCTTGGGGCTGTGGCCCGAGCTGCCTCAGGTAGATCCCACGCAGGCCCCCGCTGGTGGAGCAGGTGATGTTGACGGAGGCTCCCACGGGGACAGTCGTGCAGTGGGGAGACTGCTGCACCTCTGGGGAGGACCTGGGCTGTCACCATCAGTCTGGCCAGAAGGACAGAGAATGTCCTCCCTGCAGGGGACAGTGGTGGGGATGGTGGGGCCCTGAGACAGCCCAGGGCTGACATGTCGCCAAAGACACGGTGCCTTACGGGGCATGGAGCAGATCTGGGCACCGGCTGTGGTGTTGGGGGAGGTGCTGTCCTCGTGTTCCGAGACTGTGGGCTTCTTCCTCCCAAAGCAGCGGCCCTGCCTGGACAGCCCCGGCCACTCCCCACCGGGGTCCACCCTTTTTCCTTCTCTTAAATGAGTCCTCAGACACTGGAGGCCGCTCAGCACCCCACCCGCTTCCTGGGGGCTGTGCTGTGGCTCAGACTGGGGGCTCTGAGCTCATGGGGCAGGGAGAGCTCTGGAGCTGTGGCCATGGAGAGCCTGGGAAGCTCTTACCTTGGGCAGCCAGGGCCCCAGGCAGGCCGCGAGCCAGCGCCAGAAGCAGGGGCAGCAGCAGGAGCCTCGGAGGCCCGGCCATGTTCCCCACACCCAGCTCTCCCAGCCGGGCGAGTGCAGCTGAGCCTCTCTGGGTCTACAGGACCCCACAGAGAGCAGCACACAGGAGACCGCAGGCGCTCAGAGCTCAGAGAGGGCTTCCTGGAGGCGGTGCCTCAGACCAGGGTGGTGCTGTGGGCCCGGTGGGAGGGGCGGTCTCACCTACCCCTCCCCAGCACTGCCTCCCTGAGAGCTGCCCTGAGAGCAGGGCGTCCCTGTATCCCCCACTGCCCCTGCATCTCCACAGGGAGGAGGTCAAGGCCTGGGGCGGGGCAGACCAGAGGACAGAGAAGGGACTCCCTGGCTGGGGACGGGTGGCAGGGTCTGGAAGTGAGCGGCAGAGCTGGCCCCCAGCCTGCCTGGTCCTCTGGGGTACTTTCTGCTGGGACCCAATTTATGCCCAGAAATCTGGAGCCACCCATGACCCATGAGTCACCCACACAGTGCAGAGGAGCACAGGGCAGGCCAGAATTGGCACCCCCTGGTTTGGCCGTGGGGAAGGAGCCTGGGCCTGCACCCGCACCCAACGCTGCAGCCGACCAGCTGACCGTGGCTCTGCGTTCCATGTCCTGGAGGCGGGAGGTCTGAGGTATGGTCCAGGCCTGAGGTTTCCCGACCTCCCTGGGAGGAGTGCGTCAGGCCGCAGTGCCCAGCTTCAGGGGCTGAGGGAGACCTGTGCCTGGGCTCTGACCCCAGGGTGACTGAGTCCTCTGGGAGGGGGCACTTCTCTGTCCTGAGGGCCTCCCGCCACAATGACGAAGCGTTGACGTTGGTGCCCAAAGCCAGTAGGTGCAGCACATGAGCAGGAGTGTGTGGACACGTGTGTGTGCAGAGACGGGTGCGTATGGACATGTGTGTGCAGAGACGGGTGCGTGTGGACACGTGTGTGTGCAGAGACGGGTGCGTGTGGACACGTGTGTGTGCAGAGACGGATGCGTGTGGACACGTGCGTGTGCAGAGGCGGGTGCGTGTGGACGTGTGTGTGCAGAGACGTGTGCGTGTGGACGTGCGTGTACAGAGACGGCTGTGTGTGGACACTTGTGTGTGCAGAGACGGGTGCGTGTGACTCCATGCGTGTGTGCAGAGACGGGTGCGTGTGGACACGTGTGTGCAGAGACGGGTGTGTGTGGACACGCATGTGCAGAGATGGGTGCGTGTGGACACGTGCGTGTGCAGAGACGTGTGCGTGTGGATGTGCGTGTGCAGAGACGGGTGTGTGTGGACACGTGTGTGCAGAGACGGGTGCACTTGACTCCATGCGTGTGTGCAGAGACGGGTGCGTGTGGACACGCGTGTGTGCAGAGACGGGTGTGTGTGGACACGCATGTGCAGAGACGGGTGCGTGTGAACACGTGTGTGTGCAGATGGGTGCGCATGACTCCACGCGTGTGTGCAGAGACGGATGTGTGTGGACACGCGTGTGTGCAGAGACGGGTGTGTGTGGACACGCATGTGCAGAGACGGGTGTGTGTGGACACTTTGTGCAGAGACGGGTGCGCGTGACTCCATGCGTGTGTGCAGAGACGGGTGCGTGTGGACACGCGGGTGTGCAGAGACGGGTGCGTGTGGACACGTGCGTGTGTAGAGACGTGTGCGTGTGGACGTGCGTGTGCAGAGACGGGTGTGTGGACACTTGTGTGTGCAGAGACGGGTGCGCGTGACTCCATGCATGTGTGCAGAGACGGGTGCATGTGGACACGCGTGTGTGCAGAGATGGATGTGTGTGGACACGCATGTGCAGAGACGGGTGCGTGTGGACACGTGTGTGTGCAGAGATGGGTGCGCATGACTCCACGCGTGTGTGCAGAGACGGGTGCGCGTGATTCCACGCATGTGTGTGCAGAGACGGGTGCGTGTGGACACGCGTGTGTGCAGAGACGGGTGCGCATGGCTCCACGCATGTGCAGAGACGGGTGTGCGTGACTCCACACGTGTTTGCAGAGACGGGTGCATGTGAACACGTGTGTGTGCAGAGACGGGTGTGCGTGACTCGCGTGTGTGCAGAGACGGGTGCGCGTGACTCCACACATGTATGCAGAGACGGGTGTGCATGACCACGCGTGTGTACAGAGATAGGAGCGTGTGGACATGTGTGTGTGCAGAGAGGGGTGCGTGTGGACACGTGTGTGTGCAGAGACGGGAGCGCGTGGACATGCGTGTGCAGAGACGGGAATGTGTGGACACTCGTGTGCAGACAGGTGTGTGTGGACACGCGTGTGTGAGGAGACGGGTGCGCGTGACTCCACGCATGTGTGCAGAGGGGTGCGTGTGGACACACGTGTGTGCAGAGACGGGTGCGCGTCACTCCATGCGTGTGTGCAGAGACGGGTGCGCGACTCCATGCGTGTGTGCAGAAACGGGTGCATGTGGACACGTGTGTGTGCAGAGAAGGGTGCACGTGACTCACGCGTGTGTGCAGAGATGTGTGCCCGTGACTCACACACGGACCTGCAGCCCTGAGCTCCTTCCCCAGAAGTCCCAGCCACAGCAGCCGGTGCGGAGACACGGGTGGGGCTGTGGGGTGGTGCAGGTTTTCTGCTGGGCCGAGGGTCCTGGGGGAGCCGGTTTTCCTCCCCCAGGCTCTCCATAAACGAGAGACAGAGGGTTTGGGGGCAGAATCTTGCGCAGAGACCCTGGAGCACCCTAGCAAGGCTGTGGCTCGAGGCGGTGGGTAACAGCACTTGCCGGAGCAGCCCCTCCTCTGGCCTTTGCTCCATGCATGCATTGGGTCACCAACGTTCACCGGGCGTCTTTATGCCAGCGTCTGTGCCAGGAGCAGGGGGCAGTGTGGACCAGGAGCCCTCCCGCCTGGAGCTGACCTCAGGGAGGCCAGGTGGACAGCCAGCAGGACACAGGGTGTGGGTGTGGCCCTCAAAGGCCAACCCAGGAACGGGCCGTGGGTGAAACCAACTGGGGCCCCGGGGAACAGCATTCCACGCAGCGGGATCAGTAGGGCAGAATCCCTGAGGCCAGAGCGTGCCTGGTGTGTCTGAGGACAGCATGGGGCCGGGTGGGGTTGGGGGCTGCAGAGGGAGACACAGACTTCCACACACGGAGGGGGAAGGCAGCGTGAGGACCAGCACTAAATCCCAGTAGGGAAAACAGAAGCAGAGATAAGCCACCAGGAAAAGATGAAAATCCTCACGGACTCCAGCCCCAGGCTCTCCTCCTGGGTTTCCTGCCTGGGTGCGCAGGGGACATGGCGACCGCACTACCGATTTCAAAGTGACTTTGAGGCTGGGCTCAGGGGCTCATGCCTGTAATCCCAACACTTTGGGAGGCCAGAGTGGGAGAATCGCTTGAGCCCAGGAGGTCGAGCCGTGATCGCGACCGTGTACTCCAGCCTGGGCGGCAGATCTAGACCCTATCTCCAAAAAAAAAAAAAAAAAAAAGAGAAAAGAAAAAAGAGAAAGAAAAACTTTGACCTGAAGACACGCCAATGCTCTTCAGCCTGTGTAGGCAGGTGTGACCCCCGTGCGGGGGTCCCGGGCGCTGTGCCCACAGAACAGGGTCTGACCCAGCACGCGGACGGAACCTTATTTTAACCCGAGACACAAACGCGCCCCTCTTGGACCCTGGCTCCGGCCCGACCCTCAGGGCGGCCGGCTGTGCGAGGCCTCGGTCACCGGGCGCCGCCGCGTCCCTGCGGGGTCTCCACCTGGCTGGGGGCTCCCCCCCGTCTTCATCTCGAGGACGCCTTAGGGACGTTTTGGGGCTTAAAGCCACTAAAGACGTTTCTTTCAGATTTTTGTTTTCCATTTTAAAAATTGCATTTGGAGCTACTTGGAGGTTTGTGAGTCGGTTTGTTTTCTTCATTTCAGATATTCGAGTCATGGAACTTTTTCAAAGAACTGAAGGGGGATTCCCGGTGATTTTTCCACCCCATACAGATGAAGACATCAAAGGGCCCCGCCGCAGTGACGAAGACAAAAGCATGAACAGATCTGGGTCCAAAGAGGCTCGGCAGGTGCGGTGGGCACGAGGGAGCGACCCCCGGGTGGCCGAGGGACTGAGGGATGCGCGTCCAGCCCCGGAGGGCGGCGTCCACCTGACCCCCCAGCCCGAGCCGCCGCCGCCGCCTCCCAGCCCGGCCTGCGCTGCCCCCTGGCGGTGGGGCCAGGAGCCATCCCAGCCTCTAAGCCCCCGACCCTACCTCGGCCCCCGGGGCTGCCGCGGAAGGGCCCCCAAAGCCTGCTCATAGCCAAGGGACAGGTATGTGGCCAAGGCCCCCCACAGCCCTGAACTGGAGTGTGTCTGAGGCTCCGGCAGGGGCCCCCTCACTTGGGCGCGGAGCCCTGGGAGTGGAGAGAGCGGACCCCACACCTGGGGCCGGACCAGCCTGGGGTGGCAGAAAGGGAGTCCGGGTCTGTGGGTTTGATGAGGGCAGAGGGAGGGGCATGCGTCCTGGTAAGTCGGGTGCTGCGGAGGTGAGGTGGTTCCATTTTGGAAACTGAGGAAGCAGAGCTTGGAAGACCTGGGGGGTGGAGGGGAAGGGTCTGCACGCACCCAGGAGTGGGTGACACAGAGGCCCAGCCTGCCAAGCAAGCCGGTGTCTGTGCCCTCCGGGTGGGACGAGAGACCCAGGCCCCGCCACCCAAGGTCGGCACTCAGGGCTGGCTCTCCTGTGTCCTCTCTGCCTTGCAGGCGGCTATGGGTCTGCGGCATATGGAAACAAGGGTTGGGGGGACAGCAGCTCCAGGGCTCCAAGTGGTGAGGGTTTGAACACCAGTGCCAGCGGCCTTGGGGTGGGCTCGGAGTCTGGGGTCCACAGTTCAGCGGAGGCTCTGCTCAGGCCCTGCTGGGCTCCCGCTCTGAGGGCTGCGACCTTCATCTGGGGTTCTAGGAGGAAGAACTTCTTCTGCAGGGGGAGGAAGGAGGTGCCTGTGTGAGCCGCGCGCCCCCGTGCCCACAGCTCTGCCCTGGGGCGTGCGTTCACACTCACGGGCATACGTGCTCATGCACACCCCCACCCCCAGGCACACTCCCAGCCCTCGCCTGGGTTCTGAAACTGCTGGAGGTTGAACCCACTCCCCAAGGCACCCTCAGCAAGAGGCTCCCTTGGCTCAGAAACTCCAAGTTCCGTCCCTGATGGAGACCACGCACCCTGCCATGCTGCCCTCCAGGGAGTCCTGGGGACAGTGAGAGCTTGCAGGAAGGGCAGGGCGGGTCTGGGTGGGGAGCCTGGCTCTGTATTCTTGACCATAGCCGGCTGGGCCCCTGGCGGGGACTGGCTCTCTGGGACCGGTGCTCCCCCCACCCTCTCCTGGAGCCCCAGCAGGTGCAGGACAGTAAGGCTGACCTCAGCCTGGGGCAGCCCCACCCAAGACTCCCCACCCCGCACAAACTGGGGTGCAGGGCCTCCTACCTCCCGGCGTTGCTGGGAACAGCGGCACCTGTACCAGGCGAACATGACCAGAGCGACCAAGAGGATGAAGACAGCAGTGACCACCGCTGGCACAGGCCAGAACCCAGTGTCGGGGGCGGACTGGGGTTCTGCACCTGAAGGAGGCAGTTCAGGGGTGTACAGGTGGGCTGGGCATCCCCCACCCCCTACCTCCTCCGTGTAGCTCCCAGCCTCCTCCTCCTACACACTCCCTGGGGTGAGAATGAGCCTTGGAAGACGGCACCGCCGTTGCCCAGGAGGTACAGGGGTGGGAGGGAGCCAGGAGGAGAGGGGGCGCAGGACCAGAGGTGGAAGGAGACCCAGAGCGCAGGTGTGTCGGGGCAGCGAGGGAAACATCTACCCCTGGATGTGCCAGGTCCCAGGAGCTGCGCGCTGGCCCGGTCCTTCAGGCCTCGGGGTTCTGGGGAAGAGATGCAAGGGCAGGGGAGGGGCCTGCCCTGTTGTGGCCCACCCAGGGCCAGGTATCTGAGGAGCCTCATGCCTGAGCCCAGGAAGGGCTCACCAGATGCCCTGGGGGTGGAGAGCAAAGCGGAACCCAATTTGGGTGACCCGGGTAGGTCGGAACCGGGTGTGGTGAAGGTGGGAGGGCTGGGAGGGGCCGTGGAGGCTCCTGAGCTTTGCAGGAAAGGGAGGGGAGGGGTGGGGAGTGGGTTTGGTGACTAGAGGGGTCAGTGGCCCCGCACGGTGGGGTGGCCGCTCAGGGCCTAGGGAGCAGGTGGGAGGGGCTTGGAGGGCAGAACAGAGGGCCTGGGGGCTGCTCTGCTGGCCACCACTGCTTTCTGGTTGAACCAGATAAGTAGCTGGTGGTGACGGCTGTGGGCCCTGAGTCGGGGGAGAAGAGGCAGAGGGAGCAGTGGGCTGGGCTAGTGGGGACATGAGTGGGTGGTGATCATGCCTGTGTCGGGGGAGCTGAGGCAGAGAGTGGGGCAGCGAGCATCCCCTGAGGGCAGGAGGAGAGGGGTGGGGACAGAGAAGGGTCGGGGGTGGTCCCAGCCCTGAAGACAGGAGTGGCGAGGGCAGGTGTGGTCTAGGTGCTTGTCGAGGTGGACAACATGGGAGTGGGAGTGGGAGGGGCGGGGCAGGACCGTGGCAGCCTGGGAGGCCCCTGTTCGTGGTCACTAAGGGTGCTGCGCGGGCGACCTTGAGCACCTCTGGGTGACCCCAGTAAAGGGAGGGCAGGTGCCTCGAAGCCAGGTGCTGCGGGTCTGGAGGGCCTCTCAGAGCACAGGTATTTGGGGTGCAGTTTCCCCACACAGCCGGGGTGGGGGTGGCAGGGAGGCGGGGGGTGCCTGGGCTTCCTGGCTGCAGGGTGCAGCCCCCACCCCTGACAGGCAGACTGGGCTCCTTTGAGGAGCAGCTTTGTGTTCTGTGTTGTTTGTGGGACTCCGGCTGCCCTCTGTGGGTCCCACCCCACTGTGGGGTCTGTGCCCCCTGAGCCTCCTGCCTGACCCCTGCCCCTCCCAAAGGAAGAACTGTCCCAGGAGGTCAAGAGGCCTCCACCCCAACTCTCTACCCGCCAACCCTGTCTCCTGGCAGCCCGGCTCATGCCTGCTCTTCTTCCTCCTCCTTCCCTCTCAGTCTCAGCCCTCCCCCTGCCCAGGCCCCCTCCCCTCCCCGTGTCCCCTCTCACTCCCCTCCCCCTTGCTTCCCCGAGCCTCCCCTCACCTGAAACCTCCAGCGTGACTTGTCTGTTATTTCTCTGGTGTCCCACGAGGTGCCACATGTACAGCCCAGCATGGGAGTCCCGGGCGCCTTTGATCACCAGCTGTGCCACGCCTCCCTGAACCTGGAGCTGCCAGCCGTCCCGGGAGAAGTAGCCTGGAGCCACCTCATTGAAGATGGCGCTCTCCTGCCCGTGGGCACGCAGCTTGATGTTGACATGGGAGAAGGCGTTGGAGATGTTGCAGGACATGACGGTGTTCTCGCCCCAAGACACAGAGACTACCCCCTCTGTGCAGATGGGGCTGTCCCAGCCTGTAGGGCCAGACAGAGGCACACACGGATCAGGGCTGGACCTCAGGGCATTGGCTGGCTGCTGTGCCCAGGGCCAGGGCCAGGGCAGGAGACAGGGCCTCTAAGGGACACAGTGAACTATGTATACATCCACCCGACCCAATCAGCACATATATCTCGTGTGGGAAGAATAAAATAGCAACAAAAAAGACGGGTGGCTCTGTGTGTGTGTATGTGTGTGTGTGTGCGTGCTCACACCCACGTCTGTTCCTTGGGGTGTGTCAGCTTGGACGAAGGCATTTCCTATCAACTCCCTCCCCTGTATATTTCCACTGGGGTGGGTGAAGTCAGAGCCTCAGGTGTGTGCCGGGCGGCTGCGCTGTGGCAGGAGTGCTGCCACTGACCTGCCGAATCACCCTCCTCGTGGGAAGCAGTGGCCAGGCCCCACCGCCCCCAGCTCCCTCCTGTTTCTCCAAGGCCTAGGCCAGGTGCAGGTGCTCGGCTGCGTGAGGAAGGGCAGGGCTTCTGCAGACACCCACAGGCCAGCCTCAGAGGCAAGCAGAGCAGACATGGGTTCCAGCCTGTCCTTGTGGGGCCCAGCCTGCTTGTGCCACCCCCAACATTCCCTTTCCCCTCCCGGCCACCCGCTCAGCTCCAGGTTGCTGGGCCAGCTCCATACACAGCTCCACAGTCCTGGGAGGTCAAGTCCTTGACACAAGCCGGCGTGTCAGTCTCTCTCTCCCGCCTCCTGGGTGAACCCTGCCCCATAGCGACCCGTGCAGCTGCTTCCCTCAGAGGGTCTGGGGCCTTTGCCCCAGCAGCCAGCTCAAGGATGCCTGAGATTCAGGCCGTCGGGCCCGAGCATGGTACCAGCCTGAGGTCTTGGTGCTGCTACTGTCCCTGCTGCGTCAGCGTCCACCAGTGACTGGACACGGACGGATGGACGGACAGACGGACGGCAGGGTGAGCTCTCGGGGAGCACACAGCATGCTGGTTGGAGCCGCCATTTGGCCACATTTCACCAAATACAAAACCACATGGTGGGTGCCATGTGCTGGCAAGTGCCAGGGGCCTTGGTGCCCATGGGAGGAGGTGGGCTTCAGGGGCACCTGGCCTTCGGGCTGGACTGAGTTTCCTCTGACGAGCAGGCTGGCTGCCTGCCTGGACGCTCTGAGTGTTCAGGGACTGCAGGGCCTCTAAGGCCACTGCACAAATTCACACCGTCCCGAGGGCAGCGGGCGGCTGTCCAGGGGGTGCCCCAGCCCAGTTACACTTTGGAACCACTGTTGGGGGGTGGGGGCAGAATCTCCCGAAACCAGGGTTCTTCCACCTGGGATTCTTCCCTTTCAGTTTTGTTTTGTTTTTTGTTCGTTCTTAGGATTCTGACTGAACTGCTTTGGGATGTGGTTTGGGATGTGGCTGAGCTCTGACATCTTTTAAAAGCCCCTCGGGTGGCTCAGTGGCTCACGCCTGTAATCCCAGCACTTTGGGAGGCCGAGGTGGGAGGATCACTTGAGCCCAGGAGTTTGAGACCAGCCTGAGCAACATGGCAAAACCCCATCTCTACAAAAAATACACAATTTAGCCAGGTATGGTGTGCATGCCTGTAGTCCCAGCTACTCGGGAGGCTGAGGTGGGAGGATCACCTGAGCCCAGGAGGTCGAGGCTGCGGTGAGCTGTGATTGTACCACTGCACTCCAGCCTGGGCGTCCAGCCTGGGCGATAGAGGTAGAACCCGTCTCAAAAAAAAAAGATAAGAAAAGAAAAGCCCCTCAGGTCACTTTGCTGACAGGTTGGGGATCTAGAGAGCTGGGGAGGATCTCACTGGGGGACCCTGTTCAAATGCAGATCCACTCCTGGCAGGCCTGAGGTGCGCCTGACTAAGGAGCCCCCAGGCCAGGGCTGCTGTCTGTTCCCGGCCATGGCACAGGTCGCAACTGACCCAGACCCTCTCCCTTGGAAACTGGTCGTGATCTTGGTCCTTCCCCACAATTGCTCTGACAGTGACCACCAGGTACCACAGCGGGCACCACCGCCCTCCACCCACGGCGGGACACGGCCCACTCACCACCACCCTCCACCCACGGCGGGACACGGTCCACTCACCGCCACCTGAGGCAGCCCAGCTCCACATGGTCAGGCCCTGGGTCTGCAGAGTCAGTCATTATCGGGGGTCTGGTGGCACCTGGACCCAACCTCAGTCCACCCCTCCTGCCCCTGTCATGCCCCCACCGGGCCCCCCTTTCCCCAGCAGAGAGGCGGGGCCCCGAGACCTACCTTCATTCTGAGCACTCAAGGAGGCAGCCAAAAACAGGAGGGTCCCAAGGGCCTGGGAAACGTGGCCAGGGAATGCCAGGGGGCAGGTCTGCATGGCTGGTGGGACTTGGGCCCCTGGTCCTTGTCACTGGCTCTTGAAACACTCCCTGGAGGAAGGAAAGCCCATGGGTCAGAGCCCCCTGCAGCTGCTGAAGGGGACAGCGGGAGCGGCTGTCACCTGGCGGGGGCTGGGAGGCTGGGGGTCCCCGAGCTCTTCCCCGACCTGCTCTGGATGCTGGAGCCCCTGCCCTCCTTCCCTTCCCTGTGCCTGTAGAGGGTGTGCAATGCTGACCTCACGAAACAAAGAAGACACGCGGGGGCGGGAGACAGAGTTGCCCGCAGCACAGCGGGGACCCCATCTGCCTTGCGGGTCAGCCCTTTTGTTTTACAATAAATTACTCGTAACTGTGCCTGAGCATGTTTCCTATAGAAATGGGTCAGGACAGGTGGAATCGTTGGTAGCCGTGTCTGACCTAACACTATACTAAGACCAGCCTCCAGCCCCAGCCCCTCACCAACGCTAAGCATGAAACCAATTTTCCGTCTACCTAGGAGCATGTGTTTGATATCACTGCACACCCAGGGCACAGAGCTTCGGCATTACAATTCTTGGAGCGTGTCTGTCTCCTCGTGGGTCCTGTCCAGACCTCCAGTCACTCACAGAGACCCTCACATGACCAGCACCCAGGGTCCGACTCCCCCAGCCAAGCCCAGCGCTGACCACAACCTGCAGCCAGCGGCCCCCCCAGCCCGTCCACCAGCCCCCCCACCCTGCCCGTCCACCGGCCTCCCCAGCCTGTCCATCAGCCTCCCCGGCCTGTCCACCAGCCCCCCCACCACCCTGCCCGTCCACCAGCCCCCCTCCCGGGGCAGCACTCAGTTGCGTTCCTTTCGAATCCATCGTTTACACCTCTGTGTGTTCCTAATGCGCAAGTCAGCTTTACCTCTGCTGCTCTCACTGGCAAGGCAGGCTGCTGGGCAGCTTCCAGCAGGCGAGCCTCCTTGTGCCATCTTGTCTCAGGCCTGCAAACACTAGGGGCCCCCTAGCTGTGTGGCTCCTCTCCCGCCAGGCAGAGGCGGCTCCAGGGCACACACCCACGGTGCTGGGGGAGGGCCCCACAGGCAGTGATGAGCCTCTCACAGGCCCCAGCGAGGTCGCCGCTTCTGTGCTTCCCACGGGGTCCCCACTCATGCCCTGCATACAGGAGGTGCTGGATCCGTGTGGATCTGGATCCCCTGAGAGTGGCTGGGGGATGAGGGTCCCTGTGTGGAAGCTCCACAAAGCCCCACCTGCCTCCACGCAGGAGCTCAGCCTTGCACAGGAGACTACCCTAACCTAACCCCAACCCTAACTCAGTCAGTCCCGCCGGTGGGGTCTGGGCCGATGCCTGGGCTGGTCAAAGGTCAGGCCCTCACGTGGACCAGGTGACGTGCTTTTGCATGAACCTGTTGACGTTCCTGCTGGACTTTGAAAGGGACCAGGGAAGGGAAAGTGAGGGGAGGCAGCCTGGGTCTGTTCCAGGTGGGGCAGCGGGTAAGGCCCAGCAGGAGCCCTGGCAGGACACGCCTTTCAGCCGAGAGAACTCCACCTTCGAAGGCGGCTGGGGCAAGGGTTCGTGGCCAGGCTGCCCTGCCTCTCGGGTGCCTGCACCCCTGCTAGGAAAAGTCCCTAGGTAGGGCGGCAACTCCAGCCCTGCCTCTCCCAGCTCCCAGTGCAGCCCACACGCCGGAGTGCAGATGACCTGCAGGGAACTCCCATGAGGGAACTCTGTAAAGCGACCTTCAGACGTGCTATTTATAGATGTCTATAGATTTATAGATGTGTGTTTCTCCAAACAAATAAACCACCAGAAAGTGTCACAGCAGGACACGTCACCAACCCCGGGGACCCCATGTTACCAGGGGTCCTCCTGGAGCCTGGAGTCTGGGCCTGCTGAGGACCTGGCTTGCAGACGGGCTCCGGCCTTCTCGTCCCATTGCCCCAAGCGCTCCAACCCCCTGTGAACATGCCTCTAGTCATCCCTGGGCCCTGCACAGCCACAGGCAGCCACCCGGTCATTCCCATACTCTCACCATGGTCCTGCCTCCACGTGGAAGACCCTGCCAGCCGCAGAGTGCAGGTGTGGGGACACTGTCACTGCTGGGAGGCACGTCACCAACCCCGAGGTGCTGCTGAGGCTCAGGGATGGTCCCACATTGGCGCAGGCTGCGGGTGCCGTGTCCTGAGGTCTGGGTTCCCCACTCCAGGCAGCCGCTATGCTCAGTACAAGTCCAGTCCCTTCTGTTGGAAACCCCACCCCACCCTGTCAGGGCTGAGTGCAAGGGGAGGGAACCCACACCTGAGACCTTTTGTGGCCCCTCACTAACACCCCCTTTCCTGCTGTGACCCCTCAGGGCTGCTCAGATGGGCTTGGAGACAGGCTCGGGCCCCATCTCCCATCATACGTCCAGCATTCTAGATTAGCTGGAAGTCCGACGGGGTCTCCCTGGGTTAAAATCAAGGGGTGGGTCAGGGTGGTCCCTTCTGGAGGCTCCAGGCGGAATCTGTCCCTCTCCGTCTCCAGCGTCCAGAGGCATCCGCATCCCTCGGCTCATGGCCCCTCTGCCATCTCCCCACCACTGCCCCCCAGCTGCTTCCCTCATCTCCCTGACTCCCCCTCCTCTCTCCCTCTCCTGGAGACCCTGTGATGGCATCAAGGGCCCCCCTGGGTGACCCAGGACACATGCCCCAGCTCAGCACCCGAGGCTTCATCCCATCTGCATAGTCTCTTTGCCATGTCAGGTTCTGGGATGAGGACGTGACATCTTTGGGGACTGGTAGCCGACCACAGAACCCCCACCCCCAGTGCGGTGGGAGACCCAGGCCACCTGCAGACCCCTGCATGGAGGTGAGGTTCACACAAGGAGACCCCAGGGGGCCTGGGTCCGGCTCCCTCACCCCACGCTCCACGATGCCAGCTCAGCCACCCACCTTGGAACCGTGCAGATGGACAGCAGGGAGGGTCGGGGCTGCTGGGGGCTCCCCCACTGCTCTCCGCACCACCCCGCCGACCGTGTCCGGGAGGGGATGCCCTGCTGCTCTCCCCAGGCTGCTCTGGGGAGTCCTGCCCTCACCTGGAGCCTGGAGGCCATCTGAGTCTGTTTCACAAATGCTTCCAGGGACTGCCCCTGCCATGTGTTAGGGGTGGGAATTCTGGGCACACAGCCAAAGGTCACAGATCCCCAGAGAGCCCCGACAGCGCTGCGTCCACCCCACCTGCCCACCCAGGTGCTGGCTCTGCCACCCGTCTGTGTCCTGAGTCAGCCCTGACTCGGCAGAGAGCTGCACCCTGAGCCAGACCTCAGCAGCTGGGTCCTGGAGGCCCCCAAGGGCCAGCTGCACGCACCTGGCTTCATGCCAAGCTCCTCCCGCCTGGCAGTGGCTGCATCTGCCTCCCCTCCACCCTGAGTGTCCCAAGTCTGCCCGCTGTGCATTCCATGGGGCCAGCAGCTCGGTGGAGCCTCTGCTCTCGGGGGCTACAGCTGCTCCTAGATGCCTCTGCCACCGAGGGTGGACCCTGCAGTGCTGGCTCCTAGCCTCCCTGCCGATTGCTTCCTGAAGACCTGGGGCCCTGGGCTGCAGTGGTTGGGGAGAGGGGGGTGGGAGTGAGAAGCTGGCACTGTCCGTCTTTCTGGCCTCATCCTCTCCATGGTCTCAGCCCCTGGCGGCCTGGACTGCACCGTTCCGGAGATGCTGCCTCCCCACCAAGTCCCTTTAGCCCAACTGTGGTGGCGGCCGCTGCTTCTCACACGCGGGTCCTCTCACTGCCTCTCCCCGGTCCTCCCTTCCTCCCAGCACCTTCACCAGCTCCCCACTGAGTGCCCTCCAATGTTGGCGACCCTGACCCTTGTCCAGCCAGGGGTGAAGGGCGGCAAGGGATGGGCTGGAGGGTACTAGGAGCAGGTGGCGGTGCCCTTCCTGTCGGTCCACACCCGGCAAGTGGCGGGAAAGGTGTGGAATGAGTCAGCCGTGGAGGGGAGCCCTGGGCCTGGAAGACCCCTGTCTTTGGCTTGAGAATGACTTTGAAGGGCTCAGGGGGTAGGGAGCTGGGGGGAGACCGGGAGGAGAGCGGCAGGTCTGGCTCTACCCCGAGGCTTCAGGCTGCGGACCATGCGTGGCCCCAGCTCTGTCTGGGCAGCAGGTGTCAGCGACTTTGGGTTGCTGTGGGAATTTGCTCCGTTTATCAGAAGAAAACGCACCCTGGCAACACAGGCCCCTCTCAGGTCACCAGGCACATCTGGTCACATCTGAGTCTCAGATAAACAACCAATGATGTCCTGGTGAAAGCTTGTCCCGTGGGACACTCGGGACACACTTATATTAAAACACGATTAACGATCTCAAACTCAGATGTTACTGGGTATCCTGCGTTTTTGTTGGCAGCTCTGCCACTCTGCCCGTCTGCCTGAGTCCTCTCCTGCCATCCTCCTGACCAGAGGCGTGGGCTTGAGTTGAATGCCACGCAGTGGCTAAAAATCAGAGAGAGGGCAGGCGGCAGGGCGCGGCCCCAGGGAAAGTGGCCAGGTGGGCGGTGACTGGCCGGGCAGCTCCGTGTGTGGCACAGGGAGACCTGGCACAGGGAGACCAGGTACAGGGAGACGAGGCGCACGGAGCCTCAAAACTTCTAGAGTGGGCCGGGCGCGGTGGCGCATGCCTGCAATCCCAGCACTTTGGGAGGCTGAGGCAGGTGGATCACCTGAGGTCGGGAGTTTGAGACCAGTCTGAACAACGTGGTGAAACCCCGTCTCTACTAAAAATACAAAAAAATTAGCCGGGCGTGGTGGTGCACGCCTGTAATCCCAGTTACTTGGGAGGCTGAGGCAGGAGAATCGCTTGAACCAGGGAGGTGGAGGTTGTGGTGAGCCAAGATCTGGCCACTACATTCCAGCCTGGGCAACAAGAGCGAAACTCCGTCTCAAACCAAACAAAACAAAAAACAAACTTCTAGAGCGGGAAAAGATGGAGGCGGCAATCAGATTTCTCTCAAACCACGAACACAGGGGTCGGTATCTGAGGCGCCGGCACCAGACACGGCAGGGTCTGAGTGCTCCCTGACAAGCGATGATGCGCAGGCTTGGAGCCATGCCAGTGACACGCCTAGGAAAGTTCACGCACCGCCCAGCACGCCTGCGCATGCCTGTTCCCGCTCCCTGGTGCCCCGGGCGCCTGCCTGTCCCGGCTCCCATGGGTGCTGGGTGTGTGGAAGCTCCGGCCCCCTCGGGCTGGGTTCATTGGGGTCCTCCTGTGTGGTCAGTGGACTCTGTACCCCCACAGCACCTGAGGGGTGGCTGACACTGCTTTCCCAGCTGCTGCAGGGGCTCAGGGAACACAGGTGACCCCACGTCTCTACCGAGAATGAGCACACCAACACCTCTCAGAAGACAGCTGCAGCCTGCAGAGGCCATGGACCCCACCCAGGCCCACGGTGTGGACGGCTCTGCCCTGGTCTCTGCTGAGCCAGGCCCAGAGGGGACCCCAGGTGAGCAGCAAAGCCCCCCAGGCCTGGGGCTAGACCGGGCTAACCCTTCCTGCTCAGCACCTGTTCACCTGTCCCCTCTGCTGGTGGCCTCCTGTCCTCCCGCTCTGGGCTCAGCAGCAGCCCCGTGGAGAGGCCCTGCCACCACCCCCGCCCTGCTGGAGACAGGCCTCCTACGCGGGCTCCTGCAGCCGGTCGCCCTGGGCCTCCTAGAAGCCGGGGATCCTCTGCTGACCACCGGCAGAAAACGTGCTTCTCAAGCTGCAGGTGATTCACCAGTAGTGGGCAAGGAACTGAATGTGGTGATTACTGCGGAGTCAGCAAAACCCGCGTGAGAACGGGCAGCTGAGGG
The DNA here is from genome assembly GCF_000001405.40 of Homo sapiens. NCBI lineage: Eukaryota > Metazoa > Chordata > Mammalia > Primates > Hominidae > Homo > Homo sapiens. The sequence goes on from NC_000017.11 coordinate 82,333,054, forward strand.
CCTGCCGGGTGAGGGAAGCCTCACGGTTCCTGTTTCATGAGTTTGCTGTGAGTGCACACGAGGCTGTGGCTGTGGAGTGTGCAACAGTCCACGCGTGCCTGCGTGTGCTCATGTGCGTGTGTCCACCAGCTTGTGTGCACGCATATGAGCGAGTGCGTTTTGCTCCCAGCTTGGTCGCAGCGACGGCGCAGGGAACCCCGGGTGAGGCCGAGGACCGGGAAGGGAGGAGGGGGCTCCGACCCATCGGACTTAGGGGAGCCCCGGGTCCGAGACGCCGCCTCTGTCCCTTCAAGAGTCGAGCCTGGCGCACAGGGCAGGGACGCGGGTCCCCACACCGGCCGGCAGCTCGTTCCCGCCCATACTCGGGTACGCCCGCTGCGACCCCGCCCGCCTGGCCTGCGACGCACGCTCAGGGCCAGCGGGGGGTGACGGTCCCAGAGGCAGAGGCGCCGCAGCCCCAGAGTCCCCATCCCTGCGCGGACCGGCAACCCCAGTGCACCAAGAGGCCCTAACACCGAGCCCCCAGCACCGAGTCCCCAGCACCGGGCCCTCAGCACCGAGTCCCCAGCACCGAGTCCCCAGCACCGAGTCCCCAGCACCGAGCCCGCCCCTCTGGTTCCCCCGCCCGCCCCTCTCCGCGCCTCACCGGGTCCGCTCCTGGACGCGCTCCTCTGGGATGCAGCTTCTCCGCGCCCCGGAGCCCCAGGAAAATGAAAGACACGAGAGGGAGGGGCCAGGGAGGAGGCGGCGGACCCGCGCGGGACCCACCTCCCAGATGAGGAAGGAGCTGGGTTTACGGGAAGCCTCCAAGTTTCGGGAACCACCCGCGTTCACAACAAGCGTGACGGTGAATTTATTATTTTCACGGGAGGCACCGCACCCGCGGTTCACGCTAAAGGAAGCAGGAAAGCCGCCGGGAGCATTTTTCCAGGAGAGTTCGTGCCTGGGCGGGTCCAGCTCGCGTGCGGCGCGCGTTCCCCGCGGGGCTGTTTGGCTCCGCTCCTGGAGGCCTCGAGTCTGTGCACGGGGCGAGCTGGGCGGGCCGAGTGGGCCGCGGGGAGGGAGGGCGGGGGGCGGCCCCCAGATGCCTGGGAGTGCGCGGGCAGAGTGAGCTGGACCCCCGGAGGGTCAGAGGCCCTTTCATAAAAGCGCGCAGAGCAGAGGAGTGATGTCCCCCAGCTCCCCCGCAGAGGGTCCTGCACCTGCGGCCTGGGCCTTCAGGCGTCCTGCGGCCCCTGCGGAGGTGCTGGCCTGGCCAGCCCGGGAGGAGGGGCCCAGCCTGTTGGGGCAGGAGATTGGGGTGCGGGTAGAAGGCTCCAAGACGCATCCGGGCCGGGAACCCACAGACATCCCAGGTGGGCAGGAGGTGGCTCGAGGAGGCCTGGAGGACCCGGCGCCTGGCGGGGTGGCAGGCGGGCCACGTCCTCCACTAGAACCCGAGGGGGCACGCGGGCAGGTGCGGGCGGGGTCAAGGATGACCAGGTATCTTCGGGACACTAGGAGGAGGCCCCACAGGCTGCAGTCACGTGAGTGGGCAAGTCCCCACCGGGCAGATGATGGGGGACACTGGGGCGTGGGCAATGCCCCCAGTTTCATGGAAGAGAGGAAGAAGCAGAACCAAACTCCGGGAAACCCTCAAATGTGGGGAATGGACGGAGCAGGGCCAGACTGGACGCTGAACCTTGGAGCCTGCAGCTCAGCCATCAGACCCAGGGTCCAGAGGTGGGTGGCACAGAACAAAGTCCCCCGGGATGTTCCAAAAGAGAAACTGTCGCCAAATTGGCAGGTGAAACACAGCCTGTCATCCTCCCAGCAAGACGGCACCATGGCCGGGGCACAGAGGTCAGATTCCCCAGCCCCCGCCCTCGGGGAAACCCCAGCCACCCTGGCTGCCAGTGAGATGCTGGAGAGGGGGCTGAAATCCCACCTGCCCACGTCCTCTGCACAGAGGGGCTTGTCCCCGAGGCCACATCCCCCAGCAGCCACAGCTTCCTTCTCCTTTTTTCCTGCCTACTAGATCTCTCAACTCAGAGGGGGCTGCAGTTCCTGGGGGCAGGGGGGTCCGGCTGCTTAGGCAGGAGCACCTGCACCGTGAGGCTCTGGAGGGCAGCTGAAGGCTGGCAGGCTTTTGTCCCGTGAGGGGACACCACTGGGGGTTGGAGGAAAACGCATATCCTGATAAAGCATTTCATGTTGTGAAAGTGAAACTAGTTTGTTTATTTTGGAAGTAATACAGGCACAGAAACAAAATAGAATGAAACCAACTGTTGCCTTTTCCTCCCCACCCTGGCTTCAATTCCCAGGTTGAGTTATGGACACTGCCTTACCTATCCTTCTAGAAGTTTTCCTGGTCCATACAAACAGCACAGCCATCCACTCACGTTTATTTCTTTCTTTTTTTTGAGACGGAGTCTCTGTTGCCCAGGCTGGAGTGCAGTGCTGCAGTCTCGATCACTGCAACCTCTGCCTCCCAGGTTCAACTGATTCTCCCACCTCAGCCTTCTGAGTAGTTGGGATTGCAGGCATGTATCACCACGCCCAGCTAATTTTTGTAGTTTTAGTAGAAATAGGATTTCATCATGTTGGCCAAGCTGGTCTCGAACTCCTGACCTCAGGTGGTCCGCCTGCCTTGGCCTCCCAAAGTGCTGGGGTTACAGGTGTGAGCCACCACATCTGGGCAGTATCTTTCCATTTCTTTTTTTTGTTTTGAGACGGAGTCTCGCTCTGTCGCCCAGGCTGGAGTGCAGTGGCGCAATCTCGGCTCACTGCAAGCTCTGCCTCCTGGGTTCACACCATTCTCCTGCCTCAGCCTCCTGAGTAGCTGGGACTACAGGCGCCCGCCACCACGCCCAGCTAATTTTTCTGTATTTTTAGTAGAGACGGGGTTTCACCGTGTTAGCCAGGATGGTCTGGATCTCCTGACCTTGTGATCCGCCCATCTTGGCCTCCCAAAGTGCTGGATTACAGGCGTGAGCCACTGCACCCGGCCGTATCTTTCCATTTCTATACAATGCTGGGATCAGGCATCTTAGAGCGGATGTGTGGATTCATTCACCCTCAGCCTGTCCTTGAATCACAGCCTCTGCTGTGCCAGGTGACATGTGGAGTTTCATTTCCTTTCTGTTCGAGGAATTTGTAGATTTCAGTTATGATTTTCTGTTTAACTCTCCAAATTATTCGGCAGCATATTCTTAAAATCCCCAAGGTCCTGGAGCATTTGCTTTTCTTTTTTTTGGAGACAGAGTCTTGCTCTGTCGCCCAGGCTGGAGTGCAGTGGTGCGATTTCGGCTCACTGCAACCTCCGCCTCCCTAGTTCAAGCGATTCTCCTACCTCAGCCTCCTGAGTAGCTGGAACTACAGGCACGTGCCGCCACGCCCAGCTTTTATTTATTTATTTATTTTATTTTTGGTAGAGACGGGTTTCACTATGTTAGCCAGGCTTTTTTTTTCTTGAACTCCTGAGCTCAGGCAATCCACCCGCCTCGGCCTCCCAAAGTGCTGGGATTACAGGCGTGAGCCACTGTGCTGGCGGCATTTGCTTTTCTTTGTAACTTGATTCTCTGGGTTCCCTTGCCTTTCATCCTTGCCCACCCACGTGACTGCAGCCTGTGGGGCTTCCTCCTAATGTCCCGAAGATAACTCGTCATCCTTGACCCCGCCGCCACCTCGGGTTCTAGTGGAGGATGTGGCCCGCCTGCCACCCCCACAGGCACCGGGTCCTCCAGGCCTCCTTGACCCACTTCCAACCCACCTGGGATGTCTGCGCGTTACCAGCCCAGATGCCTCTTGGAGCCTTCCACCTGCACCCCATCTCCTGTCCCAACAGGCTGGGCCCCTCCTCCCGGGCTGGCCAAGCCAGTACCTCCGCAGGGGCCGCAGGTGCAGCACCCTCTGTGGGGGAGCTAGGGGGATCGCTCCTCTGCTCTGCGCACTTTTATGAAAGGGCCTCTGACCCTCCCACTGTCCTGCTCACTCTGCCCGCGCACCCCCGGCCACCTGGGGGCCGCCCCCCAAAGCCCTCGGCCCGTGGACAGACTCGCAGCCTCCTGGGAGCCGAGCCAACCGGCCCCACAGATTTGTGCATGACTCAGTTGTACCCACTGCTCACTGGCTGGAAGGGTCTCACGGGTCCTTCCAACATGTAATATTCTCTGACTGTTGGGAGCAAGGGTCTCTGCAGGTGTCCCTCCTGTCAAGGTGTCAGTGGGGTAGGTTAGGTCTTTTATATACTTGTCAATTTTTTTTTTTTAAGACGGAGTCTCGCTCTGTCGCCCAGGCTGGAGTGCAGTGGCACGATCTCAGCTCACTGCAAGCTCCGCCTCTCGGGTTCACGCCATTCTCCTGCCTCAGCCTCCCCAGCAGCTGGGACTACAGGCGCCCGCCACCACGCCCAGCTAATTTTTTGTATTTTTATATACTTGTCAATTTGTATGGGCTTGAGCTATCAGTAATTAAGAGAGATAGGTTGGAATGGCCTCCTATGGTGGGGGCTTAGCAGCCTCTTCTTGTGGTTCTAGGAATTTTTAATCATATATTTGGAGGCTTTTTTTTTTTAAGAGATGGGGTCTCCTGTAGTTGACCAGGCTGGCTTGCAGTGGCTGTTCACTGGCAGGATCGTAGCTCAATGTACCCTGACCTTCTGGGCTCAAGCGATCCTCCAGCCTCAGCTTTCTGAGTAGCTGGCACCACAGGCAGGCACCACAGATAAAAAGTCTAAAATGTTTGCTTCAGTCTTTGTCGTTTTGTTGCTCTTGTTCTTGTCTTGTGCTAACCTAATTCTAATTTATCTATTTTATAATATTCGGAAGTTTTAAAATATGAGGCTAATTTTAAATTCTTACCCAGCATGTGTTTCTGCTTTTGGTGGAATCCACAACCCAGCTTGTTATTTTCCACCTGAAAAGGCTGTGCTCCTCGAACATCCAGTTATGTTGCCCTGAGCCCCTTCACTTGCCAATCTTCTTGGTATTTCTTTTGGGATTTCACTGTCTTTATAGCTTCACTTTATTTTAATTCTATTTATTTATTTATTTGGGGGGGATGGAGTCTCACTATGTTGCCCAGGCTGGAGTGCAATGGCACGATCTCACCTCACGCAACCTCCACCACCCGGGTTCAAGTAATTCTCCTGCCTCAATCTCCCTAGTAGCTGAGATTAGAGGCGTGCACCTGGCTAATTTTTGTATTTTTAGTAGAGACGGGGTTTTGCCGTGTTGGCCAGGCTGGTCTCTAACTCCTGACCTCATAATCTACCCACCTTGGCCTCCCAAAGTGCTGGGATTACAGGCGTGAGCCACCGTGCCCAGCTGTTATAGCTTAATTTTAGAAAGAATGGCATTTTTAGGGCTGGGTGCGATGGCTCATGCCTGTAATCCTAGCACTCTGGGAGGCTGAAGTGAGACAATCTCTTGAGGCCAGGAATTTGAGACCAGCTTGGACAACACAGTGAGACCCATCTTCACAAAAATAAAATAATGAGCCGGGCGTGGTGGCCAGTGCCTGTAGCCCCAGCTACTTGGGAGGCTGAGGTAGGAGGATCTCTTGAGCCTGGGAGGTCGAGGCTGCATTGAACCGAGATCAGGCCACTGCACTGTAGCCTGAGCAACAGAGCGAGACCCTGCCTCAAAGAGAGAGAGAGAGAGAGAGAAAGAGAGAAAGAGAAAATACTTTTAATAGTAATCCTTCCTAGCCAATGAGATAGGAATGCTGGGTGGTCATAGGAGAAATGAGAAATATCAAACAGTAATCTTGCAGAAAAGCAAGAAAGCAGCTGTTAGAATGAGCCACAGAAAGCAACTGTTAGAATGAGCCACGGAAAGCAGCTGTTAGAATGAGCCATGGAAAGCAGCTGTTAGAATGAGCCACGGAAAGCAGCTGTTAGAATGAGCCACAAAGGCAGGGATGAGCCCGGACTGATGAGACCCTCGACCCCACAAGCAGGAGAGGCTACGTTGGAGGAGGCTGGCCGGATCCACCGTGGCACTAGGCTTGACCTGTGCCCACCCCAGACCTAATTGCACACTGACTGCCATTCACAATCACGTACACACCAGCGTCACGGCAGATCCAACCATGCCCATATTTAGTATAAAAATATCTGGCACCCCAATTCTAAGAAATCGTCACCTTTTTCCTAGAAAATCTAATGATTATTCCACCCTCTAACTAGGAAAGCCCATAAAATAGAAACTCAGGCCTCGTTGTGTGTGACTCACTCTCGGAGCACGCCCGTGCCTCTCCTGTGCGCAGGCATTCACTTCACAATAAAAGCTTCTTGCCTTTTGTCTCATTCCTACTCATCCCGAATTCTTCCTCATGATGGTGTCAAGAACCTGGACACCGGCTGGCACTGGGGCTGGCATCTCGCCGGCATCTGCAGACCCTTCTCAGTCCTCCGGCCACAGAGCTGCTGCTTTCCGTCTGACTTAAGCGTCATGGCCGTGCCTGTCCCGGCCAGGAATCCTGTCAATGGCCGTGCCCAGCCCTGCTTGCTCTGCGGAGCCCTGGACTCAGGGGAGCCTCCAATGTGCCCCCAGGACGGTGCTCCGTGCAGGAGGAGTGGTCTGACCACATTCTACTCTCTCCCCTTGGCTGCCTGCCCCTTGATTCCTGGAATTCCCAGAGAATCAGGACGCTGTTCCCGGGAAGACTCTAACCACCAGCAAATGCCCAGGTCCGAGGGTGCCCAAGGTCGCAGGTCCTGGATCTGAAGCTTCCTGGAGATGCCTCCTCCAGCCTCATGGGGAGAGGAGGGAGGGTTCCCAAAGACACCCAAGAGTGAGGATCTGGTTCTGGGCTGCTGGAGAGGAGACGCCTCTGGGAGACCCCCCCAGAGTCCCTGTGCCCCCAAAAGCCCTGCCCCCAACCCCTCCCCCAGTGCTTCTCTGTGCCCTCTCACCAGTGCCTCCCCCAGTGTCCTCTCCCCCCAGTGCCCTCCCCCAGTGCCCTCCCCTGGTATCCTCTCCCCCGTGCCCTCCCCCAGTGCCCTCTACCTTGCCCTCCCCCAAGTGCCCTCCCCTGGTGTCCTCTCCCCCTCTGCCCTCCCCCAGTACCCTCCCCCATGCCCTCCCCCAATGCCCTCTCCCCCAGTGCCCTCCCCCCAGTGCCTTCTTCCCCTGTGCCCTCCCCCCATGTCCTTCCCCCACACCCTCTTCCCCTGTGTCCTCCCTCTGTGCCCTCTTCCCCTGTGCCCTCCCCAGTGCCCTCCCCTGTGTTCTTCCCCAGTGCCCTCTTCCCCATGCCCTCCCCCTGTGCCCTCCCCCCAGTGCCTTCTTCCCCTGTGCCCTCCCCCCATGTCCTTCCCCCACACCCTCTTCCCGTGTCCTCCCTCTGTGCCTCTTCCCCTGTACCCTCCCCCAGTGCCCTCCCCAGCTTCCTCACACCCAGTTCCCCCATGCTGAGAGGCTGTCAGTGATGGAGGTTTGGGGTGGCATTAGACCACCTCCCAGGAAGGGCGAGGAAGCATTTCTGTAACATCAGAATGCGGCAGCAGAACTTCCCTGAGGAGCCGCTGCCCAGAAGAGCTTCCCCCTGACGGTCTTTCTAGGATGAGATTGTCCCGCACCTGCCTCCCCATCTCCTGTCTCGGTTAAATCCCTCTCCGAGGGCATGGGAATGATAGTTGTCTTTGTTCAGCGTATCCGAGATTTTTTTTTTTTTTTTTTGAGACAGAGTCTGGCTCTGTCACCCAGGCTGGAGTGCAGTGGCGTGATCTCGGCTCACTGCAACCTCCACTTCCTGGGTTCACACCATTCTCTTGCCTCAGCCTCCCGAGTCGCTGGAACTACAGGCGCCCGCCACCACGCCCGGCTAATTTTTTGTATTTTTAGTAGAGACGGGGTTTCACCGTGTTAGCCAGGATGGTCTCAATCTCCTGACCTTGTGATCTGCCCGCCTCGGCTTCCCAAAGTGCTGGGATTACAGGCATGAGCCACCACGCCTGGCCAAGAAAAATGGATTCTTATTGCACTGATGCAACCAACTGTATCACCATAAGAGTACTCACAAATAGTTTCCAAATTCTAGAGGAACCAGGGAGAGAAACAAACATGCTCCAAATTTTGTTCACAGGAGAGTACCTTGCTCAATTATTAAAGGCCGTGAACAGTTCAAGTTTCTTTGACTCTGAAAAACAAAACAAGGATCAGCAATATTCTAAAAGGTGCTTTCTGAGGGCCGTCCATTTAGTTCACTTTTTTTTTTGAGATGGAGTCTCGCTCTGTCCCCCAGGCTGGAGTGCAGTGGTGTGACCTCAGCTCACTGCAAGCTCCACCTCCTGGGTTCACACCATTCTCCAGCCTCAGCTTCCTCAGCCTGTAGCTGGGACTACAGGCGCCCGTCACCATGCCCGGCTAATTTTTTGTATTTTCAGTACAGATGGGGTTTCACCGTGTTAGCCAGGATGGTCTCAATCTCCTGACCTCATGATCCACCCACCTTGGCCTCCCAAAGTGCTGGGATTAAAGGCGTGAGCCACCACGCCTGGCCTAGTTAACTCTTGTTTTGCTTGAGATTCATGAACATTTCAGTTCTTTGTGAGTCCTGTATGTTTTTCCTCTATTCAAAAAAAAAAAAAAAAAAAAAGGGCCAGACATGGTGGCTCACACCTGTAATCCCAGCACTTTGGGAGGCTCAGGTGGGCAGATCACTTGAAATCAAGAGTTTGAGACCAGCCTGGCCAACATGGTAAAACACCATCTCTACTAAAAATACAAAAATTAGCCAGGCGTGGTGGTGCACACCTGTAATCCCAGCTACTTGGGAGGCTGAGGCAGGAGAATCACTTGAACCCAGGAGGCTGCAGTGAGCTGTGACTGTGCCACTGCACTCCAGCCTGGGCAACAGGGCGAGACTCTGTCTCAAAAACGTTCCAGGGCCTAATCTTGAGATAGACAGACCAACCCTGGAAACTCAGCGGCAAAATTCCAGAGGTTTCCCCCAGGCAGCAAGTCAGCCACCCAGCCGTTGATCAGATGACCCCAGCCTGCGCTCCAAGTGTACTGGGACCCAAGATAGCCACTGAGGACAGACACACAGACCTTGTACCCAGCACGGCGCCGGCACGCCTCCCACGCCAGCTTCCCCGTGACAAGCCCCTGCCTTCTCCCTAGGAATTTGAAGTGGTTGCTTTGGACGGGAATGCGGCCCCTTGCCCATGACTAGTTTCGGATAATAAAGTCACTTTCTTTCAACCAGGCCTCCCTCTTGATTACTGGACTCTGCAAGTGGTGAGGAACGGAACTTGCGTTCGGTTACAATTTTGGTGGCCCGTGTGGGGAACGTTGTGTGCTTTGGGGGGCCCAAGCCTGCCCATCTGGTTTCTGTTGGGCAGGGCGTAGGTTCACCTGTGAGTTCCAGCTGCTCCTGGCTGCTGCGCCTGTGGCTGGAATGGGAGGAGCTGCCCCGTGGCCGCCGAGATGCTTTCGTCCGGGAATCCTGTCCTTCTCTTCCTGCTGCCTTCAACGCTTTGCTGGTGCAAAGGAAGTGACCTTTGGAGAAGTTAATAAACTTTGGAACTGGGTGCCTTAGTTGGAGTTCACCCAGGGACCCTCTGCCTCTTTGGGGTGTGGCTGAGGCCCTCCTCTGTTTAGACTTGGCTGTGAGTGACACCAGTTGGGCATTTGATACATTTGAATTCGTTTGTGTTTGTGGCACCCTAGGGCCTCTGCTCAGTGCGGGTTCAGTCGCCCGAGGGGCCGTTTGAAACCGAGCCCCTTAAAGGAGGTTTTTTGGACGCAGCTGTTGGTTTGTGCGCATGAGTGTGTGCACCCTGACCTCTCTCTCCTTCCTCCAACGTCCTCCTCCCGTCCGCCACCAAAGCGTTATTCCTCTTGGTCAAAAGCACCCTTAGCTCCCTGTGGCTGCGAACAGCTGACCTTGACAGGTGATCTGCGGAGGTGGGAGGGATTCATCCCACACCGCGCAGGTCTGGGGTGCGGAGGCTTTCCCTGATGGGAGATGATCAAGGGTGAGGGGGTGCTGGCCCCGCACCACGCAGTGGCTGGAGGCTCGCCAGCCTCCCTCCTTCCTTTCTTGTTTCTCCTCCCTGCTGCAAACCTTTCTCCTCCGCTTTCCTTTCTTTTCTATTTTCCTGTTCAATCCAGGGGCCCAGCCCAAAAAGGGAAAAACAGTTTCCAACATCCCGGCCCCTGATTTTGTCGTCCTCTTAGGGACTCCAGCTGGTTACATATTACAGCCCATTGTGCATGTTTTAAGCTGACGGGCAAATGACAGCGAGGAAAATTCAGACCTCCAGTGGTGAACCTGTGCTGTGGTTAAGCAGTGTTCTAAGGTGCTCTCTGGTCCTCTCTTTTCTTTCTTGCTTTAAACCTGCTGTTACTAAGCTGCTGGTGCGAAGACTCGTTATTTACGGTCTAACTAGAATGTAAACGTTGGAAACTCATTTGAAACTAAAGAGAAAGAGGGTAAAACAATTTTTTTTGTTTCGTTTTGTCTTGTTTTATAAAACCAAACTGCCACAGAGATTGCTTTACCCAAATTTTGGTTCAAGTTCTCTCCTTGGATGACCTATCAGGCGACAAGGGTTAGCCAGGTAAGCAGGTTCCAGTCTGTCAGAACAGCCACCTGCAGCCAGCTGGCTCCTATAGGCCCATGAGTTTGTGACACTTTACCATTGCCATGCCAACACCCAGATGTTACTGCCCCTTTCCATGGCAATGACCCAGAAGTACCACCCCTTTTCTAGGAAATTCTGAATGCCCCACCTCTTAATTTGCATGTAGTTAAAAGTGGGTATAAATGTGACGGCTGCCCTGCCCTGAGCTGCTGCTCTCCGCACACTTCTCCGGGGCAGCCCTGCTCTGTATCATGGAGCTGTGACATGCCACCGCCTTAGTGAAGCTGCTTTCAAGGGAGAAGAAAAGGAAAAATTAGTTGGGCAGACAGCTAAAGCTGGTCTTTGGTAAAATTCTTTTTTTTTTTTTTTTTTTTTTGAGACGGAGTCTCACTCTGTCACCCAGGCTGGAGTGTAGTGGTGTGATCTCAGCTCACTGTAACCTCCACCTCCTAGGTTCAAGCGATTCTCCTGCCTCAGCCTCTTGAGTAGCTGGGATTACAGGCACCCACCACCATGCCCAGCTAAATTTTGTATTTTTAGTGGAGACAGGGAGGCAGGGGGGGCGGGGGTGGGTCTTGCCATGTTGGCCAGGCTGGTCTCGAACTCCTGACCTTAGGTGATCCTCCCGCCCTGGCCTCCGACAGTGCTGAGATTACAGGCGTGAGCCATGGCACCTGGCCTTAAATTGTTTTTAACCACAGCTAATACGGTACACCTTTCAGAGACGGAGCACTCCACATCACAGGTGGCAAGAGTCTTGATTCTTCCTCAGCCCCAGGTGGCTCTTCCTTTATTGTGCTCCTGTGGATCCTTCAGACTATGTAGCTAAAAGCAAAGAAAAACACGTATTCTATCTGCCCCTCCCCTTTGACACAGAAGGAGGCACGACCATCACGGCGTCCTGAGCTCAGCCTGGCCCACACCAGGCCCTCCTGGAGACCCTCCTGGTGGGTGCGGGGTGGCCTCCCAGGCATGGCTGCTGTGTTGGGTGGGGGGTGACTAAGTCAACAGCCCCGTGTGTGTGTGCGTAGGCTGATTCTGGCCTTCGGCAGTCACAGTCCCACAGACACCATGGTGCCTGTGTCGGCTCCGTGCCTGTGTCAGCTCACCGTGCCTGTGTCAGCTCCGTGCCTGTGTCAGCTCATGGCGCCTGTGTCGGCTCCGTGCCTCCAGCGGTGTTTGTCTTTAGGGCAAATACCCACTCCGCCCTGGGCTGCCACATCTCACAATGGGGAAGTGGGGAAGGGGGGTTTGCAGGGGTGGTTGCAGGGTGAGGGTGTGTCTGGCTGCACAGATTTACACGCCCGTGGGCTGGGTGGGAGTGCGGTAGGCCAGGTCTCACTAACGTGGGCCTCCATGACCAGTTTCAGTACTGAGGGAGTTAAAAGCCAGTGCCCTTATACAAAGGCTGGAATGTAACAGAAGCATACCAAGAGTTTTGCCTAGCCCTTTCCTGGGCCTTAAAGCATGAAAAAATAACAAAGGAATTCTTAATAGGACCCATTTAGGATAAAACAAATTTTATCGCGGGTCTGAAGGAACTCCTCAGGCCTCCACAAACAAGCTTATTGGGGGCCCGAAGGAACTTCTCCAACCTCCGTGACTTAGCAGGAGACAGGATAAGGGTAATGACCCAGCACCTGGACCCATCTAGATTAAACTTACTGAGGCTCCAGAGGAAGGTCTTCAGGACTCAGACCTCAGTTACAGATTAGAAGTTAGTCACTTAGTCTTCAGATGAATGCACACTTACACGTAGACGTAGCGTGTGGAAGGTAGATAAGCTCTGGAGGACTGTAATTTTGAGTTGGTCTGGAGATAATGTCCAGGCCTTCTCCCTGTAACCGGTTGGGGAAATAAACACGTGCTTCCTCCCCAGTTCAGCTGCGTCTCGTTATGGGGCCCGACCCTCAGTTTGGTCCGGGAACGGGGGCTGCCTCTCGTCCGAGGACCTGCTGCTACTCCTGGTCGTGGCTGCAGCTCTGTCCGCCTTTCTGTCCGGCTTTCCATCCGGGGTGCCAGCTCGCCGCTGTCCCCACATCTGGCTCCCGTGTTCCCGGCTGTCACGCAGGGTCACGTCGTCCCCAAAGTTCTGCTAACACGAATGAAGTCTCGTTGGTGTGACATCAAACAGCTACGAAGGCCGTTTCTGTGACCCGGAGGCCACACGCCGAGTCTCCGGGACGAAGCCTCGCTTGGCAGAGCCGCCGGGGCCTGGTCTCTGTGTTCTGTGCCACAGATGCCACACGACTGTTTCCCACTCCCTGTGTTTACGTGGGACCCAAAGATAACTGTTTTCCCGAAATTAATATAATTCCTAAGATAATTTTTCATGAAATTGGAAAAACTGGTTCTAAAATTCATACGAAGGCCGGTGTGGTGGCTCCCGCCTGTAAATCCCAGCACTGTGGGAGGCCGAGGCGGGCGGATCACGAGGTCAGGAGATCAAGACCATCCTGGCTAACACGGTGAAACCCCGTCTCCACTAAAAAAATACAAAAAATTAGCCAGGTGTGGTGACGGGCGCCTGTAGTCCCAGCTACTCAGGTAACTGAGGCAGGAGACTGGCGTGAACCCGGGAGGCGGAGCTTGCAGTGAGCCGAGATCGCGCCACTGCACTCCAGCCTGGGCGACAGAGCAAGACTCTGTCTCAAGAAAAAAAATAAAAATAAAAAATAAAATTCGTACGAAAGAGCAAAGAGGGCCGGGCGTGGCAGCTCACGCCTGTAACCCCAGCACTTTGTGTCACGTGCGTCCATGTGAAGAGACACCAACAGGCTTTGTGTGAGCAACAAGGCTGTTTATTCACTTGGGTGCAAGTGGGCTGAGTCCGAAAAGAGTCAGCAAAGAGAGGTAGGGGTGGGGCCGTTTTATAGGACTGGGGTAAACAGTGGAAAGTTACAGTGAAAGGTGGTTACCTATTGTCAGCAGAGGAGGGGGTCACAAGGTACATGGTGGGGAGATCATAAGACTCATTGTCCGGAAGAAGAATGTCACGAGGTCGATCGATCAGGTGGGACAGGGCAGGAACAGGTCATCATGGAATGTCGTAAGGTTGGTCAATCAGTTAAGACAGGAGCTGGCTGTTTCATTCTTTTGTAGATTTGGGTTGCCCCAGACTTCTTGGCTCTTGCAGGCCATCTGGACATACATGTGCAGGTCACAGGGGTTACAATGGCTGAGCTTCGGCTCAGAGGCCTGACACACCTGACACAAGGGAGCGTGTGTCTGAGGGCGCAGCAGCCAAGGAGCGGCTTCCCCTCCCCAGGAGGGCTCCGAGGGGGAAGTCAGGAAGCTGTTTCTTGCACACGCGAGTGTGAAGCTGCAAACTGCTCAGCGGCAGGTTCGGGTTTAAAAACTCAAAACTTAAAAAAATTAGCTAGCCGCCACAGTGTGGGGGGAAGAACCACTCTGCTTTTAAATACAAGAGATGGCACAAGATTTCGGGATAGTGCCCATGTGGGCGACCCCGACCCGGTCCCCGCCCTGCTTGTGCCAAGGATCCTCAGGCACCCGGGGCTTCCTGTTTATACAGCAGAACGCCCTCTCTCTGGAGACAGAGAGACAGAAGGGTCCCAGCCTGAACACCCCCCTCTGGAGACAGAGAGACTGAGGGGGTCCCAGCCTGAACGCCCCCTCTCTGGAGACAGACTGAGGGGGTCCCAGCCTGAACGCCCCCTCTCTGGAGACAGACTGAGGGGGTCCCAGCCTGAACGCCCCCTCTCTGGAGACAGAGAGACAGAGGGGTCCCAGCCTGAACGCCCCCTCTCTGGAGACAGACTGAGGGGGTCCCAGCCTGAACGCCCCCCTCTGGAGACAGGCTGAGGGGGTCCCAGCCTGAACGCCCCCTCTCTGGAGACAGAGAGACTGAGGGGGTCCCAGCCTGAACGCCCCCTCTCTGGAGACAGAGAGACTGAGGGGTCCCAGCCTGAACGCCCCCTCTCTGGAGACAGACTGAGGGGGTCCCAGCCTGAACGCCCCCTCTCTGGAGACAGACTGAGGGGGTCCCAGCCTGAACGCCCCCTCTCTGGAGACAGAGAGACAGAGGGGTCCCAGCCTGAACGCCCCCCTCTGGAGACAGGCTGAGGGGGTCCCAGCCTGAACGCCCCCTCTCTGGAGACAGAGAGACTGAGGGGGTCCCAGCCTGAACGCCCCCTCTCTGGAGACAGAGAGACTGAGGGGGTCCCAGCCTGAACGCCCCCTCTCTGGAGACAGAGAGACAGAGGGGTCCCAGCCTGAACGCCCCCCTCTGGAGACAGGCTGAGGGGGTCCCAGCCTGAACGCCCCCTCTCTGGAGACAGACTGAGGGGGTCCCAGCCTGAACGCCCCCTCTCTGGAGACAGAGAGACTGAGGGGTCCCAGCCTGAACGCCCCCCTCTGGAGACAGAGAGACTGAGGGGGTCCCAGCCTGAACGCCCTCTCTCCGGGCTCTTCCACCAGAGCTAAGACCTTCTGATTTTCTTGTCTTGTCTTTTGAGACAGGGTTTTGCTCTTGTCACCCAGGCTGGAGTGCAATGGTGCGTTCTTGGCTCACTGCAACCTCCGCCTCCCAGGCTCAAGTGATTCTCCTGACTCAGCCTCCTGAGTAGCTGGGATTACAGGTGCCTGCCACCACGCCCGCCTAATTTTTGTATTTTAGTAGGGACGAGGTTTCACCGTGTTGGCCAGGCTGATCTTGAACTCTTGACCTCAGGTGATCCCCACACCTCGGCCTCCCAAAGTTCTGGGATTACAGGCGTGAGCCACTGCACCCAGCCAATGCCTTCTGGTTTTTCTGATTTTTCTGATCTCTCATTTTCCTTTCTAGAAGGGAGGCCTCTTGTCATCCTATCTCTACCCGCAGAAAATAGGATTTGAGTTTCTATTTGAGTGCTGGGACCAGCGTTGGAGGGAGGGAAGACATCAGAGCCAGAGCCCCTCCAAGACTGCCCCCCAGGGCCTGGGGCTGCAGGGGGCTGGCCCTGCTGGGAAGGAGAGGCTGCCAGGTGGGGTCCTGGGCCAAGGTCCCAGCATAAACACCCACGAAACCCCCTGGGCTGGCCGGCTGCCACCCTGCCCTGCTCCTCGCCTCATAGCTTTCCACGAGACCCCCTGGGCTGGCCGGCTGCCACCCTGCCCTGCTCGCCTCATAGCTTTCCTTCACCTCTCTCTCCTTCACAAACTCACCCAGCCCCACGTCTGACACACATTTCTAAATCTATCTTCCTTGTCAATAATTCAACCAACGCTTTTATTTGTCAAAGAGAAACCTGCCATAGTGGGAATTTACAGCCACAGTCCCCACGACGTAAATGTTTCCCTCTCACATTTGGAAACCTGCTGTGTTGGAATTGAATAGTAAATAGGAGAATTATAATAAATGAAATAAGCCAGCCGTCCCTGAAATACGATTGCTCCTCAGGACTTGAGGCTGATCTGAGCCAATTCTTCCACTGATCTCTACGCAGAGCCTCGGGAACTCCTAGAGGAGCATAAGTTCCAAACTGGAGACGCACATGCAGGGGCATAGAAGCCTCACTCTGAACAACTAAACAAAAGCATCTGATTTTAGAATTTAAAAATGTCTGTGGGGGGTGCCTCAGTTCCCCCCGTGACCCCAGCTCTGGTAGGGTCACTGCCACCCGCGCGTGCATGTCCTGGGATCCTGACCTCTCCTTCAAACCCACCAGAGCGATGCCAGGTGACTCTGGGGAGGCTCACCTGCTCAGGTGAGTAGAATCAACCCTGTCGGCCACTGGAGCCACTGGGGTAGCCGGGGCCGTGGAGCTCTGCACAGCCCGGGGGAGGCCGATGTTCAGAACAAAGCTTTTATCATGGAAAAGTACAAACATAAACACAAAGGTGGAGACTGGGACAGTAATCTGTTCACTCACTGCCTTCTCCTGACCTCTTCCACTTCCTCGTCTTTCCCGGCCCCCTCCCAGCCAGAAGGGTGGGAAAGCGCTGGTTTTAATTAGCGATTTCTTGACTGCCTCCCCCTCATTCCTGAGCCTCTCCCAGTTTCCTGACGGTAGAAAACACTCTGGCTTTGATTTGTAAGCAGATGTGTAGATAGTTTTCTTAGAAAGTTTCCCAATTGTAAAATGATTGCAACTTGGTTAACGCCGTCTGAGACACAACAGTTCTGTTTCCCCAAACCCTCGCTTTAAAGGAGTTTTTACTTCATTTATCACGTATGCTACTGAGAGAACGAACGGTGTTGAGGTCGCCTTCGGGTTTCCTGGGTTTTCTGGAGCTGTGGAATCGAGTCCCAAGTGTCCCGAGAGGCAGACGTCTGGAGTCCAGAGCTGTGAGCGGCAGCAGACCCTGCAGCTTCAGTGAGGGCCGCACACAGGGCATCTGCGCAAGACACGTCACCCTTCACATGGCCCCATGGCCACAGGGACAGCGTGTCACTTTCCCAGGTTATTTGGTATTTTTAAAAGCTCAAATGTTAAAGAGTCGGCTTTTTAGGTTGTGCCAGAATGACTCTGGGGTCAAACTATTTCTTTTTTTTCTTTTTATTTTTTTTGAGACAGAGTCTCACTCTTCACCCAGGCTGGAGTGCAGTGGTGTGATCTCAGCTCACTGCAACCTCTGCCTCCCATGCTCAAGCTATTTTCCTGCCTCAGCCTCCAGAGTAGCTGGGATTACAGGCGTGCACCACCACGCCCAGCTGATTTTTATATTTTTAGTAGAGATGGGGTTTCACCATGTTGGCCAGGCTGGTCTTGAACTCCTGGCCTCAGGTGATCCGCCTGCCTTGGCCTCCATAAGTGCTGGGATTCCAGGCGTGCGCCACCGCCCCCTGCCGAAACTATTTCAATGTGACACCAGCATCATGTGTGGCATCTGCAGGCCTCTCTCGGGTTCCCCTCTGCACGGAGCCTGTGGTTTTCAGGGCGAGATGCCCGGCTGGCCCCGGGGCCTGAACCAGCTGCAACGGAAGGCTCTGTGGGATGAGGGCAACCTTTGGCCTGGGGTGCAGGGGCCCCGGACTCTGATGCTGCACCTCGACTTTACCCAGGTCCCAGGGCCTGCACAGGCTGAGCCCCCCACTAGCATGACTGCTCCTGGAGCTGTTTGTTACAGAGACTTGCCGCCTGACTCAGGGCCCCACTGTGGCAATGTCACCTGCCACACCAGCAGAGGTGTCTGTGGGGGTTGATGCTGACAGACACTGGTCTGTTCTTGGGGGAGGATCTGATTTGTCACAAAAAGAGGTCAAGTAGGCTGACAGTTCTTGCCGATGGCCCAGGTGTCGGGATTACGTGTCAGTCCTGGCTGCGCTGCCGGCTTCTCTGCGCCTCCCTGGGTGATGCCCATCTCACCGGGGTGGCGGCAGGTGCACCATCGTGGGGCCGGCACACCCGGCACCTCGGAGGCCTCTGTCCCAGCCACTGGGCCTGTCCAGGAGGGCTGGACGGGCCACCACCTCGGCCCACCCTCGAGGCTTCTCCAGGGCTCGATCCAGGCTGGGCTTCAGACATGGAGTTGCTGGCAGCCCGAGAATGTTACAATTGTTGAGCTTCTTATTTCCAGGTAACTCAAGTTCATTTTAGAAGCTGTGGAAAACACAGGCAAGCAGAGAACATGAATGACCTGCCCCCTGTTATCTACCCCAAACCTGACCTCAGTCAGCATCTGCTTCTAGGTCCTCTCGCTTTGTAGCTCCTGCCTTTGGGGCCAGCTGCTTCACACCCCAAGTCCTTCTATTATTAACTGACTCTTCCTGTTTACTTCAATCCAGCAGATGTGTGTAGAGCAGCAACCACGCCGGGCTGGGACCCCGCGGCCGAGGCGTCTGCTGGAAGGAGTCTCTGAGGTCACCAACCACGCCGGGCTGGGGCCCTGCGACCGAGGCATCTGCGGGAAGGAGTCTCTGAGGTCACTCCTGCCCACAGGTGCACGTCTGTGCACCCGCCCACTCCTGCATACACACGAACACACCTGTGCATGTATACACCGCACCCCACACACCCCTGCACACTCGTGAGGGCATGCTCTCACACACAAACATGCACTCGCAATAGGCCTCCAGGGCTGGGGCCGGCCGTGGAGCTGGACCGAGGGAGGGAGCTTGCTGGGGTGGCCCAGGTATAGCCCCTGGCCCGGCCTCAGCCCACCCGGCAGACTCTCAGCTGAAGGAGGACGCGGGTTGCCGTCGGGATGCCGTGTGCAACATCCCAACTCCACAGATCAGAAGATGGAGGCAGAGCCGATTGGAGGAGGAGGGTCGGGAGGCCTCAGGAATTGCTAAAGGGCCAGCCATGGTTCTCAGTTCTTCCCAGCAACCAGTCCAGAGACCAGGCCAATGGCAGGGCCCCTTTGCGGGCTTGGCTGATTTGATGGTACAAAAGCACGAGCGTCCGTGCAGACTGAAGTGACCACCAGGGGGTGCTATTGGCACACAGCAAGTTGGCGCCCAAATCCAGAGCCTAGAAATTGATCCTGCTGCCTCCGGGCTGCTCTGCCGCACCCACAGGTGCCCAGGGATGCCAGGCGCCTGCCCCAAGCCATGTGGGGGTGGCACAGGTGCACCCGGAAGCCCCCAGTTTCCATAATCTTCCCTCCCTGCCAGGAGGCGTGTGGGTTCGCCAAGTCCTGCTTCCAGTGCCTGCTTCTCCAGTCTCAGATCTCAGCGAGCACACCAGGGGTATGGGAGGCCTCACACCCAGGGGCTGTTGCAGCCACGCCGCTTCCTGTGTGTGGGCGCTGTGCATGGCAGGGTGGACACGACACCACCTCCCAGTTGTCATGGGCAGAGCCCCTTTCCTTGGACAGAACCCCTGGTGCCCACCCCTAGGAGGTAGGATCCAGACCAGTGGGCAGAGGAGGGGGAGGCCATGCTCCTTTGGGGCCATTTGTGTGCCTGGCGGTGGCCCCCATTGTGTCCCCAAGTGGGGTTTATGGTGTTGCCGAGGGCTGTGGGGGGCACGCCCAGTATCTGGAGCTTCTGGGTTGATTTGAGGGTTGTTCTGTGTGTCCAGGCCATGTGGGTTGGGCCACGGCCTGTGGCTAGGGTCTTTATGGAGCAGGATTGAGCCACATGTGGACAGGGTCCCTGTGGAGTAGGATTGAGGCCCCCTAATCTCCCAGCTCATTCTGCACAACTTTGGTTTTGCTCTGATTTAAAAATGAACAGATTAAACTGAAGTAAATATTTCAAGCTGTTTTTAACAAAAAAAAGGTGTTATTCATCATGCACAGTGCCCTCACTCAGATGACAGACAGCAATGAGCTTGGCTCTGCGGGGGCAGGCAGCTGGTGGCTGAGGGTGAGGCCAGCATGACATGGCTCTGATTTACCCAAAATGTTTAATACTTGCCATTTTTTTCTTAGTCTCATTTAATGTCTTTTTTTTTTTTTTTTTTTTTTGGAGACAGAGTCTCACTCTGTTGCCCAGGCTGGAGTGCAGTGGCGCAATCTCGGCTCACTGCAACCTCTACCTCCCGGGTTCAAGCAATTCTTCTGCCTCAGCCTCCCGTGTAGCTGGGATTACAGGCTCCCATCACCATGCCCAGCTAATTTTTGTATTTTTAGTAGAGACGGGGTTTCACCATGTTGGCCAGGCTGGTCTCGAACTCCTGACCTCCGGTGAGCCACCTGCCTTGGCCTCCCAAAGTGCTGGGATTACAGACGTGAGCCACCGTGCGGGGCTGTTTAATGTCTTTTTATGGAGATGCATTTTGTAGGGTGATGAGAGATGAGAGCAGAAAACAAAATCAAGCACCAGGGCCCCAGGTATGCGTCTTCCACATTTGGTTTATTTGATGAAGGAGTTCATGGCTAACAGGGCCCTATAGCCCAAGTGTGACCCAGATCTTTAGAACTGCGGGCCCTCCCTCAACTCCATCTCACCCAGTAGCATGAACCCTAAATCTACTATGGAGGCCTTAGGGAGAGAGGGTGTAGGAGGGTGGCTGCACTCTCATACCTTCCTACATCTGCTGGAGCCCAGGGCCCCCATCACAGGCAGCACCTGCTCCTGTAGGCTACAGACAGGGTCACGCAGGCGCCTGGAAACCGCTGCCAACTGCCAGGATTGGGTCTGCACCTGCCCCGGCCTCCCTGGCCCTGGGTGATGGGGGGAAGCCAAGAGGGGAGAGTCCCAGGGAACGTGACCCCCAAGTGTGTGGCTGCCCCGCCCCTCGCGGGTGTTCAAAGGCCAGGAGCCCTGGGATATTGGGAGGATGTTTCAGTATCCCCAAACCTGAAGGCACCCAGACTTCCAGAAAAGGCTGGCAATGGAGAGACAGGCAGCTTCTTTCTAAGCTGCATCATACCAGGAGGTCGCCAGGGGCACAGAGCTGCCCAGGGGCAGTGTTTCCACAGGTTTGGGCTATGGAAATGGGGACTTCTGGCCATCCTTCCTCTCTGGCCTTCTTCCAGCATCTCCCTCCAGGAGACACCAGTCCCCTTTCCCCATGGGACCACTCAGAGTCATGTCCAAGACCTTCCCCAATGGTGGTCTTTGCTGACATCTTAGGGCAGCCCCCACCCTTGCCACTGTGGATGAAGAAATCTCCTGGGGTGGTGGGGGCTCTGCTTCCTGGGGTCTCACGTGGCCGCCTCCACCCCCTCACTTGGTCCCCAGCTGCCTGGAAACCCACCCTAGATGGACTCAAGTTATCTGCAGATGTGTTTGACAGAACAGCAAGGATGTACCTGCAGTTTTGAAGACCCTGGGCTGGGCGGGATCACCACCTCTGCCTTTTTAGGGAAGGGACCCACAATTCCCAGCACTCATTTGCTCTTTTGCTGCTCAGGGACTGTCACTGCACAGGCCCTGGGGCCTATGGAGGAGTCACAGACTCTGGACTCAGGATGGGGCCCCAGGCCCCAACCAGGCTCTGGCCCAGCCCAGGGAAGATAATAATGCCCACCTTATGGAAATCCCACCCCAGGAGGGTTCAGGACAGACCCCAGGAGTGTTCAGGACAGAGCCCAGGAGTGTTCAGGACAGAGCCCAGGAGGGTTCAGGACAGACCCCAGGAGGGTTCAGGACAGACCCCAGAAGGGTTCAGGACAGAGCCCAGGAGGGTTCAGGACAGACCCCAGGAGGGTTCAGGACAGAGCTGGCCACAGCCGGGTACAGCGCCCAGGCCCTCTCTCCTTCCTTCCTCTCCTGCAACCATTCTTCCTACTTGAGAGTAAGATACAGAGACCTTGCTTTTTGCACTCTCTGGAGAATGTGTGACTGGTGATGTTCTTTCCTCTTATTTGCTTGCCTGTTTTCTAAATGTTTGATAATGAATTTGTTTACTTTGAAATAAGCAAACAATACCAAAAGTTATTTTTAAAAGGACAGCCTCTAAGTCCATGATTACAATTTGGATGATGAGCCAGTGTGGTCGAGGGTGTTCTGATCCTCACACAGCACTGGTGACAGACCTGACCAGGGCACGTGGAGGTGCTTCCACATGGCAGTGGCTTCTTGGTCCTTCAGAAGGATGGAGGCCACCAATGGGCCACGGAGCTGAGTAGGTGGACAAAGCAAATGAGCAGGAAGGGTGGGCTGGGAGTGAGGGGAGGGTGACTGTGGTCCCCTGGATAGTCTGTTGTAAAGAAGCCACCTCGGCTGGGCACGGTGGCTCATGCCTGTCATCCCAGCACTTTGGGAGGCCAAGGCGGGTGGATCACGAGGTCAAGAGATTGAGACCATCCTGGCCAACATGGTGAAACCCCATCTCTACTAAAAATACAAAAATCAGCTGGGCATGGTGACAGGCACCTGTAATCTCAGCTACTTGGGAGACTGAGGCAGGAGAATCACTTGAACCCGGGAGGTGGAGGTTGGCGTGAGCTGAGATCGCGCCATTGCACTCCAGCCTGGGCAACAAAAGTGAAAGTCCATCTCAAAAACAAACAAAAGAAACAGGCAGCTTCTCAGAACACATCTGTCCTCCATGTCCACGGGCGCATCCCACCCCTGGCCACCACCGTGTGGCTTTTCTCCGTGGAAGCAGAGGCCATGCATCACTCCCACAGGCAGCCTCTCTCTGACGAGCCTCAGTAGTAAATTCATGCAAGAAACAAAGAAAACTGCTCCTGTCCTTCTTCAGTGCTGTGCGGAGGAGCGAGAGGGAAAAGCCAACCATAACGCCATTGCATGTGCTGCTGAAATGCTTTGTGCAAACGTTGAGACTGGAGGTGAGGGCGGAACTTTGTAATATAAGAGCAGTAAGATAAATGTTGATTTTAAAATCCAAGTACTTGGACTTTGCTAGAATATTCCATAATCTTTTCCTGGTCTTGATTATTAAACAGTTTTCAAGAAAGTTCTATTTGGTGAGTCACCTGATGATCTAAACACACTTTTCTTTCTTGTTTGATTCCAGCTGGGTCACCTGCCAACAGAACCAAGCCCACTTGGGTTTTGGAGGCTTTGGGGGCTGGCTGGTTTCCCTGGGCATGATTGGTGACCTCAGGTCAGATTCCTGGACTTGCTGGGGATCCTGTGCCCAGGAAGGCACCAGCCCAGGAGGCTCTGAGCCTCAGCCAGGGATGCAGCAGGTTGGTAGCACCTTGGCAGCCATCCCGAGGACACAGGTAAGAAGCCAACAGAGAAGCAAGAATGTGTCTTATTAAAGCTGCTCCACTCCACAAGCATCTCTGGAATGTTCTCTGGGCCCCGGAT
Organism: Homo sapiens; assembly: GCF_000001405.40. Taxonomy (NCBI): domain Eukaryota; kingdom Metazoa; phylum Chordata; class Mammalia; order Primates; family Hominidae; genus Homo; species Homo sapiens. The sequence continues at coordinate 82,356,249 of NC_000017.11, forward strand.
CTGCGCGAGGCATTCTGGGTGAGACAGAGACGAAGCCGCTTGAGCTCGGAAGCCGGTGCTCAAAGAGCGTGACGTGGCCTCACCCCATTCCTCTGCAGGGCTCAGCTGGCACCTGCACCCCCGAGGTAGCTGGGGGCCCCTGAGCTTGGCCAGGCCCATCTGGCAGCCTTGTCCCTGCTTGTCCACCCCCTCTGGGTTGCGTTCAGCTTCCTGAGCTCCCCCTCTTCACCCGTTCCTAACACAAGAGCTTGTGCACCCCAGGATGGTGGGGATGGGGTTCTGGCTCGTGGGCAATCTGGGTGTCAGGCTTACGGCCCCAGTGGCTCCGGGTCATGGCCTTGGCCCCACAATGGCTGTGCTGCCCCATCAGTGGTCTCTGCAGCTGGGGAAATGCCTGGTCCTTCTGGAGATACAGGAGTGTTGGATTCCCCGATTATGGCCACGTCCTGTTCCTCTGGTACCATCCACCCACCAAGTCTTGCCACGGTTTCCCTCTGGGCCTCAAATCCAGCTGTCCATCCCAACATCTGTCTCAAGTGGCCTCTCCTGTACCCAGCTGCCCAGGAAGCGATCCAAAGGCTCCGTCCCAGGCTGCTGAGGTGACTGAGGACCTTGAGAGGGTCCTACACTCTCAGACCAGGGTGAGGCCGAGGCCCGAGAGGCAAGTCCCTGCCCAGGCCCTGGCTGGCCAGGACGCGCTGGCCACAGCTTCCCAGAGTGGACGCTGCCCTGCACCCGCCAACACTTCCCCGTCAGCTTCCCGGTCCCACACCGCTCCTGCTGGCAACGAGGTCGCAGCATATTAAATTCTCGACGCAACTACTGTGTGAAAAAGCCATGCAAACCAGCGAGGAGCCTGCTTACCACAGGGGCCCTCAGAGGGCTCTGCTGCTCCTCGGTCAAAACCTCCTTTAGGCAGTGACTCTGGCAGCTGCCGGCTGGGCTGTGTCCTGAGAACTGAGGCTGGGAGGGGCCAGGTGGGAGGGACCTCATCCTCCAGGCGCCCACTGGCCCAGCCCTGAGTGTTCACGACAGGTGCAGGGCTCCCTCCCCGGCCCCCTTCTGGCCAGGGCAGCCACAGCTCAGCCCCGAGGCCTTGAGTGGCCTTTTCAGAGAAAACCAGGACCTGGGGGCTCCTCCCGGGAGCCTCTGACCCCCAGACCCATAAACAGGCTTCTCTGTGGGGTCCCTCAACCACTACTTTCCTCTCACCTGAGGGGACCAGCCAGACAGCTCAGGCACCCGAGTCTTTAGGGAATGAGCTCACTGCCCTCTCCACCCACAGCAGGACACCTGGCAGCCAAAGCCCCACACCTGCCCCTATCCCAGGACTGGGACGAGGAAGCCCCAGGGTGAGGGGTGGCCCTGATCTGAGCCCTAACCTGGTGGGGGTGGCAGGCAGCCCCAGGTGTGTGGATGACCTGAGCCAGGCACAGACAGCTGCCAGGTGGGGAGGAGCAGAGGTCATGGGGATGTAGGGAAAGGGTTTGGGGGTTCCTCCCACAGGGCCACTGTGTGAGACAATTTGTCACTTTCTTACAAAACTAAACACACTCTGACCACAGCATCCAGCAATCTCACTCCTTAGAGTTTACCAAAATGAGTTGAGAACTTATGTCTACAGACACCTGCACATGAATATTTGTAGTAGCTTTATTCATAATTGCCCAAACCTGGGAGCAACCAAGATGTCTTTCCATAGGTGAATGGATAAATAAACCATGGTACATCCAGACAATGGAATACCATTCAGTGTTAAAAAATAAGTGAGCTGGCCATGCAAGGTGGCTCACGTCTGTAATCCCAGCACTGTGGGAGGCAGAGGCAGGCGGATCACTTGAGCCCAAGTGTTTGATACCAGTGTGGGCAACATGGTGAGGCCCTGTCTCACAAAAAATACAAAACTTATCGGGGTGTGCACCAGCACCTGTAGTCCCAGCTATTTGGGAGGCTGAGGTGAGAAAATCACAGGAGCCCAGGAGGTTGAGGCTGTAGTAGCTGTGATTTCACCAGTGCATTCCAGCCTGGGTGACAGAGCAAGACTCTGTCTCAAAAAAAAAAAAAAAAAAAAAAAGAAGTGAACTATCAAACCACAAAAGACATGGAAGAACCAAAGTGCGTATTACTAAAAAAGAAGTTGAAAAGGCTACATAATGTATGAGTCCAGCTCTGTGACATTTTGGAAAAGGCAAAATTAAGGAGACAGTCAAAAGATTCCTGGTTGCCAGGGGCTGGGAGAGGGAGTGATGAAAATGCAGAACACAGATGAATCGGGGCGGAGAAACCCGTCTGTACAATATTAGAGTGGTGGGTCTGCATGATTATACATGTGTCCAAACCTGCAGAATGCACAGCACCGGAGGAAAGCATAATGGAAACTGCAGAGGGCGATGATGATAATAACAACGTGTAACAAATGGCTGGGACGGGAGGACTGGGGAAGGCTGTGCACCTGCAGGAGCAGGGGAGCGGTGGGAGAGCTCCATGCTTTTGGCTCAATTTTGCTATGAACCTAAAACTGCTGTAAAAAATAGAGTCTACTGAAAAAACAAGTGTTAATTTATAAGCGTCTTGTTTAAAGAGCGAAGAGATGAACCACAAAGGGGAAAATGTGTTTAAACAATAACTAATTGACAATTGGCTGGTTCTTAAAATTCAGAGAACTTTAAGACAGAGACAGCAAAGCAGGGATCACGTTTTACAAACGCGGCAGGACCAGGACGTCGTGCCCACGACGGGCCAGCAACCACAGGCTGGATGCTCACCCTGTGCCAGCCTGCAGACGGAGAGCACCCACCCCAATCTCCAGCCCCCAGAGGAGCTGCCTCTCCAGGGCCTTCCTGCAGGTGCCCAGGGGCTGCACATGGCCCTCCTTGGAGGGAGCTGGTGACTCAGCACTTTCATTTCCTGGAAACTGAGGCTCATGGGAGATATGCAGATGAGCCCAGAGCACCATGGGAAATGGCCCTTTATATACCCAAATGGGCTCTGCCTCCTCCTTTCCCTGGGTGCCCACATGAACAGAGACACCAGGATGGTGAGATCTCCCGAGGAGGGGTCTCTGAGGAGGGGTCTCGGAGACACGGCCTGGTGCTGGGTGAGGGGTTGGGAGGCTGAAGCGGGGCCAGGATTCCTCAGGTTCCCTCAGTTTCCCTCAAATTTCCCTCAGTTTCCCTCAGGTTCCCTAAGGTTCTCCAAGTTCCCTCAAATTTCCCTCAGTTTCCCTCAGGTTCCCTCAGTTTCCCTCAAGTTTCCCTCAGTTTCCCTCAGGTTCCCTCAGTTTCCCTCAGGTTCCCTCAGTTTCCCTCAAGTTTCCCTCAGTTTCCCTCAGGTTCCCTCAGTTTCCCTCAAGTTTCCCTCAGGTTCCCCCAGTTTCCCTCAAGTTTCCCTCAGCTTCCCTCAGGTTCCCCCAGTTTCCCTCAGGTTCCCTCAGTTTCCCTCAAGTTTCCCTCAGTTTCCCCCAGTTTCCCTCAAATTTCCCTCAGTTTCCCTCAGGTTCCCTCAGTTTCCCCCAGCTTCCCTCAGGTTCCCTCAGTTTCCCTCAAGTTCCCCTCAGTTTCCCCCAGTTTCCCTCAGGTTCCCCCAGTTTCCCTCAAGTTCCCCTCAGGTTCCCCCAGTTTCCCTCAAGTTTCCCTCGGGTTCCCCCAGTTTCCCTCAGGTTCCCCCAGTTTCCCTCAGTTTCCCTCAAGTTTCCCTCAGGTTCCCCCAGTTTCCCTCAGGTTCCCTCAGTTTCCCTCAAGTTTCCCTCAGGTTCCCCCAGTTTCCCTCAGGTTCCCTCAGGTTCCCCCAGTTTCCCCCAGGTTCCCCCAGTTTCCCCCAGTTTCCCTCAAGTTTCCCTCAGGTTCCCCCAGTTTCCCTCAGGTTCCCTCAGTTTCCCTCAAGTTTCCCTCAGGTTCCCCCAGTTTCCCTCAGGTTCCCTCAGTTTCCCTCAGGTTCCCCCAGTTTCCCCCAGGTTCCCCCAGTTTCCCCCAGTTTCCCTCAAGTTTCCCTCAGGTTCCCCCAGTTTCCCTCAGGTTCCCTCAGGTTCCCCCAGTTTCCCCCAGTTTCCCTCAGGTTCCCCCAGTTTCCCTCAGGTTCCCTCAGTTTCCCTCAGGTTCCCCCAGTTTCCCTCAGTTTCCCCCAGTTTCCCTCAAGTTTCCCTCAGGTTCCCCCAGTTTCCCTCAGGTTCCCTCAGTTTCCCTCAGGTTCCCCCAGTTTCCCTCAGGTTCCCTCAAGTTTCCCTCAGGTTCCCCCAGTTTCCCTCAGGTTCCCTCAGGTTCCCTCAGTTTCCCTCAGGTTCCCCCAGTTTCCCTCAGTTTCCCCCAGTTTCCCTCAAGTTTCCCTCAGGTTCCCCCAGTTTCCCTCAGGTTCCCCCAGTTTCCCTCAGGTTCCCTCAGTTTCCCTCAGGTTCCCCCAGTTTCCCTCAGGTTCCCTCGGGTTCCCTCAAGTTTCCCTCAGGTTCCCCCAGTTTCCCTCAGGTTCCCTCAGTTTCCCTCAAGTTTCCCTCAGGTTCCCCCAGTTTCCCTCAGGTTCCCCCAGTTTCCCTCAAGTTTCCCTCAGGTTCCCCCAGTTTCCCTCAGGTTCCCCCAGTTTCCCTCAGGTTCCCTCAGTTTCCCCCAGTTTCCCTCAGGTTCCCCCAGTTTCCCTCAGGTTCCCTCAGTTTCCCCCAGTTTCCCTCAAGTTTCCCTCAGGTTCCCCCAGTTTCCCTCAGGTTCCCTCAGTTTCCCTCAGGTTCCCCCAGTTTCCCTCAGGTTCCCTCAGTTTTCCCCAGTTTCCCTCAGGTTCCCTCAGTTTCCCTCAGGTTCCCTCAGTTTCCCCCAGTTTCCCTCAGGTTCCCCCAGTTTCCCTCAGTTTCCCTCAGGTTTCCTCAAGTTGCCTCAGTTTCCTTCAGGTTCCCTCAATTTCCATCAGGTCCCCTCAGGCTCTGCCAGTTTCCCTCAGGTTCCCCCAGTTTCCCTCAGGTTCCCTCAGTTTCCCCCAGTTTCCCTCAGGTTCCCCCAGTTTCCCCCAGTTTCCCTCAAGTTTCCCTCAGGTTCCCCCAGTTTCCCTCAGTTTCCCCCAGTTTCCCTCAGGTTCCCCCAGTTTCCCTCAGTTTCCCTTAGGTTTCCTCAAGTTGCCTCAGTTTCCTTCAGGTTCCCTCAATTTCCATCAGGTCCCCTCAGGCTCTGCCAGTTTCCCTCAGGTTCCCCCAGTTTCCCTCAGGTTCCCTCAGTTTCCCCCAGTTTCCCTCAGGTTCCCTCAGTTTCCCCCAGTTTCTCTCAGGTTCCCCCAGTTTCCCTCAGTTTCCCCCAGTTTCCCTCAGGTTCCCCCAGTTTCCCTCAGGTTCCCTCAGGTTCCCCCAGTTTCCTTCAGGTTCCCTCAATTTCCATCAGGTCCCCTCAGGCTCTGCCAGTTTCCCTCATGTTCCCCCAGGTTCTGTCAGGTGAAGCTGATGGGCTGTTGGGGTCCCTGAGGTGTAGGGGGTGGCTGATGAGCCCGGGGAGGTCGGATGGAGGAACTGAAGGCCTCCCAGCCCCGGTGCTGTTCAAACTGAGCAGGGTCCCCACTAAAGGGCCAGTCTGAACCCCAACATCCCTGCCCCTGCTGGTCCCCACAGTTTGCCCCCACCCTGCCTGCTGGGGGTGCCTAACCTCCCTTCCTTTGCCTTTCCAGCTCTCCTGAGACCACAGCAACTGCAGAAGCTGAAGACATTTCCAGAAGTTCAAGCTTCCACCCTCTGCAGGTCCCCACTGAGCTGGGACCCAGGTCATCCACCCCACCCCAAATCCCTGGATAGGAAACCCCTTTCTCCTCCTGCTCCTTGTCCCCTTCATCCCTGCCGCCCAGCATCCTACTGGCCTCAGCACCTGTGGCCAGACCGTCCAAGATCCTCTGAAGGCCCAGCTCTTGCTGTCCACCCCGGCAGTAGGCAGGCAGCCTGGCCATGTGCCCTCCGGTCAGCATGCGGTATGAGGAAGAGGGCATGTCCTACCTCTACGCCTCCTGGATGTATCAGCTTCAACATGGAGATCAGCTAAGCATTTGCTTCACCTGCTTCAAGGCTGCCTTTCTAGACTTTAAAGACTTGCTGGAGTCAGAGGACTGGGAAGAAGACAACTGGGACCCTGAGCTGATGGAGCACACTGAGGCAGAGTCAGAGCAGGAGGGGTCCTCAGGGATGGAGCTGAGCTGGGGGCAGAGCCCAGGACAGCCTGTGCAGGGGGGCTCTGAGGCATGGGGGCCAGGGACCCTGGCAGCAGCCCCAGAAGGGTTGGAAGATGCAGGTCTGGACCCCCACTTTGTCCCCACTGAACTATGGCCTCAGGAGGCTGTGCCCCTGGGCCTGGGCCTTGAGGATGCTGACTGGACCCAGGGTCTTCCCTGGAGATTTGAGGAGCTTCTTACCTGCTCACACTGGCCAAGCTTCTTTCCTTCATAGCAGGGGTTTCTCAAAGTGGACCTGCCCCCAGGGGAGCCCGTGGTGTTGAAGCTGGGCATTACCTGGGCAGTGGACCCTGCCGAGGCTGAGGCCTAGTTACTGGCCCTGCAGCTTGTCTCCATGGTGGGCTGCTATGATACCATCTACCTACAGAAGATGACCCCAGACAGGGCCCTGAGGACCCCAGGGCAGCACTGGAAATTGCTGCTGGAGCCTGGTGAAGTGTGGGTGGTGAGACTCCAAGATGCACCCCAAGAGCAGGACCTGCACTGGTGGATGCTGAGCATTCTAGAAACATCGTTAACAGGACACAGGGCAGAGCTGGTCCCTGCAGCCTCAGCCCTGCAGAAGAGGATTCACCATAGTCTCTTATTCACCCTGGACCAACAGGGAGAGCAAGAAGGGAGACTCAGCCTGTAAGCCACAGTCCTCCAGCCAAGAACAGGATCTCAGCACCCCTGAGACACAGAGCAGGGGTCCTGAGGAAAGCCTGGCTGTTGCAGGAGCCTCGGCCATGGGGGAGCTGCCCTGTTTCCAGCCTCAGTCCAGGGCCCCAGAACTGAGAGACTAAGGCTCATGTAGCTGCCATTGTCCTGGGCACACCAGGACATCAGAGACTGGGAAGGGCCAGCAATTGCTGTTCCACAACAGCCAGGGGAGCAGTTGGCAAAGGAAACATGGGGAGCAACTTTAGGGGCTGGGAGATAGGGCCTGTTGTGGCCTCAGAGGGAAGCATTACAAATATTCATAACCTGGAAACAAGTTCTTACCAGTTGATTGTCACATAGTTCTGGATGTGTTGGCCTGAATGGCTGTTGTGCTGCTTGTGACATGGGGGGCAGGGCACAGAACTTGTGCCTATTTCACCTTGGCCATGGGGAGGGACATTGCTTGTAAAACACATGCTCTGCAGAACACACCAGAATCTGTGGTGACCTGGATGTGTTCTCGACTTTGCCAGGACAATCTCAGGGGTGCCACAAGACCCTGTCAGCAGCACTAGGATCTCTGGTCTACAGTGGAGGGAGAGCTGGTTTTAAATGTTGGCCGTTGATGCAATTTAACCATTTAATTCCTGTTGCTCTATATGTTGTTTTTAATTTTAAAAAGTCATAAAAGCTTTCAAACAAGCTCCTGTGTAAGTCATTCCTCAGCAAGTTTTGTTGATTGGCCTTATCCTTGTCCTCTCAGTATCTGGGCTAAGCCACTTTGCTGGCTTGAAATCCCACCAAATGGTGGGAACAGAGGATAGAAGGGAAGAGGAGCACGGGAGAGATGAGGGTTCTGGTCGGTTTCCAGGCTCATCATGGGAGTTTGTTTCACATTATTTATAAAGAAATACAGGGCCAGGCACAGTGGCACATGCCTATAACCCCAGCATTTTGGGATTAGGTCAGCCCAGGAATTCGAAACCAGCCTCGGCATCATAGTGAGATTTCATCTCTACTAACAATAAAAAAAGTTAGCTGGGTGTGGTGGCATGCACATGTAGTCCCATCTACTCAGGAGGCTGAGGCAGGAGGATTGCTTGAGTCCAGGAGGTCAAGACCGCAGTGAGCTGTGATTGTACCACTGCACTTCAGCCTGGGCGACAGAGCAAGACCCTGTATCAAAAAATAAAATAGGCCAGGCGAGGTGGCACATGCCTGTAATCCCGGCACTTTGGGAGGCCGAGGCGGGTGGATCACGAGCTCAGGGGTTTGAGACCAACCTGGGCAACGTGGCAAAACACTATCTCTACAAAAAATACAAAAATGATCCAGGCGTGGTGGTGTGTGCCTGTAGTCCCAGCTACTTGGAAGGCTGAGGTGGGAGGATTGCTTGAGCCTGGGAGTTCACGCTGCAGTGAGCCAAGATCATGCCATTACACTCCAGCCTGGGCAACAGTGAGACCCTATATCAAAAAATAAAAATAAATAAATAAAAATACATACTTAAAGAACAGCCATGTTTTGAACAATAAAAATGTGTTGTCAAACATATAATTAATATAGATATGTGCCCCAAAATTTTTTTTAAGTCTATAGACCAAACCACATGTAAAGGTTGCTAATGTTGGCCAGGCACGGTGGCTCACGCCTGTAATCCCAGCACTTTGGGAGGCCGAGGTGGGTGGATCACGAGGTCAGGAAGTCGAGACCATCCTGGCCAACATGGTGAAATCCCGTCTCTACTAAAAATACAAAAATTAGCTGGGCGTGGTGGCGCGTGCCTGTAATCCCAGCCACTTGGAAGGCTGAGGCAAGAGAATCGCTTGAACCTGGGAGGCGGAGGTTGCAGTGAGCCAAGATCGTGCCATTGAACTCCATCCTAGGTGAGAGAGTGAGACTCCATCTAAAAAAAAAAAAAGTTTGCTAATGTTGAGGAGACAGATGATGCCAATGATGATGATGGCTATGACGGTGGTGATGGTTATAGTGGTGGTGGTAATAATGGTGATGGAGATAGTGAAGATAGTAAAGAAGGCCCACAGGAAGAGACCTGAAGGATAAAGGGCTCTGCCTCCTTGGATTTGGCTGCTGCTGAGGCCCCTCCATTAGTTTCAGCATTGGGGCCCTCCGCTGCTGTCAGACACGGATGTGGATGATAGTCCTTCAAGAAGGAGGTGGGGCCCCTGACCTCCTTGCCTCCCAGGAAGGCAGGAAGAAGTGGAATGAGCACGCTGAGAAGGAAGGAACCCCCACACTCTGTTACATGACACGGGGTGAGGAGTTTGGCCCCATGGCGTGGTACACACGTGTGCCTTTGGTTGTATGCTTGCAAGAGAAATCTGGGGCCTCTGGGGTTTCTGCCCTCACCCCAGCCCTGACTCTGACCTTTGGAATCCCTGGAGGGGCTTTCTAGAGCTCTGCATCCAGCCTCTTCACTCAGGACGTGAGGTTTCCTGAATCCTGAACTGGAACCTTTTCCCAAAGGTTAGCCAGCTTTCAAGTGGCCTCATGGGGCCAGGGAGGCTGTAGTGTTGGGACTCCCAGGGGGCCCCCAAAAGTTGATTCTGAGAAAAGACTATTATGTACACTAGACATTTCTCCTCACTCTCCCTATGTCTGAGCTTTCACGAGCTTGGACACTTTAAGTCAGGGGAAGTGCTCGGAATTCCATGTTGTCTCCTGCCAGCTTAAGCCCTTTCATCCCCTGCAATTGCTCAGATGTCTGAGGCTCTCTGCTAATTAATAGGGCCACCACCAGCTGGAGACCCGTGCAGGTTCTAATTGGTTTGATTCATGTTACCATCTCTCCAGCTGTGTCTCATATCTGGAGGTGTTTGAGACCAAGACTGGGGAAATTGTGGTGCCTGAGGTCAAAAGTAAAGGAAAATACCAACAGCAGCATCAAGGGAAGTGTCTCCTGGAAGAGTAAAGTGAAATCACCAGCTGCAGAGGTGCTCTGGGAGAGGTGGGAGGCCCTGCAGGGGTGTCCCCCTGGGACCTCCTTCCAAAAGAAAGAGCCCTCAGCTCTGGGTAATGAAGTGGGCCCACGCTCCCTGGGCAGGATCCCAGGCAGCTGATGGCTGATGGCTGAGCTCTAGTTGGGGCTTTGAGGGCCTGGCCGTTTCTGCACGGCCCAGTCTTTGCTCCTCATGAGGTTCCCTAACTCCATCTGGGGTGCACTCAGCCTGAGCTGCCTCCACCCCTCACTTTTATTCCCTTATTTATTTTTATTTTTATTTTCTTTTTATAGAGACAGGGTCTCACTATGTTGCTCGGGCTGGCCTTGAACTCCTGGGCTCAAGCGATCCTCCCACCTCAGCCTCCCAAAGTGTTAGGATTACAGATATGAGCCACTGCGCTCGGCCACGTTCCCTTATTTTCATCAAGCATCTCTGCCCCAGTGTCTGCGGCAGGATGGGCCTCTGGTCTCTAAGCACCTGAGAGGTGGAGTGGGTTCTGAACAAAGCATCCTCTTCAAGTCTGAAAAACACAAACATCAGGCTGGATGGGCACCTGAAAAGAGCCCCATGAAACCAGCTCTGTCTGTGGAACCTCATTTTCTACAGAATTTAGTAATCCAATTGGAAAGTACTTCTTTCACAAAAATTATCATTGCAAAACATAATGAACCCATTAAGTGCAGAGCAAAGCTTCAAAAGTCACATTTGTGGAAAATGGGAGCTTTATGATTATGATTTATGATTTAATGGTCCATAAAGTGAATCATAGGCAGGCAGAGCCACTTTGCACTAAAGCGCTGGGATTACAGGTGTGAGCCACCGCGCCCGGCCTGAAATGTGAATTCTTACACAACAACAAAGAGCTTTCCAACTGTGTAATTTCACTCACCCTTCTCCAGAGACCTGGTGCTATTGTTGTCTTGGATATTAGTTGACACGTGTTATCATCATCATGCGCCACCAGAGCTATTGCTGCATAGTCCTCATCTTTTTAATTTACAAACATATTTACCTTCCTGGTGCACTTCATTTTTCCATGCACTTCCGAGTTTCTATCTGGGGTCATTTTCTGTCAGCAGAAGGAAAGCCTGAGGAGCTCCTTTAGTATTTTTTTGTGCTGTGACAAATGTTCTTAGCTTTGTCTGAAAGTATCTATATTTTATTGTACATAAATTGTTGGTTAAAATTCTTTATTTTGGTACTTTAAAGAGGTCATTCTCTTTCGGTTTCCATGGTTTTCTGAGGAGATCTAGTCATCTTTCCTATTGTTATTCCCTGAATGCATTGTCTTTTTTTTTTTTTTAATCTCAATAATTTTTACAGTTTCTGTTTACCTTTGGTTTTTGGAATTTTTTACTACAATGCGCTGGAGTTGTTTGCTTTTAGTTTTTTCCTGCTTGTGATTTACTAAGATTCTAATGTCTGTAAGTTGACATTGCTTATCAATTTTGAAAATTTCAGCCACTGCCTTTTCAGATATTGCTCCTGCCCCATTTTCCTCTGTTGTTGATCTGGGGACTCCAGTGACATGTACGTCAGATCATTTGATGGTGTGGTTCCACAGGCTTTTCTGTTTTTCATTCTTTTCTCTTTCTGTGTCTGGATAATTTCTATTGACCTACCTTTAAGTTAACTGATTCTTTCTTCTGCTGTGATTTCTGAATTTTAGATACTGTACTTTTAAAAGTTATAAAATGTCCATTTGACCCTTGTGAGAAAGAAACTCATCCGTCCAAATCCAAAGAACTGACTCAGGGACCTGGAGAACAGCGAAAGCGAGGCTTTTAATGACGGCAAGATCGGGTGTCTGGTGGGCAGGCACACCCAGCAGTTTCAACAAGCAATTTATCCCCTAGTGCACAGATCCCTCCCCCGGTTCCTCATAGGCTGAGTACTCTGGGGTCACAGTCTTCCCGCATGTCGCCTATTGGTTGTTGGGCAGGGGCTGTAGGGCACAGGTCCCTCCCCAGCTTCCTCATAGGCTGAGTACTAGGGGATCACAGTCTTCCTGCATGTCGCCTATTGGTTGTTGGGCAGGGGCTGCAGGGTGCAGGTCCCTCCCCAGGTTCCTCATAGGCTGAGTACTCTCGGGTCACAATCTTCCCGGATGTCGCCTATTGGTTGTTGGGCAGGTGCTGTAGGTGTTTTCTTCAGGGTTGTCCTGCTGCATTTTGTTGCAGCCCACAATGCATTGCAATCCTAGTTAGCTCAGGGGCTCTTTAAGTATTTGACTTATGACCTAAGTAGCTGGGCAGGCTGATAAGAATAGATCAAACCAGCTATTTTGCAGGCTAGTAAAATTTCATCTTAAACTTCTTTGATTTGGGTGAGGGCAACTAAGAGGGGGTTAAAAGGGAGTGGATGAGGCCGACAAGCAGGCATCCACTATCCAAGCTGGGGCCTAGTATATCCTGTTCTTCTGTAGTTTGCTGACCTAAGCCGATTCAAGGCACACTGTCTTGGAAATGGACCACTGTATACATTATTTCCTTCACCCTTTAAAAAATTTTTTTAGAAATAGAAATGGAGGGTCTCATTATGTGCCCAGGCTGGTCTCAAACTTCTAGACTCGAGTGATCATCCTGCCTCAGTTTTCAAAAGTACTGGGATTGGCCGGGTGCGGTGGCTCATGCCTGTAATCCTAGCACTTTGGGAGGCCGAGGTGGGCAGATCACGAGGTCAGGAGTTCAAGACCAGCCTGGCCAAGATAGTGAAAGCCCATCTCTACTAAAAATACAAAAATTAGGCTGAGAGCGGTGGTGGGCACCTGTAATCCCAGCACTTTGGGAGGCCGAGGCGGGCGGATCACGAGGTCAGGAGATCGAGACCATCCTGGCTAACACAGTGAAACCCCGTCTCTACTAAAAATACAAAAAATTAGCCAGGCACGGTGGTGGGCACCTGTAGTCCCAGCTACTCGGGAGGCTGAGGCAGGAGAATGGCATGAACCCGGGAGGCAGAGCTTGCAGTGAGCCGAGATTGCGCCACTGCACTCCAGCCTGGGCGACCAGCGAGACTCTGTCTCAAAAAAAAAAAAAAAAATACAAAAATTAGTTGGGTGTGGTGGTGGGCACCTGTAATCCCAGTCACTCGGGAGGCTGAGGCAGAGAATTGCTTGAACCTGGGAGGCGGAGGTTGCAGTGAGTCAAGATCACGCCACTGCACTCCAGCCTGGGCGACAGAGTGAGACTCCATCTCAAAAAAAAAAAAAAAAAAAAAAGTGCTGGGATTACAGGTGTTAGCCACAGTGCCCAGCCTGGGAATTTCTAATAAAAGAGTCAAATGGGGTTGGGCGTAGTGGCTGGGCAACATGGTGAAACTTGTCTCTACAAAAAATACAAAAATTAGCCAAGTGTAGTGTAGCGGTGCATGTCTGTAGTCCCAGCTACTCGGGAGGTAGGAGAATTGCTTGAGTGTAGGAAGTCAAAGAAAGCTGCGGTGAGCCATGATCACACCCCTGCACTCCAGCCTGGGCGAGCCTAGGCTAGACCTTAGAGCGAGACCCTGTCTCAAATAAAGAAAGAAATACATTCCCATTTTCTGGTGAAAATTTCCATCTTTTCATGCATGTTGCCCAGGTTCTTCTGCTTGCTTTACTATATTTGTAACAGTTTTTGTAAAACAGAAACTCCTGGTCTGCTAATTCCAATACTTGTGTCACATATGGACCTGCTTCTATCGGCTATTTTTCCCCCATCAATTATGGATCACATAAGATATGAAGCAGCAAGGAAACAATAATCAGATTATTATTTCCTTGCTGAAGCATTTTATACATAGCAACTGTCAAAGTCCAAATATACAGACAAATCTTTAAGTTTAATGTTTAATTTTAGGAAGAATTTCAATTCGGTATGTTCAAGAACAAAAGAAAATCGGGATTCTTTTGGAAAGAGAAACGTTATCTATTGCTTTGAAAGAAAGCCCGTTGGCACTGGTAGTTCGGGGGAGCTGGCAAGCTCAGGCGAGTGGCCTCAGTGGTAAAACCAGCACTGGAGGCCAGGCACGGTGGCTCACGCCTGTAATCCTAGCACTTTGGGAGGCTGAGGTGGGCAGATCACCTGAGCTCAGGAGTTCGAGACCTACCCGGCCAACATGATGAAACCCCGTCTACTACAAACACAAAAATTAGCTGGGTGTGGTGGCGGGTGCCTGTAATCCCAGCTACTTGGGAGGCTGAGGCAGGAGAATTGCTTGAGCCTGGGAGGTGGAGGTTGCAGTGAGCCGAGGTTGCAGTGAGCCGAGATCGCACCACTGCACTCCAGCCCGGGTGAAAGAGTGAGACCCCATCTCAAAAAAATAAATAAATAAATAATAAAAAAATAAAATAAAAAATAAAAAACCCGGTGTTCGTGTCAGGGCAGGTCGTTTCAGCAGCTACTCGGTGAACTGGCTGAGGTGACAGCAGATCGTTTCGGCAGCTGGCTTGCGGGAAATTTAATTCTTGGAGCAGGCATTCTGGGTCCTGAGTGCTTTTCCCCAGCCCTAGCCCCTAGACTCCAGCTTAGTAATCAGCTCTCACAGAACCATCACGTCGGAGGCAGCCTTCCACCCCCTTTCCTCCCGCGCACAGGCAGGATGAGCTGCTCCCCTTTCGGGTCGGAAGCTGCAGCTGTATTTGGTTTCAGTTCGGCTGTTTTCAGCTCACAGAGAATGAACTGTCTTATTGTGTGACCCTTGCTCCGTCCAGCGGACGCTCGGAGACCAGAGGGACTTTTCCCGCCCTCTCCAGCCCAGCCTCGCCTCCCCAGCACGTGGCAAACGTCCCACGGAGGGGACTGGTGGGCATCTGGGGCTCCCCCGGATCCAGCTGATTGCAGGAGCCTCTCGGCCATTCACACTTGGCCACCTCCTCTCCCCCAGCAGAACCCCTTCAGCTTTAGGGGCCGGTCCGCGGCCTCAGGCAGCAGATGAGCCCCGGGCGGAGTGGAGTGGGCGAGGCCAGCTCCTCGCTGGGGGCCCTTTAGACCCCGTGTTCACAGCTCTCCAGCTCTCCTCTAGTCTAATTTATTAATGTTCTGTGTCTTTTTCTTTCAGGGGTTCAGCATGAGTGAAGGCCCACATCCTACCTCCGAGCAGCAAGTGAAACCGAGTGGGGGCCAGCACCCAGCTCAGGGGCTCGAGGGTGAGGCTGTGGGGTCCTTCCTCCTACCCCGCGGGGCCCTGCAGCTCCCAGCGTCACTTCCGTGGATGTGGCCACCACGAGTCCCTGCCGAGGCCTGGAGAGGCTGCGTGGGCTTCTAAGAGCATCTGTGGGAGACCCGCAACAGGGGCGGGGTCAAGGCCCCCAAAGAGCCCGTCCCCGCCTGGGCGGGTGACTCCCTCCCTCCCTTACCTCCTTTCTATGACCCTCTCGGGGTTTAGGGGTGTTCCTGCCCCCCACCTGCGCGCGGGCGGGTCCAGGGCTTGGTGGACACGGAGAATCCCAGGCTCCGTGCCCTGCAAACACGGGCGTGAGGGGCGCAGGGGTGAACGCTGGAGGCGGAGAACCCAAGAGGGGCTGCGGGGTCAGCCTTGGGGCAGCCGGGCTGGAGGCAGCTTCGCTCCGCAGACGCAGACGCGAGACCCGCCTGGGACCCTCCGCCGACCCCGCTGCGGCCCCGCGACCCCCGCGTCTTCCCGGCGCCGCGCGGTCAGCGCCGCCCCCTAGACACCCGGCGCCGTCCCCTCCGCGCGCCTGCTGCCCGCTGGGGTTATTTTAATACCGGGCCCTGGCGCGGGGCGCGGCGCATTCCCAGCTGGCGGCGGGCAGGTGGCGGCGGCGCAGAGACCCGGCGCGGGGCGGGGGGCGCGGCTTTGGTGGCGGGACTGGCGGGCGCCCCTGCCGTGTGCTCTGGAAGCCGAGGCCACCGCGGAGCCCCTCGCGCCCCCTCTGCGCTGGGACAGGGGAGCGCGCCTCGGAAAGTTCCCCGCGGCCCCGCTGCGCGAGGAGTTTGGAGCCGCGAGCGGCTGCCCCCACGCGCGACCCCAGGCTCGGCGGGCAGGTCTGGCCGCTCAGTGACCGGAGGCAGGTGGGTCCTCGGTGGGTGACCGGGAGCGCGCGGGGACTGCCGGGTCTGTGCCCTTCGGGGCCCTCCGCAGGGCTGGGCCGGGGTTTCGCGGTGGGAACCCACCCTGGGCGAGGGGAGCGGGGTCCAGCGAGGCGGCTTCTCCCGTGCCGTGGAACTTTCGGCCCCTCCCCTTCCCCCCTAGCGACCCTGGAGCAATCCTAGCGGCCCGGCGGCCGCTGTCCCCCTGCCCGTGACTCGGGCTCGCGCACAACTGGGGAGCCCGGTGCACCCTCGGCTTCTGCGCCGTCCCCTGGGTGAGGGCTCTGGAAATGCCCTGGGTGGGGGCAGCAAGGGGGTGAGGGTCCCCTGGACAGATGGAGCTGGGAGCTGCTCGGCCTGGTGGGAAAGGGCGGACAGGGCACATTTCCAGGCCCTGGAAGGCCCCCAGCGCCCCCACCTGTTGACAACTCCCCACCCCAGCCAAGACTGCTCCCTGCGCAGCCATGAGTGTTCGGCCTAAATTCAGCGTGGCTCGTGGAATCAGGCAGCCTCCTGTGTCTTGTTTCTTCAGCCCACCACCGCGCTGTTTCATCCAGGCTGCTGACCCCAGCGGCGACTCCTTCACTGGCTTCATGTCACAGTTTGCCTGCCCCGTCCACTGGGGACATTTGAGCTGTTTCCAGCTTCTTAGGAGTCAAGCTGCCGTGAACTTTCGCACGCTTGTCATTTTCTGAACGTTGGCAGCCCTTTATCTAAGGTACTAACCTGAGAGTAGAATTGCCGGGTGAGAAGGTATAGGCGGTCAACTCTGCAAATCGTGCCAATGGCTTTCCAAAGCGGCGGCACAGTCCAGGTTCCCAGCAACAGGAAACGGCAGGGCCAGCTCCTCCACAGCCCCCACGCCTGTTGACAAGGATATCTGCCTTTTCACGCGTTCATCCTTGTCAGCACGCAGGGGCTCCTGTGGCCCTGACTGGCATTTCCCTGCTTGTTGGCTGCGTGGGTGTCCTTTTCAGGAAGTCCCCGGTCACGGTTTTGGTCTCTTTTTTTCAAATGGGTTGTTTGTCTTTTCCTTACTAATTTGCAGTTCTTCCCTATATTTTTCTTACCAGCTTTTTGTCTATGTTTCTTCTTTTTTTTTTTCTCTGAGACAAAGTCTCACTTTGTTGCCCAGGCTGGAGTGCGGTGGCACAATCTCAATCTTGGCTCACTGCAACTTCCACCTCCCGAGTTCAAACAATTCTCCTGCCTCAGCCTCCCGAGCAGCTGGGATTACAGGCGTGTGCCACCATGCCCGACTAATTTTTGTATTTTTAGTAGAGACGGGGTTTCGAGATGTTGGCCAGGCCGGTTTCGAACTCCTGACCTCAGGTGATCCACTTGCCTAGGCCTCCTAAAGTGCTGGGATTACAGGCGTGAGCCACTGCAACTGGCCTGATATATGTTTTCTGATGATCTCCTAGCCTGTGGCTTATGATTTCGCTCTCTTGGTAAAGTTCTTAATTTTAATGAAACCCATTTGCTTAGTCTTTTATTGAAAGTATTTTTTGTTCATTTTTAAGAAATATTTTCCCATCCAAGGTTATGCCAGTATTCCCGTTTTCTTCCAGAACCTCGACTGACTGATTTAACCTTTCACACTTAGGCCTGCAATCCATCTTGAATTCGTTTCCCTGTATGAGAAATGGAGATTGCAGAGGCCTTCCTCTCCTTACATGTTCTTCTATTTGGACTTTTAAAGTCAGTAGCTACTAGTTTTGCAATCTAAAGAAAACATTTTTTTAAATGTACAAGTCAAATAAATACGAGAAAGGACTCAGGAGTAAGTGGGCCCCACCTGTGCACAGACAAGAAAGTGAGGCCTGGGGGGGCGCAATGGGCAGAGCCCAGGACTCCCAGTTCTGTCCACTGCCGACCTCTGCCCCAGGGGCTGCCCTCCTGTGTTCCGGCTTTCAGAAAAGCCCAGTTCATCCCAGAGGCCATGGGACCTACAGTGAGGGGGGGGCAGGGGTCCTGCTGGGGCATGCGGGGGTCGGGGAGGGGGGTTGGGGCAGCTCGTCTGGTGGCTCTTGAGTCCTCCTGCAGAGCTGGTGGCTTCCAGAGAGTCCCGAGAGTTGGAGGGCACTGGGGAGCCCACGTGACTCTGTGGGAACGAGGCCATCACAGTGGCCTCCTGGGAGCGGAAGGTGTTGCCTGATTTGCTTCTTTCCCCACAGGCTGAGCTGGTTGCCCACAGGGGCCCCCGCCCCATCTCAGGGAGTGTCCACCCAGCCCTGAGCCCGTCGTGAGGGGTCAGAGATGGCGCTGACCCCCGAGTCCCCGAGCAGCTTCCCTGGGCTGGCCGCCACTGGCAGCTCTGTGCCGGAGCCGCCTGGCGGCCCCAACGCAACCCTCAACAGCTCCTGGGCCAGCCCGACCGAGCCCAGCTCCCTGGAGGACCTGGTGGCCACGGGCACCATTGGGACTCTGCTGTCGGCCATGGGCGTGGTGGGCGTGGTGGGCAACGCCTACACGCTGGTGGTCACCTGCCGCTCCCTGCGTGCGGTGGCCTCCATGTACGTCTACGTGGTCAACCTGGCGCTGGCCGACCTGCTGTACCTGCTCAGCATCCCCTTCATCGTGGCCACCTACGTCACCAAGGAGTGGCACTTCGGGGACGTGGGCTGCCGCGTGCTCTTCGGCCTGGACTTCCTGACCATGCACGCCAGCATCTTCACGCTGACCGTCATGAGCAGCGAGCGCTACGCTGCGGTGCTGCGGCCGCTGGACACCGTGCAGCGCCCCAAGGGCTACCGCAAGCTGCTGGCGCTGGGCACCTGGCTGCTGGCGCTGCTGCTGACGCTGCCCGTGATGCTGGCCATGCGGCTGGTGCGCCGGGGTCCCAAGAGCCTGTGCCTGCCCGCCTGGGGCCCGCGCGCCCACCGCGCCTACCTGACGCTGCTCTTCGCCACCAGCATCGCGGGGCCCGGGCTGCTCATCGGGCTGCTCTACGCGCGCCTGGCCCGCGCCTACCGCCGCTCGCAGCGCGCCTCCTTCAAGCGGGCCCGGCGGCCGGGGGCGCGCGCGCTGCGCCTGGTGCTGGGCATCGTGCTGCTCTTCTGGGCCTGCTTCCTGCCCTTCTGGCTGTGGCAGCTGCTCGCCCAGTACCACCAGGCCCCGCTGGCGCCGCGGACGGCGCGCATCGTCAACTACCTGACCACCTGCCTCACCTACGGCAACAGCTGCGCCAACCCCTTCCTCTACACGCTGCTCACCAGGAACTACCGCGACCACCTGCGCGGCCGCGTGCGGGGCCCGGGCAGCGGGGGAGGCCGGGGGCCCGTTCCCTCCCTGCAGCCCCGCGCCCGCTTCCAGCGCTGTTCGGGCCGCTCCCTGTCTTCCTGCAGCCCACAGCCCACTGACAGCCTCGTGCTGGCCCCAGCGGCCCCGGCCCGACCTGCGCCCGAGGGTCCCAGGGCCCCGGCGTGAGCACGCGGAGGGGCGGCTGGAGTCCAGGCGGGGACGCGCCCCAAAGCCCCAGCCACTCCCGGGAGCCCCCCCAACTCCCAAATCACAGGCCCTGCCCCTCCTCCGTCCCCTTCTGGAAAGATCCTGCTCGCTTCCCCTCAGCGCCCTTCCCGTGATGCCCAGAAGCGCCCACCCGCCTCCCTGAGGGTCTCCAGGAGGCTCCAGCGCAGTCCCGGCTTCTGGAGACCATGGCTTCGTCACAGAGGGCAGCAGGCGCCAGTGCCCGGCCCGTGTGGAGACCATGGCGCGGCTGCCGCCCCCGGGACCCTCCTCCTCTCAGCCAGCGGCCCTGTGACTCCTGTTCCTGCCTGTGTGGCTCCATCCCTTGTGGCTTTGCCACTGGAACAATCAACCCTGAGCTGGCTTCCGTGTCCTGCCTAGGCGCGGGGGACGCCACATCTGAGGTGTGGGAGGATCGGCCGGCAGGATCCCCAGGACGACAACGGCAGCTCAAGGGGGAGCCTGTGGGTCTGGCTGGGGTAGAGGGTGCACCTGCCTTTGAGGCCTGTGCAGGCGGCTGGTCTGGCACCTGATGTGGGGCAGGGAAGGTGGCCAGGAGGGGAGGCTCCAGCTGAGGGGTGGAGCAGGGAAGGCACTGCCCAGCAGAGGCCTGAGGCTTTGGGTGCAGAACGCAAGAGGACAAGGTCAGTGGCCGCACCTACAGGCCTCCTGGCCTCTCATCCACGTCTGGCTCAGGTCTGATCAGAAAGGGAATCCAGGTCCCACCTCACAGTAGCATTGGCAGTCTCTGCCCCACTCACCCCTCACTGCCTCCTGGACAGACTTCCTGCCCCAGCTCCCAGCTTGGCCAACCATCCTCTCTCTGGCGACTGCCCCCCTCCAGCCCCCAGCCCGGCCCCGGACCCTGCATGGCCTCCCCCAGCCTGGCCTCCCCTCCCCACCCCATGGCCATGCCCAGACTACCAGCCCCTTGGGGCTCCATCTGAACACTGGGGCAAGGGTCATGCCCGCTTGGTCCCTCCAGTGCCTACCCCTCAGTGGAGTGAGCACAGCTCTGCTGGCAGGACTGTGGCCGGCGTCAGGAATAAGCATGCAGCGCTCTCCCCAGGGCCTCCCGGAAGAGGGGCAATGCTTGCAGCTCCCCCCTGGAGTTACGAAAGTGCTCTGGAACTAGACGCTGGTGACTGGGCGATGCTGTGAACGAGCCAGTGCCACAGAACTGTGCACCTGAATGTGTGAGTTCTGTCGTGTTTTACTTTAAAAACAAAAGGATCCCACTCCCCGACCTTGTCCCTCTGTTAAAATTGAAAGAGACTGATGTCAGCCGCCCCGTCTGGGAGGGAGGTGGGGGGGTCAGCCCCCCGCCCGGCCAGCCACCCCGTCCGGGAGGTGAGGGGCGCCTCTGCCCGGCCACCCCTACTGGGAAGTGAGGAGCCCCTCTGCCCGGCCACCACCCCGTCTGGGAGGTGTGCCCAGCAGCTCATTGAGAACGGGCCATGATGACAATGGCGGTTTTGTGGAATAGAAAGGCAGGAAAGGTGGGGAAAAGATTGAGAAATCGGATGGTTGCCGTGTCTGTGTAGAAAGAAGTAGACATGGGAGACTTTTCATTTTGTTCTGTACTAAGAAAAATTCTTCTGCCTTGGGATCCTGTTGATCTATGACCTTACCCCCAACCCTGTGCTCTCTGAAACATGTGCTGTGTCCACTCAGGGTTGAATGGATTAAGGGCGGTGCAAGATGTGCTTTGTTAAACAGATGCTTGAAGGCAGCACGCTCGTTAGGAGTCATCACCACTCCCTAATCTCAAGTACCCAGGGACACAAACACTGCGGAAGGCCGCAGGGTCCTCTGCCTAGGAAAACCAGAGACCTTTGTTCACTTGTTTATCTGCTGACCTTCCCTCCACTATTGTCCTATGACCCTGCCAAATCCCCCTCTGCGAGAAACACCCAAGAATGATCAATAAAAAAAAAAAAAAAGAGAGACTGATGTACATCCCACTCCTGAATACATGTAAAATGTATACAAAAATATCTTCTATGAAAATGGTTTGTAATCTGTAGATTGTAATCCGGGATTTGTAATCTGTAGATTGTAATCTTGGAGATGTCTTAGATGTAAAATCCCATCTTCGGGTTGGGGGTTTTTTGCTTTCTCCAAATAAATCTGATCTTTAAAATTCAAAAAAAAAAAAAAAAAGAAAGAAAGAAAAGAAGGCCAGGCACGATGGCTCATATGCCTATAATCCCAGCACTTTGGGAGGCTGAGGCGGGTGTATCACAAGTTCAGGAGTTCAAGACCAGCCTGTCCAAGATGGTGAAACCCCATCTCTACTAAAAATACAACAAAATTAGCCAGGCGCAGTGGCAGGTGCCTGCAATCCCAGCTACTCAGGAGGCTGAAGCAGGAGAATCGCTTGAACCTGGGCAGCAGAGGTTGCAATGAGCTGAGATTGTGCCATTGCATTCCAGCCTGGGCGACAGAGTGAGACCCTGTCTTAAAAAAAAAAAAAGAAAGAAAGAAAGAAAAGAAAAAAATAAACAGCGATTTGCTGGTAAAATCACCCGGGGAGCAGGCAGCTCCGCGGAGGGTGGGACAGGGCTGATGACGCCCCTTCCAGAGGCTCCCAGGAGCCACCCGAGCCATGCGTCCTCGCAGGGGTGCACCTGCCTTTGAGGCCTGTGCTGGCGGCTGGTCTCTTGAGGCATCCTTGCAGCTTCTCTGATGCAGAAGGAGAGCTTTGGGGGTTGGAGGTGCTTTCTCTTTCTCAACCGAAGCCTGATTCCTAAAGCTGCTGTCTTTGTAGAGAAGCAAAATCAAAATTAAACATCTGACAGCCAGAGCTGGTCCCTGGCTTGGTGGTTCCAGCTGGCACTGTCCTCGCCTGACACGCAGACTCTCGGCGGCAGCCCAGACGGCGGGGCACAGGACGTGGGGAGACTCCACGCTTGACCTCTTGCCCACCGCCTTCCGGTCTGCTCGCGCCAACATGGCTTCTGCGCTGAGCACCTGCATGTGGCACGGGGCCCAGGGTGGTGACCGGCAGTGACTGCCTCACAGCAGCTGCTCACTGCTCCTGGCCCCCCGCTTTTCCAGCAGACCCCCCACTTCTGTGGAAGGCCCCCCACGTCTCCAGAGCCACGAAGCTCCAAAAGAGGGAATTTCTGGAGCAACATGGTCCCATCCATGACCCCCCGCCTCCAAGTCAGAACACAGCTGAAGACTCGAGTCCCAGGAGGGGCCCTGCAGCCCCACGACCCAGAGAAGACCACCCCAGAGCCACCCTCCACCCAACTCAGCGGGCGACCTGCTGTCCCCAAGGGGCGGGGAGTGGGTCCCCTCCTCCCACCTGGGTTTGGAGAGGGCGGGTAGCCCCCATGATGTGAGGCACAGTTGCTGGAGGTGACCATGCAGGCATCTACAACCACGTGTGTCCTCCACGGATGTCAGCACGGGGCCGATGAGGACAGAATTCCCTGGAAAGGCAGAGCTTCAGGGCAGGGCTGGGTAACGTGAAGAAAAGGGTGGCACGGGCACGCGTGTGCATGTGAGTGTGGGCTGCGGGAAACCCCTGGACAAAGGAGAAAGCAAAACAAGGGGTGAATGACTCAGGGACAGGAGAGAAATTAAATAAAACCTAAGTAACAGGGGACAACTGGGTGCAGTGGCTCACGCCTGTAATCCCAGCACTTTGGGAGGCCGAGGCGGGCGGATCACGAGGTCAGGAGATCGAGACCATCCTGGCTAACATGGTGAAACCCCGTCTCTACTAAAAATACAAAAAATTAGCCGGGCGTGGTGGCGGGCACCTGTAGTCCCAGCTACTCTGGAGGCTGAGGCAGGAGAAAGGTGTGAACCCGGAAGGTGGGGCTTGCAGTGAGCCGAGATTGCGCCACTGCATTCCAGCCTGGGCGACAGAGCGAGACTCCATCTCAAAAAAAAAAAAAAAAAAAAAAAAAAAAAAAAAAAAAAAAAATCTAAGTAACGGACTCTGAGAAACCGGAGCAGGCAGAGGCTGGGAAAGGAAACCTGGAGACCTGGGCACTAAAACAAAGCACTCGCTGAAAGGCTGGCAGATTGATCCGCAGTTCCTCCGGGAGGAGCACCTGGTTCCGGGAGGGAGTCCCCCAGCCCTGATCCCCTCTCTCCTTTCCAATGCCTCTTATTAAAGAACCGTGAAGATGCAGAGGTGGGCACACACAGCACAGTGCACCCCAGATCACAAGCGGGACGTTCTCTTCGGTGCCCGCTTCCCCTGCCTGGGTGTGGATGGGGCAGCAGTGGGCGCCACTGTGCAACCCCCAGCCCCAGCCCCGGCCCCGTCCTCATCAACACATCATCCAGTCACCATGCGCCGTGCCTGCGCATCCCCCCGCCCGCTGGCGACCCCGCAGCGCACCTGCCTTCCACCCAGGGGGCCTCCATAAGCAATTACGTCAGTGACAAGTAGCTCTGTAAGCTGCAGCACCGGCCCCCTGCCTCCCAGAACACACATGGTCCCACACAATACTGCAGACTCACACCCGCTCACACTCACACCACTGGACTCACGCCCACTCACACACCACTGCAGACACACCCACTCACACACCACTACAGACTCACACCCACTCACACACCACTGCAGACTCACACCCACACCCACAGCTGGGCCCTGCCCTGCCAAGCCTCCATTGTTGCAGGGTCCCCGGAGCCCGTCAGGCCTGGCGGCTGCTCTGTATCTCTCTCTCTGCATTCTCTCTTCTGCACATTTCCTAAGCACCAAAGGGCTCTGCCAAGAACCCTCTGGCAGGGGGTGCAGCCCAGGCAGCGTTCTGTCCCGGGGAAAGGGCACTGAGGACAGCACCCTCAAATCCAGATGGAATTTTATATGTAAATGCCGGGTATAAAGTAATAATGAGTGAAGAGGAAGTAGCAGTGAATGTATTCTAAAATGAGAAGCAGGGGCCGGGCGCGGTGGCGCACCCTTGTAATCCCAACACTTTGGGAGGCTGAGGTGGGTGAATCACTTGAGGTCAGGAGTTTGAGACCAGCCTGGCCAACATGGTGAAACCCTGTCTCTACCAAAACACAAAATACAAAAATTAGCTGGGCATGGTGGCGCACGCCTGTAATCCCAACACTTTGGGAGGCTGAGGCGGGCAGATCACCTGAGGTCAGGACTTTGAGACCAGCCTGGCCAACATGGTGAAACCCTGTCTCTACTAAAAATACGAAAAAAATTAGCCGGGCGTGGTGGCGTGTGCCTGTAATCCCAGCTACTCGGGAGGAGGAGGGAAGAGAATCGCTTGAACCTGGGAGGCAGAGGTTGCAGTGAGCCAAGATCACGCCATTGCATTGCACTCCAGCCTGGGCGACAGAGCAAGACTCCGTCTCCAAAAAAAAAAGCAGCAGAAAGGTTATTGAAAGATTATTGAAAGTATGACCTAGACACGGTGAGAAATGTGATTTCAGGAGTCAGAATTCCGATGCAGAAAGGACAACTCAACACCAAATGCAGAAACCGCGCAGGATGGAGCCCCTGGCTCTGCTGTGACTCTCTCTCCAGCCATTTCACTTAGAAACCGCGCAGGACGGAGAACCTGGCTCTGCTGTAACTCTCTCTCCAGCCATTTCACTTCTAGGATTTTATCTGAAATTTTAAAATCAGGCGTGGATCAAGACATATGCACAAAGGTGCTCGCTTCAGCATCACTTTAAAAACCACAGGCACCGCGGAATTTTCCACAGTTGGTAAATAGATTATGACGTGAGCAGTGGAGGATTTTGTGTATCTTCAGAGAATAGCAAAGCTCCGTTCCAAAGTGTCCTTAATGATCCAAGGCATGACGGCCAATGAGGAAAGCTGGAAAGTGAAACCGAGTGACTTAATCCAGGTTTCGTTTGAAACAAATAAGAATGTGTGTGGATGTGTGGTGAGAGTGTGGCATTTGGAGTGTGGCTTGTGAGACTGTGACCCTGTGTCATGTGCACACATGGCTGTGTAGGTGTGTGGTGTGTGAGACTGCGACCCTGTGTCGTGCACACGTGGCTGTGTAGGAGTGTGGCATGTGTGTGACTGGGACCCTGTGTCATGTGTACACGTGGCTGTGTAGGAGTGTGGCATGTGTGTGACTGGGACCCTGTGTCATGTGTACACGTGGCTGTGTAGGAGTGTGGTGTGTGTGTGACTGGGACCCTGTGTCATGTGCACACGTGGCTGTGTAGGAGTGTGGCGTGTGTGTGACTGGGACCCTGTGTCATGTGCACATGTGGCTGTGTAGGAGTGTGGTGTGTGAGACTGCGACCCTGTGTCATGTGCACACATGGCTGTGTAGGCGTGTGTGGGTGCATGTGTGTGCATGTATGCATCAAGACTTCACAGGGACACTTTAAAATAGCAACAGTGGGCCGGGCACGGTAGCTCACGCCTGTAATCTCAGCACGTTGGGAGGCCAAGGCGGGTGGATCACGAGGTCAGGAGTTCGAGACCAGC
This sequence comes from Homo sapiens, assembly GCF_000001405.40. Taxonomy (NCBI): domain Eukaryota; kingdom Metazoa; phylum Chordata; class Mammalia; order Primates; family Hominidae; genus Homo; species Homo sapiens. The sequence goes on from NC_000017.11 coordinate 82,381,973, forward strand.
CTAGCCAACATGGTGAAACCCCATCTCTACTAAAAATACAAAAATTAGCCAGGTGCGGTGGCAGACACCTGTAACCCCAGCTACTCAGGAGTCTGAGGCAGGAGAATCACTTGAACCCGGGAGGCAGAGATTGCAGTGAGCTGAGATCAGACCACTGCACTCCAGCCTGGGCAACAGGGTGAGACTCCATCTCAAAAAAAAAAAAAAAAAAAAAGCAACAGTGTTAGCCCTTGGTGGGAAATTTTAGGTAGTTTTTTTTTGTTTTTTGTTTTTTTACTTTTTATACTTTTGAGTCTTTTCCAGATTTCTCCCAAAAGGTATACACAGCTTTAAAATCAGGATTGTTACTAAATTTTTTTAAGATGGGGTCTTGCTCTGTTGCCCAGGCTGGAGTGCAGTGGTGTGATCTCGGCTCACTGCAGCCTCCGCCTCCCAGGTTCAGGTGATCCTCCCACCTCAGCCTCCTGAGCAGCTGGGATTACAGGCACGCGCCACCACACCTGGCTAATTTTTGTATTTTTTGTAGAGACGGGGGTCTCCCTATGTTGCCCAGGCTGGTCTCAAACTCCTGGGCTCAAGTGATCCGCCCACCTCAGCCTCCCAAAGTGCTGGGATTCCAGGCGTGAGCCACCACGCCTGGTCTATTAAGAAGTTTGAATGTCTGAAGCCTTCATGGTTGCCTCAAACGTAGTCACGCCTGGGGTCGGTGAGTGCTGTGCGTCTCCTGCACACGGGGCTGTCGGGCGCCTGCCTTGGAGGAGGAGGAGGACATGGCATGCGAGAGGCCTGCAGCTGGGGAGGTCAGAGCTGGGCCCAGGCCTGCGTGTTCATCTACGCGTTGCCCCCCGTCCCCTGGGCCACCCCTGGAGGCCCTTCTCCTCCTCTCCCCTCCTCCCCTCCCACCCCAGGCCCTGCCCTTCCCTGGCACCCAACTCCCTTACTCAGACCTCATCCGGCCCCACCCTGACCCAGGTGTGGGGGTCCCGGGGCTCCAAGCCACCAGGCTGTGTGGACAGCCCCTCTTCTCAGCAGTCACCGTGGCCACCCCAGCTGTGTCCAGGGCTGGAGTCAGAGCCTGCTCAGGTAGGAGGGACACGGTGCCAGGGGCCGGTCGGGGGCGGCGACAATGGAGTGCATGGCACAACCCACTAGAGGGGTCGAGTGCCCCGCTGGGGATTTCAGCAAAAGTCCTTTCTGCCCTGAAAGCAAGAGTAAGACCCCGGCTCTAACAGGTCCTAGTTGACGTTGTCCATGGCTGGCTGCCCCCAGCACCACAGCTCTGCTGTGCCCACGGCCCCGACCACTGCCAGGCTCCCCTGGACCCTCCCTGCCATGTCCCTCCACCCCCCACAATGCCCCCCAGACCCTCCCCACAATCCCCGCAATGCCCCCCACCCCCCGCAATGCCCCCGGACCCTCCCCACAATGCCACTCACTTCCCCACAAGGCCCCCCACCCCCGCTGCAAGGCACCCTGAACCCCCCCCCACGAGGCGCATCCCTGCTGCAGGCCGTTGGCAGGTGTTGCTGGTTCCAGCATTCCTTACAAATGGGAGCCTGCAGCCTGCGGTCCTGCATGTCCGGACTCCAGTAGTTTGCAGCACAGCTGCCTCCCTTCTGCTGCCGGGGCCTGGCCGAGGGATCGCTGCCGCTGCTAAGGGGTGGCTGTCTGGGTCCAGCGCTGGGTGGGCAGTCGCTAAAGAAGTTGCTGTGAATGCTGCTGCCTCAGCCTCTGCTTTCGTTTGCCCTGGGTAGAACCCAGGGGCGGAATCACTGGGCAGGTGGAAGCTGTCTCGCTGTCTCCCTGTTCCCCAAAGCAGCTTCAGCCGTGCCGCGGACACTCACCGGCAAGGGACGAGCCCTCCTGTTTCCCCCCTGCAAGCACCTGGAATTTACTGGATATTAGGTGCACTTGGGAAAGGAATTTCTTTTCATAAAAGGCGACTGAAAATCCCTTTGTGAGACACTGACTGTGCTGGATCAGAGATTTTGTAAATTTGGGTTTGGCCTATGGGGTAAATGGTAGGGCCTGTGCTGGAGAGGCCTTTGCTGTGTGGGGTGTGCAGCTCCCCTGGAAGGCCCTGGGCAGTGGAGCAGCCTGGATGGGGCCCCCCCTGCATCAGGATAGGGGCTCGGTTCCAGCACTATCATATCCCCCCACCATGCCCACCCCTGCTACCCTCCACCCACACCCCCAGCTGCTTCAGCCCAGAGCAAAAATGGTGAGGGAGAAGGTGTCCTGGGCGGGCCTTGGTCCCGAGAACAAGGCAGCAGGTGGCCCATGCCTGGGGGGCAAAGGATCGCATGAATGAACTGTGTCCCCGGCTGGGGGGTGGATGTCTGGTGGCAGGTGCCTGGCGGCGGGTGATTGGTTTGCCAGGCGCCCTCACAGACTGCCCCACGTCTGGCCTGTCTCCAGGCGGCTCTGGCGTGGCTGGGGTTTGGTTTCTGATCGTTGCTCCCCGACCAGAGCTGCTGCAGGGCAGTGGGAGTGGACGCCACGTTCCCCAAACTGGCCTCAAGTTCAAAGGGGCTTTTTCAGACACCCCCAGGTCCCACCTTCCCGCCTTCCCAATAGAGCGTGGAGGACATGGTCTTCTGGGGTCCACGGCGGGGAGGGTGGGGTGCACCGGCGCGTGGATGCAGGGGTCTCAAGGCCCCAAGCCACACTTCACATGAGTTATTCCTCAACAAAGAAGCACCTGCCATTTAGAGCTGCTGAACTCCCAGGCATTCCAGGAACAGTGTGCTTCAGGAAGTGGGTTGCACCTCCAACCAGCAGGCTCCGCTGTTTACCTGCCCGGGCACGCTCCGCTGTGGGAGGCCATCCCCGTGGAATGGACCTCAAGGCGGCCCGCCGCTGCAGGTGGCAGCAGTGACTGCGCTTGTGGGGTGAGGCGGCCCTGGCCGGGGAGGATGGCTGGAGCTGCTTGGCAAAGACTTGCGCTCTTCCTGCCCTGAACCTGCACAGCATCACAGGTGCGCTCCTGGCCACCTGGAGGGTCAGCCCCGGGAGGTGGCGTGGTGCACGGGCCCCTTTCTGCCCCTAGGAAAGCACTTGGTGCAACCCATGCTGTCTGGCACCTTCCCTCATCACTCACAAGGGCAGGTTTTTCCATCTGAATTCCAGACAGATGACAGTCCCAGCTGGAAGCGAGGCTGCCAAGGCCAACGGCCAGGCTGTTCCAGACTCCGGCTTTTCCCAGGCCAAGTGCCCAGCCCCATGCAGGGGTCAGGGGAGGCCAGTTCTCCTGGGACTGACCCAGGGCCCAGAGGCGTCGCGTGCCCCAAGCCACCGGGACAGGTGCACAGGCTGGCACTGGCCCAAGGCTGGGTAGTTCTGGTCTGTCACTTTTGCCCACCTGCAGCCAAGGAGACCCAGGCTGGGAGGGCCTGGGGGGTGAGTGAGGTCACAGCAGGACACAGCCCCAACGGTCAGCAGCCTGGAGACTCCGGTCCAAGCCCCAGCCCCCTCTGCCCTCCCCGCATGGGGCCCCTGCAGACCCCACTGCCAGCTAGGCCTGGGATCTTCCTGTCACCTCCAGCCAGCCCAACGGGACCTCCTGGCAAGCCCCCCCCCCCACCCCCGCTTCCCTGAAGCCCACAGCAACCCACAGGCCGAGCGGCCTGGGCTGTTGGGTATTTCATGGCCCCGACGGGAGCCCCTTTGGCAGAGCCCACCACTGGGCTGCTCTCCAACCGAGTGCTCTCCTGTTTCACAGCTAAGGGACCTCGGCTCGAAGGACCACCCAGGCTGTGCCTGGGGCCCAGTGCTGGAAATCCCGGGAGTGGACACATGCAGGTGCCTGGGACTGACGGGTCCTCACAGGGCGTTGGGCCGGGCTCCGTCCGTCCAGGTGGCCTCCGGCACCCCACAGCGCGATTAAAAACACAGAGCTGTGTCTCACCCCAGAACTAGGAGTTGGCGGGAAACTGGAGCCGCTGCCCCCCTGCCCTTCAGCCAAATCTGGCCACCCTGAGCCAAAATTCCTCCCGGGGGCTGGGAGTCAGGCCGGGGCTGGGCCTGGGGCCTGACGGGGAGGGGCTGTCTCTGTCCCAGGCTCTCCTCCCCATCCTCCCTCCGTCTTCCCCTGGCCTCCAGTGATGGGGAGGGGCTGTCTCTGTCCCAGGCTCTCCTCCCCCATCCTGCCTCCGCCTTCCCCGGCCTCCAGTGATGGGGAGGGGCTGTCTCTGTCCCAGGCTCTCCTCTCTGTCCTCCCTCCGCCTTCCCCTGGCCTCTAGTGATGGGGAGTGGCTGTCTCTGTCCCAGGCTCTCCTCTCTGTCCTCCCTCCGTCTTCCCCTGGCCTCCAGTGATGGGGAGGGGCTGTCTCTGTCCCAGGCTCTCCTCCCCGTCCTCCCTCCGCCTTCCCCTGGCCTGTAGTGATGGGGAGTGGCTGTCTCTGTCCCAGGCTCTCCTCTCTGTCCTCCCTCCGCCTTCCCCTGGCCTCTAGTGATGGGGAGTGGCTGTCTCTGTCCTCCCTCCGCCTTCCCCTGGCCTCTAGTGATGGGGAAGGGCTGTCTCTGTCCCAGGCTCTCCTCCCCATCCTCCCTCCGCCTTCCCCTGGGCAGCTGGGGGCCAGAAGCCTTCTCCCTGGGACGCTAAGAGGCAGTCCCGGGGGGTGTGGGTTCAGGGGTGGAGGGAGGGGCCCAAGGAGAGGCAGGAGCCAGCGTACCCACCTCACCATGGGCAGGACTCCAGGGCCAGTGGGCGAGAGCACGGGAAGGGGGCTGGGCGGACAGCGAGGTAGGGATGCCAGCAAGTTCTGACCCGGGCTGAGGGGTCTGGGCTCCCCTCTGAGGACTGCATCCTCCAGAGCCCTGAACACGGCGCGGCCACCCAGGGAGGGCCCAGAGCAGGGAGGCGGCCACACACGCCAGCCGAAATGAAGATGCAGGGCAGGACTGGCTAGCAGGAGGGCCTGGGTGCGGGGTCCCAGGGCCGAGGGGCACGTGGGGACAGTGAGCCTGGCCTGGCCTCACAAGGGGCTACGGGGGAAGGAAAGCCCAGGTAGGGTCTGTCAGGGGCCCGAGCACCCACCCTGGTCTCCAGCCACAGACCCTCCCCGGAGCACCCGCCCTGGTCTCCAGCCACAGACCCTCCCCTGCCCTCTAGGCAGGGCATGCTGGCAGGCGGGGTGGGGCCAGCCCCCAAGGGTGAGCCGCCGGAGGTTCTGCTGGGAGCCTGGGGTCTGTGAGGGAGCGGCTGCTGCCTGGCATTGCCCTAAGCCGGCCAGGACCTGATCCCCACCCTACGCTGGGGCTGGGAGCAGACAGGAAGGACAGAGACACACGGAGAAGGGGCCCAGACCACGCAGAAAGAAGGTGTGTCTCGGCAGGGTGTGGCCGGCTCCCGGGACGCTAGACAGGAGCCACGGGGCCCCTTCCTGGGGAGGAAGGTGCAGCCATGCAAAGTGAGTCCAGGGGACGGCGAGGGGCCTGACCCGCTCTTCTCCCGAAACTCGGATATTTCCAGTATGTGTCCGGCGTCCCCAGAACGACACGGAGATGGACTGGCTTGCGGGGGACCCCACGTCCTCTTCCCCAACACGAGGAGCCTCGGGATCCATTTTCACTGCTGCAGGCACAGGGGCCTCCTCAGCTCCTCCTCGTCTGCTGTTCCTGTTTCGTCCTCTTCCTGCCTCGTGCTTCGTTGATGTTCTGCAAATTATTTAGATGTGTAAATGAAATAAATGGAAAATAACTCTCATTGCTCCCAGCTGGCCTAGCTCCGTCCCTCACCCACCTGCCTTGGGGGCCAGGAGGCTCTAAGATGTGAGGACGCTGGACAGAGATCAGACAGAGGCTAGACAGAAACAGCAGCCAGAGGGGTACAGAGGGCAGGAAAGAGACTGGACAGAGATGGACAGAGACAAGACAGAGGGGACAGAAGGGGACAGAAATTGGACAGAGATGGACAGAGGGGACAGAGGGGGAAAAAGATGGACAGAGACAAGACAGGGGAGAGGGGGACAGAGACTGGACAGAGACAAGACGGGACAGAGGGGGACAGAGATGGACAGAGACTGGACAGAAACAAGACAGAGGGGATGGGGTACAGAGACAAGACAGGGGACAGAGGAGGACAGAGACAAGACAGAGGGGACAGAGACTGGACAGAAACGGAGAGGAACAGAAAATGCATGGGCCGGCCAGGTGAGGGGCAATGCTTGGGCACCCCCAAATCACAGGGCGAGGACCGGTACTGGGCAGTGCCACGGTGTGACAGAGTGACGTGCAGTCAGGGACAGCGTCCAGTGTGGACGGAGCCTTCCTGATGCCTGAGCCACCCCTGAGCTCACGGGGCCACCCTCTGGCCGCGGGTCCTCCAGCTCCCCAGCCCAGAGCTGTCCAGCAGCAAGCGCTGACCTGGGAGACGTGCCAGGTGGCGAGTGGGCGTGGCACACACCGCTGGTGTCTCAGGCCCTTGGCTCCCATCTCGGTGATAAGCACAGCAGGGCTGGGCAGAGCCGGGCCAGGGTCCCCATCAAGAGAGAAGGTGGAGGGAGCAGAGGCCACCACGCTGCACACCAGGGCTGTGACCATGGTGGGGTGAGAGGTGGCTGCCACGTGGGTTCCTGGCAGTGACCCACACACCACACAGAGTCAGCTCCAGGCTGGCCATGGTGACGAGTCTTCCGGGATGGGACCAATGATGGGAGGGTCACGCCCGTTTCCCTTCCTTTGAAAACGAGTCTCCCATACATAAAAATGGACGGCTTTCCTTGCTCACCCTGTGGCCTCACAGGCCCCGACCACACACCCACACGGCACTAAGGCCCTCCCGGCCTCGGCCCTGCAGAAAGCCGGAGACCTCCGGGAACCCTCCCCGGAACCCCTCCCCGGAACCCTCCCCGGAACCCCTCCCCGGAGCCCCTCCCCGGAGCCCTCCCCGGAACCCTCCCCAGAACCCCTCCCCGGAACCCCCCCACCCACTTCACCGTCGTGGCCTCTGCTTTCGTGGCTTCCTCCCCTTCGTTCGTGAGAACTCGGGACATGTACACGGAGCTTTCCACACAACTCAAGAAACCCAGCCTTGGGGCTCTGTACTCCCCAGGCTGACATACGGCGACCTCGTGTTTCGGCTTTGCTTTCGCAATGCACGGCTGTGCGCTCGGGCCTGGCTCTGGTGGCTGCCGCGTGTTGGAGACTCTGTCCACGCAGGTAGCAGGGACAGGGCCACCGCCAGGTCAGGAGCACGGACGGAAGCAGGAAACATCTCCCTTCCCGACAGCAGGACTCGCCCTCCTAGATTCTTTATTTTGAAAGGAATAATCATCTTTGACTTTAATGAAACACTTTTACTTAAAAATAGATCACTCATCAGAGGACACACCTGAGACTCCAGTTCCTCCCTGGAACCTTCTAGCGGAACCAATCACCCCTCGTGGCTCCTGGAACAGCCTCACGTCGGCCACACCCGACACTTTCATCAGGTTCACGAGCACTTCTTGGGCAAAGCCCAGGGTGTGAGGATTCACTGCTGTGCCCACGTATTTTCCCACCTTTTTATTTTTTTAAAATGCCCAGGCTTCAATGATAAATTTTTTTTTGAGACAGTATCTTGCTGTCTCCCAGGCTGGAATGCAGTGGAGCCGTCACAGCTCACTGTAGCCTCGACCTCCTGGGCTCAAGCAGTCGTCCTGCCTCAGCTCCGAGTAGCTGGGACCACAGGAGCACACTGCCACGCCCAGCTACATTTTTTAAAAGTTTCTTGTACAGACAGCGTCTCACTATGTTGCACAGATGGGTCTCCAACTCCTGGGCTCAAGTGATCTTCCTACCTTGGCCTCCCAAAGTGCTGGGATTACCAGCATGAGCCATATGTTCCCACTTCAGAAGGAAATTCTTCATTCTGGCTAACACGGTGAAATCCCATCTCTACTAAAAATACAAAAAAAATTAGCCGGGCATGGTGGCGGGCGCCTGTAGTCCCAGCTACTCGGGAGGTTGAGGCAGGAGAATGGTGGGAACCCAGGAGGTGGACCTTGCAGTGAGCCGAGATTGCGCCACTGCACTCCAGCCTGGGCGACAGAGTTAGACTCCGTCTCAAAAAAAAAAAGAAGGAAATTCTTGCTTTTGCCCAAATATATTTCTTTGTCCAAGTATCTCTGTGATTATCATGAATAGTGTAAGTAGCCAAGAATGAAAATCAAACTAATAATTTACTTATTTCAAAAGCACTTTAACCCATAACAAACCCAACACCCACTTTCTTCAAATGCATTTATCCTTTAGACGTGGCGAGAAGCCGGCGACATCATCATTTACTCCAAGGTGACAGGATCAGGTTTCCATGCAGCATTTTCCACCTGCCCCGACCATGACCACAGCCACGGACCCTCTGGAAAGTCAAGACTGGGAGAAGCTCAAGGGCGGCCCAGGCTCAGGCGACTTCCCACCCACGATGGGGCCCACCAGCCCGACCCGGAGAGTGTCCGTGAAGCAGCCGGCCCCGCAAGGACGGCTTTGGCCACCAACCGGAGGTGGGCCTCATCCTCCCAGATCCATGGAGTCCTTCAGAATCGTGCCTCGCTCCAGTGTCCCACATCAGAGGCCATGGGAGGGCGCGGGAGCCTCAGGGTTCCTGCCCCATCTGCCCAGAGCCTGCAGCCCTGACCAAGGAGGGTTCCCCATACACGGGCAGAAGCTGTGGACCCAGGGAGCCTATCCCACGCCGTCCTCCGCATGTGGCCCGTGGTGCAGGAGGGGCCCTGGGCAAACCAAGGTGCGGCCCCCAAGTCCCCCGTACCCAGGGGTCACCATGCCTCAGCTGGCCTCACGCCCGCTCCTTCCCAGGGGTCACCATGCCTCAGCTGGCCTCACGCCCGCTCCTTCCCAGGGGTCACCATGCCTCAGCTGGCCTCACGCCCGCTCCTTCCCAGGGGTCACCATGCCTCAGCTGGCCTCACGCCCGCTCCTTCCCAGGGGTCACCATGCCTCAGCTGGCCTCACGCCCGCTCCTTCCCAGGACCCAATAATGCTGCCCTTTATCAACCCCCAGAGCAGCTCCCGGGCCACAGGTGGGGCCTCCTCCAGTCAGAGGCACCTGTGCCAGGGGCTAGGGAACATGGATCTATGCCAGACAGGCTAAGGGAGGAGGGACCGAGGCAGGAGGGGCTGAGGGAGGAGGTGCTGAGGGAGGAGGGGCCCAGGGCTCTCCCCAGGCAGCTGGGTCAGGGCATCCAGGAGAGCCCAGCTTCCAACACCACTCAGGGTGGGCGGCCGTCCCCCTCCCGGGAAGGTGCCCAAAGCCCTGGACAGTCACCTCGAGGTGACTGTGGGCAGAAACTGGGCTTGGCCTGCCCTCCCTGCCAGCCACCCCACCCAGGCCTCTCCACAACTGGTCTATTCGGGGCTCCTCTGACCACCACTTTATTTTTATATTTTTAAGATGGAGTCTCACTCTGTCACCCAGGCTGGAGTGTAGTGGCACGATCTCGGCTCACTGCAACTTCTGCCCCCTGGGTTCAAGCGATTCTCCTGCCTCAGCCTCCCCAGTAGCTGGGATTAATTTGTTTTTGTGTTTTTAGTAGAGACAGGGTTTCGCCATGTTGGCCAGGCTGGTCTTGAACTCCTGACCTCAAGTGATCCTCCTGCCTCGGCCTCCCGCAGTGCTGAGATTACAGGTGTGAGCCACCGCGCCCAGCCTGACCATCAGTTTAATGCCAGGGCAAAGGGGGAGGAGGAGACCTACCCTCGACCCAGCAGAAGGCCCATGGGAGCCGGCACAGCGACGCCAAGAGCCTCCTTGGTGAGGACACTCGGACCCTGGCCCTTGGGATGCTGGCCGCTGACAGGGCCAAGCCTGGTGTGGTGGGGCCGTGGCCCACGGTGATTTGTGGGCCAGCAGCATTGGGGGTGCACGCAGGGCTGTGGGAACGGCAGATGTTCACCTCCACCTGAATCCAGCAGAACTCCCACCCACCCCAAAGGACCCCGTTGCTGCCTCCAGAGCCGCCACTCACGGACCCTTCTCCAAAGCTGCTGCGGTTTGCTGATGCCGAGACCCCGAACAGAAGCTGCTGGCCCCACGTTTGTCCCCATTTATGGCTGATGCTTTAGCCAGTCTTTGATGGGCCGGGGGGTTGCTGAACCTGGACGAGTCCCGGGGGGTTGCTGAACCTGGGTGGATGAGTCCCGTCCATTCACAGATGGGGACTTGTGCCCCGTCCTGCTGGGTCCCTTTCCTGGCCTCCACCTCAGGCTCCCAGGCCTACAGCCCAAGCACACATGATGCTGGAGAAGTGAAAAGCTGGTTCCCTTCATTTACTCACAGATGAAAAGATTAACACGTCAGCAAATCAAAATCAGAGAATTCCTAAGGCACTCTGTGCAACAGGAGCGGGTGGACGTGGGGGTGGGTGCACGACTGGCGCGGCTGCCTCCACACGGGCCCTCCTGAAGTTACCTTGGCCCGGCTGCTGGCTACGGGAACGCTGGGTCCTCGATGCCATGGTCGGGGTTGCAGCTGAAGGCGATGGTGATGGCGTAACGGGTGCCCCAGTGGACCTTCTCCACGCGGTGTAGGTTCTCGGACCCCGAGGTGAAGAAGGAGACGCGACCTGGGAGAGGAGAAGAGAGAGAGGTGGCCATAGAGCCACACCCACGGCCACAGCCTTCAGAGGGTCTGCGGTCACCTGAAAGAGCAACTATAACCAATCAACACAACCAACCAGGCAGGCTGGAGAAATTGCCCCTCTGGGAACTGCTTCTGCAGGAAGGAGGAGCTGGAGAAACAAACGCAGCAATGCTCAGGGGCCCTGTGGCGGAGGAGGGGCCCCCCGGGGCCAGCAGGGACTCTGTGGTGGGCAGGACAGAGGAAGATGCTGCAGATGAGGCCACCACTGGCTCCAGACACCCCAGGTCATCTGATCTCCCGAGCTCCGGGCATTTGATCTCCTCAGCTCTCATGGGCCTTCCAGATCTGACACTTTAGGATCTTATTTCTAATCACAGGTTGAGAACAAAAACCAAGCCCTGGGGGTGTTCTAACAAAGAATCAGGAAAGACAAGATAAAACATCCAACTCGCAAACACCTCTCTGTCTCCCTTCAAGGGGTGATAGAGATGACGTCTGAACAGGCAGCTTCCACGGCAGTAACCAGGGCCCGGGGCCTGAGAGGTCCTGGAGGCAGGGGCCTATCTCAAGAGACGCCAGTTCATTTGTCTTCACATTGAAGTGGCGCTGCCTACCCCACCGTAGAGTCCTGTGGTAAAGCGTTCACCGCTGGACACAGCCATCGACCGTCACCAAGTGGGAAGCAAGGGGCGTTGAGACTCAGAGGACACCGGGCTCCCCCACGTGGCTCCTGACGTCCTGTGACAATTTCATTCCCCTTCAAAGGTTACCACTGGAAATGCAATTCCTTCCTTTCACATTTGCAAACTTCACTCGATCTTTGAAAGGGGAGAGAAGTCCATCCCGGGTGTGCAGGGCATTCTAGCTTCAAGAGGGAGTCAGTTGCACTGTGCCTGGAAATAGTGGAGCAAAAGAAATCACGTGGATGCAATGGTCACCTCTTAATGGAGGCCGGGAAGCGCCCTGGGATGCAGGCAAGGCAGCCGATCTTTCCCGGACCGTGTGGGCCACCTCCAGATATGCAGGACACGTCCTTTTCCAGGTCGGCTGGAGTCAGGGCACCTTCTAACCTTACACTTTTAAAGGACACATTGTCCTTGGTTTCTTCCAGCTTCAATCGAGGCTGAGACATCGGCACAAGCAGGAGGGCCCAGCGGCTCGCGCCATTTGGGACCTCAGTCGCCCATGCTCGTCCACACTCTCTGCTCTCTACTGCTGGCAGACGTGGTTCTCAGGAGGCTGCCAGCATTCAGTAAAAGGAGGGTCTCCTCTGGCCCTCTGGTGTTTCTGCACATCTTGCAAACAGAGGCACCAAAGGACAGGGGGAAGGATGGAGGACAGCTGAGCCTCGTGAGCTGTGGGAGGCAGGAAACCACCCACCATCCACACTACTGAAGGCTCAGACGGAGATGAGATCAATACGGGGCCAGAAAAGGACTTTTTTTTTTTTTTTTTTTTTAGACAGTCTCGCTCTGTTGCCCAGGCTGGACTGCAGCGGCATGATCTTGGCTCACTGCAAGCTCTGCCTCCTGGGTTCACGCCGTTCTCCTGCCTCAGCCTCCCTAGTAGCTGGGACTACAGGCGCCCGCCACCACGCCCAGCTAATTTTTTTGTACTTTTAGTAGAGATGTAGTTTCACCGTGTTAGCCAGGATGGTCTCGATCTCCTGACCTCATGACCCGCCCGTCTTGGCCTCCCAAAGTGCTGGGATTACAGGCGTGAGCCACCACGCCCGGCCTAAGATGCACTTTCTTTAGTAAATGACTATTAGATTATCACCTGCTTCCTTAAAGCAGGACTCAGCACGGCAACCAAGGAATCAACAATAAGCAATGCTCTCAGCTTCCAGAATCGCATGTGTCTCTCCCCTCTCGGGCGGGTGGTGAGTCCCCGGAGGACACCTGACTCCAGCCTTCGCACCAGCAGCTTCACTGGCTCTCGGTCCATTAACTTCTTGGAACCCACAAGACATCATCCGGAAACAAAAACATCCTGGGGACACAGGACAGGGATTGTGTGGTAAAGGGTTGACTCCAGGGGCCTGGGCGGTGCACACCCTACACCCTCCAGAGAGAGGCCTGGCCTTTGCCCCGGCTCCCAGGGGGGACCTCTGAGCCCTCAGAACATCCTGCCTGATAGGAGAACCTCTGTTTACCAGGGACCTAGGGCCACACCAGATGGTCCACACTGACAGTGTCACTTATGGTGGGACGTGGGCCACAGAGCAGCAGCTCAGCATCCAGAGGGGCTGGGGACAGAGGCCAGCCGTGCCTGCACCACCAGCCCCCCAGTAAAAACCCTGGACACCAAGGCTCGGCCGAGCATCCCTGGTCAGTGACACCCCCGAATATCATCACACATCACTGCTGGAGAACTAAGAGCTGTTGACCCAACTCCGGGAGAAGACAGTGGGAAGCTCACACCTGGTCACTCCTCAACCTGCCCCACGGCCTCTCCCCTTGCTGGATTGTTTTTTGTTTTTGTTTTTGTTTAGACAGGGTTTGGTTCTGTTTCTCAGGCTGGAATGCAGTATGCAATGGTAGGATCTTGGCTCACTGCAACCTCCTCCTCCCAGGCTCAAGCAATCCTCCCATCTCAGCCTCCTGAGTAGCTGGGACTATAGGTGCACGCCACCACACCCGGCTGCTTTTTGTATTTTTTGTAGAGACGGGGTTTTGCCATTTTGGCCAGGCTGGTCTTGAACTCCCGAGCTCAAACGATCTGCCTGCCTCGGCCTTGCAAGTGCTGGGATTACAGGTGTGAGCCGCCCCACCTGGCCCCCTTGGTGGATTTTAATCCATTTCTTTTCACTGTAATAAACTACAGCCAAGGGTATAATGGCTTTGCTGAGTTCTGTGAGTCCCAACAGTGAGTCACTGGACCTAAAGGTGGTCTTGGGAACCCCCGAACACAGGACTCTGCCTTCCTCGATAAAGTTGCCCTACAAAGAAAACTAGCATTTGCCACTCATGGTAAGAACTGCGACACGGCCGGGCGTGGTGGCTCACGCCTGTCATCCCAGCACTTTGGGAGGCCGAGGCGGGTGGATCACGAGGTCAGGAGATTGAGACCATTCTGGCTAACACGGTGAAACCCCGTCTCTACTAAAAATACAAACAATTAGCCGGGCGTGGTGGTAGGCACCTGTAGTCCCAGCTACTCGGGAGGCTGAGGCAGGAGAATGGCGTGAATCCGGGAGGCGGAGCTTGCAGTGAGCCGAGATCGCACCACTGCACTCCAGCCTGGGCGACAGAGCGAGACTCCGTCTCAAAAGAAAAAAAAAAGTCTCCAAATCACAGGTAAACACATAGATACACACAATTAGACAGATGTACAACATCAAATCACAGGTAAACACATAGATACAATTAGATGTATGACATCAATCACGTAAACACACAGATACACACAATTAGACAGATGTATGACATCAAATCACAGGTAAACACATAGATACACACAATTAGATGTATGACATCAAATCACAGGTAAACACATAGATAACACACAGATGTACAACATCACAGGTAAACACAGATACACACAATTAGATGTATGACATCAAATCACAGGGAAACACATAGATACAATTAGACAGATGTACGACATCAAATCGCAGGTAAACACATAGATACACACAATTAGACAGATGTACGACATCAAATCGCAGGTAAACACATAGATACACACAATTAGACAGATGTATGACATCAAATCGCAGGTAAACACATAGATACACACAATTAGACAGATGTACGACATCAAATCACAGGTAAACACATAGATACACACAATTAGATGTACGACATCAAATCACAGGTAAACACACAGATACACACAATCAGACAGATGTACGACATCAAATCACAGGGAAACACACAGATACACACAATTAGATGTATGACATCAAATCACAGGTAAACACATAGATACAATTAGACATGTATGACATCAAATCACAGGTAAACACATAGATACAATTAGACAGACACATGCAGGAGACAGGTTGTTTTAATTATCTGAAAGAAGATCGTAATACAAAATGTTTGACTCAAGTATTTATCATGCTTAAAATGACTAAGATCAAAATATGCTAAAAAGTTGTGTAATTTCGAGTCCCAGGAGGCTTCAGCTGCTTGACTTCTCAAGAAAACGCCTGTCTTGTGCTCTGTGAGTTTTTCATTTTCCCACAAAACTGCTGTGACTGGGACTTCTGGGGTGAGGGCAGACAGGCTGGGCTCCTGCTTGCAGAGGCTGGACGTCCAAACCCTTCCCCTAATGCAGAGATGACTCAGAACAACTGACATGAAGGCAGAGTGAGGCCAGGACACAGTCAGGCCAAACGCCCCCAATCCACGCCAGGGGAGACTGTGCCCAGGGCTGCGGCACACACGGCCTGAAGCCGGCTGCAGGGAGTGGGCTTGGCCAGCCGCTGGCTACAGCGGGAACTGTCCAGCCTGTGGCCAGGGAGCAGCTGAGGGAGGCAGGATGGCAGGAAGTGGCCGGGCAGCTCAGGCCACCTGCCACAGGTGGTCGTGGAAAGAGAGTCCCTCAAACTGAGCTTGCAAACTGAAGTCGTAAACTAACCTGAGAAAGGCAAGTACAAATAACAGGAATCTCAAAATAAACAAGCTGGAGATCTTAAAAGAGATGAAAGAAGTCCTGACTGTCACACAGTCCCTGGTCTGACTGAGCGGCCAGGCAGGAGGAACACCCGTGCTGAGAGGCCACCCCACAGGTGAGGGCAGTGCCCTGGGGACGGGTGAGGCAGCAGGGGGTGAGGGCAGTGTCCTGGGGACGGGTAAGGTAGTGGGGGGTGAGGGCAGTGCCCTGGGGACGGGTGAGGCAGCGGGGGGGGGGGGGTGAGGGCAGTGCCCTGGGGATGGGTGAGGCAGTGGGGGGTGGATGGTGCTGGCACAGTCCACAGGGCTCCCAAGCCTATGCGAGTTTCGGCTGCATCTGGGGTCAGGGCCGTGGGCTCCACCTGAGGAGGCCCCTAACAGGGGTTCCCCACTCCCCACACCCTCCCACCCCAGGATCTGGGCTTGTGTTACCCACAAGTTCAAGGAGCAGAGGATGACTGTCCGCTCGGCAAATGCTCACTGGCACTGCTGTGTCTGCAGCAGGCTGGGCATGGCTGGGGCTCTGGGACTCTGGGACTGCAAGGTCCAGTGTGATGGGTTCTGAAGCCGGCACCGCAGAGCCACCCGGTGAGGTTCCAGCCACCAGCGAGGAGGGCACTAGGTCACCGACACTGGGCTGGGGCCTCGTCTAATCTTAGGTTGCGAGTCTCTTTGAGAAGGGTACAGAGGTGAACGCACTCCAGAGGGGAGGGAGGGAGACCCTGACCGCCAAGGTGACACACACCAGGGAGGGAAATGGATGGTGCCTGTCAAGGTGACACACACCAGGGCGTGGAGGGGGGCTCTGCCGCTGACTGACGGTGACCTCAGACATGTGGCCCCGTAGACACCAGCCTCCTGGGTGTTGGGACTGGCGCTAGACCTGGGAATCACTCAGCACCGGCCCGGCACACAGCAGATGCTCCGTGAACTCAGCCTCGCTCCCAGGGACACGCCCCCCACACCCACCGTGCTTGCCTGAGCCAGGAGCCCCACGCCCAGGCCCCGCCCGCGCCTCCTACCAGCTCTCGGCTCCACCGTCTTGTTGGCACCCTCCTCCATGAACATGAACCGCCCTCCGCCGAAGTCCTCCAGGTAGTTGGAGAGGTACAGCAGCGAGGTGTAGTCGAAGGAGCCGTAGGTCACCTGAGGGCAGAGCCGGGAGGAGGGGGCAGAATGGGCTCTCAGCATGCGACCAGGGCAGGTGCTGCTTCTCTCTCTTATTTTTTGTTTATTTATTTTTTGAGACAGAGTCTTGCTCCATCACCCAGGCTGGAGTGCAGTGATGCGATCTCGGCTCACTGCAATCTCCGCCTCCCAGGTTCAAGCAATTCTCCTGCCTCAGCCTCCCGAGTAGCTGGGGCTACAGGCACCCACCACCACACCCAGCTAATTTTGTATTTTTAGTAGAGACAGGGTTTCACCTTGTTGGTCAGGTTGGTCTCAAACTCTTGATCTCAGGTGATCCACCCACCTTGGCCTCCCAAAGTGCTGGGATTACGGGCATGAGCCACTGAACCCAGCCTCTTTTTTTTTTTAATAGGGTATCGCTTTTTTTACAGACAGCATCACTCAGGCTGTAGTGCAGTCACAGCACTGTCATTGCTTACCATAACCTTGAACTCCTGGCTTTAAACAATCCTCCTGCCTCAGCATCCCGGGTAGCCAGGACCACAGGCGCACGACACTACAACCAGCTAATTTTTTCTTTTCTATTTTTTTTTTTGTAGAGATGGCATCAGTCCACCCACTTTGGCCTCCCGGGTGCTGGGATTAGAGGCATGAGCCACTGTGCCTGGCTGATTTTTGTATTTTTTGTAGAGGTTGGGGCGGGGTGGTGGGGGCAGGGGGGCGGGTCTCGCTATGATGCCCAGGCTGGTCTCAAACTCCTGGCCCCAAGTGATCCTCCCACCTCAGCCTCCCGGGTGCTGGGATTACGCGCGTGAGTCACCAACATCTGTGCTTCTTATTTTCCAGAAGGTAAATTAACAACATGTGTCGGCCCCATTAATGAGGCCATTTGTTCCTTTGCAACTTTAAAAACCCTCTGCAGAGTCTCCAGCCTCATGCATTGTTGCCCAGGATTTCCTGTAAGCTCAGATGTTGGAGCAGCCGTGTTCCAGCAAAGGCTACGGGCAGCAGGCCAGCCAGCAGGGTGTGCATGCTGGGATGGTCCCCCGGTGCCAGCCTCGCTGCCCACACGTGGGAACCAGAGGCAGCGGTGGACGCGCTTTTCTCCTTTCTTCAGAAGTGGAGCAATCCCAAGCTTTTTAAAACTTGTAATAAAATGCAGAACCTAAGATTTTCCAGCTTAACTGTGTCTTCACTGTTTTTAAGCACAGTTCAGTGATGTTAAGCACATTTCCAATGTTGTGCAGCCACCGCACCGTCCTCTCCAGAACATCTCATCCTCCCAGGCCGAAGCTCCGTCCCCAGGAAGCACTGACTCCCCACGCCCCCCAGTCCTGCCCTCTCCATTCCGCTTTCTGTCTCTGTGAACCTGGCGACTCTAGGGTCCCCACGGACGTGGGATCAGGCAGGATCTGTCCCTCCGTGACTGGCTTACTTCACTCAGGGGTCGCAGCACTCAGCTTCCATTCCAGAACCCAGCTGGGGCCACGCCCTGGGGGTGAAAGGTGCAGCTGCCAGGACACCAGCTGCAAAGGGGAGGGCGCATCTCACCCAGCTCAGCTGTCATAAGCACACCCAGACCAGGGAGGGAAAGAGACACTCTGGGGAGGGAAGGGGGATGGAGCCGCACCAGCGCGGAACTGGACACCCACTGTGCGGGCGCTGAGCTAGGTACATCACACACAACAGAGCCTCGTGTGCAGTGGAGAGAGCCCAGGCTTGAAGGCAGACACCGGGCCC
Organism: Homo sapiens; assembly: GCF_000001405.40. NCBI lineage: Eukaryota > Metazoa > Chordata > Mammalia > Primates > Hominidae > Homo > Homo sapiens. The sequence goes on from NC_000017.11 coordinate 82,400,045, forward strand.
TCCCCCTGGGCAAGGTGGCCTCCTCTGAGTCCTCCTGGGAAGGAGAGCAGGATCACGCTGGGGCCCAGCCCCCAGTCCGACCCGCCAATATCCACCTCACATAATCCGCTGTAAGGAAGCCCAGTCTCAGGTGGTGCCCTGGGCGGTGGGTCAAGCTCCCTCCCCCCTGCCCCTCCCAGCTGCCAGGAGGCCCCTTGGGCTCAGCTCCCATGGGCTTTGCCCCCTCCAGGCCTCACAGATGCCCCCCGGAGTCCCCCCTTAAAAGCTTCCCAAACACAAGTCCATGCCAGGCTCTGATTCTGGGGAGACCAGAGTAAGACAGACGTCAAGTGAGCAAAGCCGCGTGCGGACTGCACTGCCTTCTGTAAAAAGGAAACCATACCAGGGTCCATGATCTGACAGCCACAGCTGCCTTATGTTATGCAATGGGAAGAAGGAACAATTGCCAAAACTGTTTTAAATGTGATTCTTTACAACTGACAGAATGCGGTATTCTTATGCATTCGTTTTTATACACACAGAGAAATTCAAGAAGGAACTCTGAGATCTCAGGACTGTGGTTACCTGTAGGTGAGGGGGTTACTGGTTCGCCTTTATTTATATACATATATATATATATGACTTTTAAATCTTGTAGGATGCATTACTTATTCAAATATTCAAATTTTGATGCATGATTTATTCAAAACTAAATTTAAAATAAAGTACACTGGCCAGAAGTCATAGCAAAATAGCTCCCCACAGAACACCACGAAAATCACCCAGGTTTCTAAACAGTTCTGTTTCACTGAAGTAAAGTCTCTGCTAATTAGAAAAACACTGATCTTCAGACGCCACTTTGGTTTCCTGATGAGCAGACAAAATTCGGTCAGGGGCCATGGAAGGAGCCGGGAGCGACCGGACCAGGGCGAATCTGCTGTCTGTGCCGGCGGAAGGCCAGTAAGTGCCGTGCAGTCGTGAAAAAGGAAGTGGTTAAAGTGGTTACGGCAAAGCGGTGGCGCCGGCTGCTCCCGACACTGCAGCCCGAGAGGGAGAGAGGAGGACTGAAGGCAGTCCCAGGCCTTGGGTTCCTTCACTGTTCCTGTTCCCTTGGGTTTACCTTTTTTTTTTTTTTTTTTAGATGGAGTCTTGCTCTGTCACCCAGGCTGGAGTACAGTGGCGCGATCTCGGCTCACTGCAACCTCCACCTCCTGGGTTCATGCCATTCTCCTGCCTCAGCCTCCCGAGTAGCTGGGACTACAGGCGCCCGCCACCACGCCCGGCTAATTTTTTGTATTTTAGTAGAGACAGGGTTTCACTGTGTTAGCCAGGATGGTCTCGATCTCGTGACCTCGTGATCCACCCGCTTCAGCCTCCCAAAGTGCTGGGATTACAGGCGTGAGCCACCACACCCGGCCCTGGGTTTACCATTTTAATGCCAAGTAGCAGAGTGCCAAGATGGCAGATGCTGATTGCAGATTATAACTGCAATCTCTCTCTCCTTCTGATTACAACTGAAACTGCACAGAGTGCACTTTGGGAGGCAGAGGCAGGTGGATCACCTGAGGTCAGGAGTTCGAGACTAGCCTGGCTAACATGGTGAAACCCCGTCTCTACTAAAAATACAAAAATTAGCCGGCCGCAGTGGCACGCACCTGTAATCCCAGCTACTCAGGAGGCTGAGGCAGGAGAATGGCTTGAACCTGGGAGGCAGAGGTTGCAGTGAGCTGAGATCGCGCCACAGCACTCCAGCCTGGGTGGCAGAGCAAGACTCCATCTCAAAAAAAAAAAAAAAAAAAACAAAGACTGCCCTTGAAGAATAATTTAGTAACAAATGTCACACGGCACAGAAAGCTGGTCATCTAACTGCCATTCCTTCCTCTGTCACAGCGGGCATGGTGGGGCAGCAAGAGTCCTAATCTCCCCAGCCATGTGCTTTCTGGCTTTAATCTTCTATTTGAGCTTCAGCTCCAGGGCTCACAGTGCCATTCAACCACTTCCATCCAGGTTGACTGTATGAAGGGAACTCACAGCTTCTACACCATAAAAATCACCCTTAAAGAATTGCTATAATACCATTCTTTGTATTAGCCGTGCTTTACTTTTATCTTCTAAAATCTTTTATTAAGGGCCAGGTGCGGTGGCTCACACCTGTAATCCCAGCACTTTGGGAGGCCGAGGCAGGTGGATTGCTTGAGGTCAGGAGTTTGAGGCCTGCCTGGCCAACATGGTGAAACCCTGTCTCTAATAAAAATACAAAAATTAGCTGGGCGTGGTGGTGCATGCCTGTAGTCCCAGCTACTTGGGAGGCTGGGGCAGGAGAACCGCTTGAACCCAGGAGGCGGAGGTTGTAGTAAGCCAAGATCACACAACTGCACTCCAACCTGGGCAACAGAACAAGACTGTCTCAAAAAAAAAAAGAAAGAAAGAAAGAAAGAAAAGGCTGGGCATGGTAGCTCACGCTTGTAATCCCAGCACTTTGGGAGGCCAAGGTGGGCAGATCACCTGAGGTCAGGAGTTTAAGAGCAGCCTGACCAATACAATGAAACCCCATCTCTACTAAAAATACAAAAATTAGCCGAGCGTGGTGGCATGTGCCTGTAATCCCAGCTACTTGGGAGGCTGAGACAGGAGAATCACTTGAACCCAAGAGGTGGAGGTTGCAGTGAGCTGAAATCGCACCATTGCACTCCAGCCTGGGCATCAAGAGTGAAACTCCATCTTAAAAAAAAAAAAGAAAGAAAAGAAATGGGATGGGTAATGGCTCTCGCCTGTAATCCCAGCACCTTGGGAGGCTGAGGCGGGAGGATTGCTTCAGCCCAGGAGGTCAGGCCAGCCTGGGCAGCATAGTGAAACCCTGTGTCTACAAAAATAGAAAAACGAGCCAGGCGTCGGGGCACGCACCTGTGGTCCCAGCTATAGTCTCAGTCCCAGGCTGAGGCAGCAGGATGGCTTGAGCCTGGGAGGTCAAAGTTGCAGTAAGCCATGACTGCACACCTGCACTCCAGCCTGGGTGACAGAGTGAAGCTGTAACTCAAAAGAAATAAAAGAAAGAAAGATAGAAAGTGGTAAAAGAAGGCTCCCAGAGACAACACAGAGACCTGGGCCACAGAGAGCATGAGTGGCTGAGCAGAGACCATCTGCCGTAAGAGGTTAAGCATCAGTCTGTTAATAAATAACAATGGGGTAACCACAGGCCGTGTGGGCCGGGTTCTCCACTTCTTCTTGTCACCATCAAATGAGAAATTTTATTTCTCCAACTCCATCAGTGAGATTGAGGGTGTGCCCTGAAACCTCAGAGAGGAAGACATCTAAATGCTTACACCCACCGGGCATGGTGGCTCACACCTGTAATCCCAGCACTTTGGGGGGCCAAGGAAGGAGGATTGCCTGAGCTCAGGATTTTGAGACTATCCTGGCCAACATGGTGAAACCTCGTCTCTACTAAAAATACAAAAATTAGCGAGGCCTGGTGGGGCATGCCTGTAGTCCCAGCTACTCGGGAGGCTGAGGCAGGAGAATCGCCTGAACCCGGGAGGCAGAGGTTGCAGTGAGCCGAATCGCGCCACTGCACTCCATCCTGGGCGACAGAGCGAGACTCTGTCTCAACCAATCAATCCTAACACCATGCACACAGCAGGCGGATGCTGCAAAAGACAGCCCTGTGGTAGGTAGCCCCAGGCCACGGGAGAACAGGCCTCACCTTGACCACATGCGCGCTCACCCTGTCCACATGCGCGCTCACCCTGCCCACGTGCGTACTCACCCTGCCCACGTACGCACTCACCCTGCCCACGGGCACGCTCACCTTGTCCACGAGCGCGCTCACCCTGCCCACGTGCGCACTCACCGTGCCCACGGGCACGCTCACCTTGTCCACGGGCACGCTCACCCTGCCCACGGGCGCGCTCACCTTGTCCACGTGCGCATGCCAGTACTCGTCGTGCGCCGTCCGCGCTTCCGTGCTGTTTATGCGGGAGAAGAAGGTGGGCTTGGTCAGATGCAGCGAGGATGCGCTGATGCCAAAAGCCTCAGCAATGGTGAGCTGGACCTTCTGCCGCACCTCCCTGCAGAGGACACAATAGCCGTCAGCGCAGCCCCAGGCGGGAGGGGACGCTCGTGGGTCCCAACCCGTGGGTGGCAGGAAAGGAACCAGCCTTCGTACGGCTCCGGGCCCGCGGGGCGGGGGCTCCCAAGCACACCGGGAACAGATACCGGCTCCGCCTGGGAACGACGCGGCCCACAGCCCACGCACAGAGCAGCCAGAGGCAGGCGCAAGACCACAGCAGCAGGACTGGGGAGGCAGAAGGGGGCCTGCAGGACCAACGCTGGGGAGGCTGGTGTGGAGTCAGGCCCCAGATGCCAGAGCCTCCAGGCTTCACTTGCAGGGCCTGGAGCCCAGCCTCCTATTCAGCAACGAAGAGGCTGCTGTCCCCCAACGTGAGTGTGCGGGGTGTGTGGACGTGGGGAGAGGGGAGTGGGTGTCGAGCCTGCTAAGTGTGGATGGGGTGTCTGTACTGGGGACAAAGGGACTCTCGCTCAGAAGACCCCATGTGCCAGGCCAGAGCGGCTCTGAAATGGATGTCTGGGTGGGCATGGGCCCATGTGGGGGGCTCGAGGGGGGTCACTCATGTGTCCTGGGATGGTTGCGTGACTCTTAGCTCCTTTGCCCTCATCTCAACCTGGGCTCCTCCAGCAGAATTTTTTCTTTTCTTTTCTTTTTTTTTTTTTTTTTTGAGATGAGGCTTGTTCTGTCACCCAGGCTGGAGTGCAGTGGTGCAATCTCAGCTCACTGCAACCTCCACCTCCGGGGTTTAAGCAATTGTCCTGCCTCAGCCTCCGGGGTAGCTGGGATTACAGGCACCCGCCACCGCACCCAACTAATTTTTGTACTTTTAGTAAAGATGGGGTTTCACCATGTTGGCTAGGCTGGTCTCGAACTCCTGACCTCAGGTGATCCACCCGCCTCGCCTCCCAAAGTGCTGGGATTACAGGCATGAGACACCGCACCCAGCCTCATCTGGCAGAATTTTTAAAACTGGGCTGATTTTACACAGCAGAAAACAAGAGGTTCTGACCAGGATGCAGCCACAGGATTCCAGATCTGTTTCACCGACCCGGGCGCATCCTGGCCACGCTGGGCCTGCCCCGGCCTTTGCTCCATGAGAACTCACTTCTGCAGGCCTGGCCCTGGCCCCTGGGCCTCTCCGTGGGGCCTCCCCGGACCGGCCAGCTCTGCCACACCCCTCAGCCCCAGGCCACCCCGCCTGCGAACCCCCACCCGCCTCACTCCTCCTTACCGGTATAACCGGAAGTCCTCCTCTGAGAAGATGTTCTGTATTTTATCCCCGAAGTATCTGTGAAAAAAGGAGTATTCACAAAGGTCACAACACTTCATTAATCTGTTGTTCATCTCCTTTCAGTTCAGCCATTCCTCAAGTCCCTGAAAATCAACTCACACATTCAGAGCAACTCCATTTCCACAATGATAACTGCTATAAAGGAGCCGGGCCGGGCGCAGTGGCTCACGCCTGTAATCCCAGCACTCTGGGAGGCCGAGGCAGGTGGATCACCTGAGGTCAGGAATTCGAGACCATCCTGGCCAACATGGCACAACCCCATCTCTACTAAAAATACAAAAATTAGCTGGGCATGGTGGTGCGTGCCTGTAACCCCAGCTACTCAGGAGGCCGAGGCAGGTGGATCACTTGAGGTCAGGAATTCGAGACCATCCTGGCCAACATGGCACAACCCCATCTCTACTAAAAATACAAAAATTAGCTGGGCGTGGTGGTGCGTGCCTGTAATCCCAGCTACTCAGGAGGCTGAGATGGGAAAATTGCTTGAACCCAGGAGGCAGAGTCAAATGAGTCGAAATTGCGCCACTGCACTCCAGCCTAGGCGACAGAGCAAGATTCCATCTCAAAATAATAATAATAATAATAAAAACAAGGAGCCAGCCGGGAGCAAGACCCAGGGCTAATGCATGAGGCTGACACGGATCCACGCAGGGAGGGTCTCTTTGCTCTCCCGGCCCCTCATGGAGCGTCAAAGGCCCCGTTGGATTCTTGGAAGCTGCTCCTGGGAGCCTCCCATCTCTGCTGCCTCTTGCTCCCATCCCTTCTGTCCCTGGGCCCACAAAAACACCAGATTCCCCTAAAGCTTCATGAACAAGCCCCCTGCCCACAGGCTGTGGAGAGTCCACACCTCCCAGCTCTTGCGTCCCAAAGAACCAGGAAGGACCCGGCCAACATCACAGCCACTGAGGCCCTGAGGCTGCACCGAGCCGGATCCTCCCTCACATGTCCACGTGTCCACATGTCCATGGCTAAGAGGCACGGAGCCGCTCACTCGGCTTTCAGAGCCAGCACTGAGGTCATGCTGCAGCACTCACCTGTACAGGTTCACAAAGTGCTTCCCGACAGACAGGGCCCCTGAGTGCAAGTCCAGAATGGATGCCTGGAAAAGACGTTGTGGAGTAAAGCGTGCAGCCGCAGCAATGGCAATGGCTGTTAAAAGTCATGGATGGTAAATGCGAGTTTCCAAGGTCTGGCCAGCACACACCTCAGGTGTTTTTTTGTTTTTGTTTTTGTTTTTTGTAAAAAGGATCTTATTCTGTTGCCCAGGCTAGGGCGCAGTGGCACAATCTCAGCTCATTGCAGCCTCAATATTCCAGGCTCCAGGCCAAACAATCCTCCCACCCTCTGCCTCCCAAGTAAAGGCGCTCGCCACCACACCTGGCTAATTTTTCTATTTTTTGTAGAGATGTGGTCTCACTATATTACCTAGGCTGGTCTCGAACTCCGGGGCTCAAGTGATCCTCCCACCTCAGCCTCCCAAAGTACTGGGATTACAGGCATTAGCCACTGCACCCAGCCTCAACCCAGGACTTTCTTAAAATCCTCCCAGACCGGCCAGACGTGGTGGCTCACACCTGCAATCCCAGCACTTTGGGAGGCTGAGACAGGTGGATTGCTTGAGGCCAGGAGTTCAAAACCAGCCTGGCTAACATGGTGAAACCCCATGTCTACTAAAAATACAAAATTAGCTGGGCATGGTGGCGAGCTGTAATCCCAGCTGTAGCTGGGACACCTACAGAGATAGCCTCCCAAGGAGCTGTAATCCCAGCTACTTGGGAGGCTGAGGCAGGAGAATCACTTGAATCAGGGAGGCGGAGGTTGCAGCGAGCCGAGATCGTGCCATTGCACTCCAGCCTGGGCTACAAGAGCGAAACTCCATCTCAAAAAAAAAAAAAAATCTTCCTGGACCAAACACTTTTGTTCCCTGTGACCTAAAGAATGGTGGCACGTGTGGGCTATTTTTAGTCTGGAGCCATCTCCGTGCAGCTCCGTGCCAGTCACAGTCATGTGTCCCTGTGGGCAAGTGTTGACTTCTCTCGAGTAAATGCCTCACAGCGGTGCTCCCACCTTGGCCTCCTGGGCGGCTGGCACCACAGTGCGCGCCACGCCAAGCCTGAGTCATCACTTTGTAAGCCACTGCTGAAGTGTTTCCTGCCCGACCACCCACCTCTCAGTCCTTCCCTACGTCCTCAGAGGAAGAGGCTTCCAGCCCACGTTAGTCATCCCACCTGTGACCCCAGAGGAGCCCCACTGCTGCCCCTTCCTCATCGCCACAGCCACTGGCCCTGCGGCACTAACCTAGCTTGGGCCCGCTGAACAGTAACTGAACCCAAAGCAGCGGCCCAGCCAGCTCCATGCAGGACAACTTCCCATGTGAACGTGGAGGAGCTGTGAAACAGAAACCTACTCACTCACAGATCTTTAACAAATAGCCCCCGAACTGAACCAAACCAAACTGAAATAAAGGGAGGAACTTAGGCCGGGCACGGTGGTTCACACCTGTAATCCCAGCACTTTGGGGGGTCAAGGCAGGTGGGTCACCTGAGCTCTGGAGTTCAAGACCAGCCTGGCCAACATGGTGAAACCTCATCTCTATTTAAAATGCAAAAATTAGCCGGGCATCATGGCACATGCCTGTAGTCCCAGCTACTCAGGAGGCTAAGGCAGAAGAATGGCTTGAACCCAGGAGTTGGAGGTTGCAGTGAGTGGAGATCGCCCCATTGCACTCCAGCCTGGGCAACAGAGCGAGACTCTGTCTCAAAAAAAGAAGAAAAAAAGGAACTTAATTTTCAGAACTCAAGAGAAAAGAGTTTGCAGAAAAAAGTCACACAGACCATCACAGAAATACTTTGAAATTCTCAAAGAGTCTATAAATTAATTTTCTAGAAGTTTCAAATATGCAGAAAGACTCAAGTCTATTCAGTGATTATAATTCAAAGCGATCACCAAATAAACAGAGAGAAACAGATCTTCAGACAATTCCACACACCGAGCAAGAAAACAACCCTGAGGAAACCGCATGGGAATTGGAGCTAACACCAGCTGCACCAGACTGACTCCCAGCCACTGCCCAACAGGAGGGCGAGGCCACAGCCGGCGGTGGCTCCATGATCCCTGCGGCTGTGGTAACACAAACTGGGGCTTTAAAACAACACAAGTTTATTCTCTCACAGTTCTAGAGCCCAGGAGTCTAAAATCGAGGTGTGGGAGGGGCCCTGCTCCCTCCCAGGGCTCCAGGGGAGGTCCTGCCCGCCTCTTCCATGGCCGCACTGCTCCCATCTCTGCCTCCATCATCACAGGACCTTTTCCTCCTCCCTCTCAAATCTCCCCCTGCCTCTGTCTCCTATAGGCACTTGCCATTGGATTTAGGACCCTAAATCTGGGATGATGTCATCTTGAGATCCTTAAGTTAATTACATCTGCAAAGGTCCCTTTTCCAAATCAGATCATGTCCACGGGCTCCAGGTGAACACATTATCCGAGGCCACTAGCTGACCCCCTGCAGCCTCACATGGGACGACAGCCCCACAGGGCGTCCATGGAGGCGTCCAGCTAGGAAGTTGCAGGATGCGTTGCAGCGTGTCTGTCCCACGGAGGCCCTGCTGTTTCCCGGCAGCTCCACGGGCTCTCCTGTGTCCAGCATGCGCAGCCGTCTCCTCGCTGGGCTCCCACCCCGCTCCCTTGCCGGCTCCCTGCTTCCGACCCCCTCTATCCCCCAGTGTGAACTGGAGCCAGGCAGGCCGTGACATGCCATGAATAGATGGCCACGCACATCTAAGGACACACTCTTCCCAACGAGGGGACGCCGCACGGGTTTCAGTCAGGCGCAGCTGCTGCGGCTGGTGCTGAGAAACACCACGGCAGGCCCCACCCACATTTGGGGGCACGCAGGGAACCCTGCATGTCTGTGCCTTCCCCTTCCCATCCAAGTGAGAGCAAAGTTAACGGGTAAAAAAAGGGGGGCAGGGACTACATTCAACTCACCCCTCCGTCAGATCCTCCCAGGGAGAGCCCCTTTTCAGCTACGCTGCAGGGAGAAAATAATTCAGAATTTCGTTGCTAGAATTGTCTATAATGTATAATCTAGGCAAACGTCAATCAGCAAAATTAATGCAACATTAGTGGGTCCTGCGTGTTTAATGTTTATGATGTAAACAAATGTTTAGACCAAAGGACTCAACTTTCAAAGTTCAGTGCGTAAGCGACAATACTGCCATCGTTGTCTTGTCAATATTTGACTCAGCTTAGAAACGACTGGGCTTCAGCACCTTGGGAGGCCAAGGCGGGTGGATCACGAGGTCAGGAGTTCCAGACCAGCCTGGCCAACATGGTGAAACCTCGTCTCAACTAAAAATACAAAAATTAGCCAGCTGTGATGGCAGGTGCCTGTAATCCCAGCTACTCTGGAGGCTGAGCCAGGAGAATCGCTTGAACCCAGAAGGCAGAGGTTGCAGTGAGCCGAGATCGCGCCACTGCACTCCAGCCTGGACAACAAAGCAAGACTCTGTCAAGAAAGAAAGAAAAAGAGAGAGAGAGAGAGAGAGAGAAAGGGAGGGCTGGGCTTAATCTCTCATCTTCAATATCGAAAGCCACCTGGGCCAAGCTCAGGAGCCTGGGGAGCATCTAGGGGAGGGCCCACTGCTCCCCATCTCTCCTGGAACCCCAGGCAGGTGGGGGAAGCTTTGAGATTCACCAGCTCAGGAGATAGGGGCCCTGACCATGGTGGGAGAAAGACACCCACACGCCAGCTGTGCTGGACCACAGAGGACCACCCTGAGCTGCCACAGGTGCTGGGAGCTGCCTGTGGACACCAAGTGGGGACACGCCGGTGCCTCAGTCAGACAGCAGTAACCCCACTGGAGCTAGGCAGCAGTAACCCTGCGTGGAGCTAGGCAGCATCCTCGGGGGCAGGCTCCCTGGGGAGAATCTCAGGGCAGGGCACGTGGCCCAGGGCTGCACACCATTCCACATGCTTATCGTCTCAACAAGTGGTTGGAAAATCAAAACTTTCTTTTAAGATCTCAGTAAGAAAAGTCCAGCACCAGTAGCCTCTGAGTGGCATCCTGTGCTGCCACAAGTCATAGCCAGGTGGGCTGACGGGCTCCCTGGAGGCAGTTTCAGAGCAGACACTGAGCGGTCATTGAGCAGTGTCCCGGAGGCTCCGTGGGGAGCATGGGGCACTCAGCAGCAGCCCCCAGAGGCGGCCACAACCCCTGCAGAGGAACCTGGGCCTCTGGGTACTCTCCCAGCTACTGCTTCGCTGAGGGCCATGGTCTCCTCTCCTGAAATCGGAAAATCTGAGCTTGGCCCTTGAAAGCACATAATTCTTTTTTTTTTTTTTTTTTTTTTTTTTGAGATGGAGTCTCACTCTGTCACCCAGGCTGGAATGCAATGGCTCAATCTCGGCTCACTGCAATCCCTGCCTCCCAGGTTCAAGCAATTCTCCTGTCTCAGCCTCCTGAGTAGCTGGGATTACAGGAGTGTGCCATCACACTCGGCTAATTTTTCATATTTTAGTAGAGACAGGGGTTTCACCATGTTGCCCAGGCTGGTGTCGATCTCCTGAGCTCAGGCAATCCACCCGCCTTGGCCTCCCCAAGTGCTAGGATTACAGGCATGAGCCACCGCACCCAGCCTGGAAATTCTTATAAAATTATAATAAAATCTTTTTTTTTTTTTTGGAGATAGAATCTCGCTCTGTCGCCCAGGATGGAGTGCAGTGGTGCAGTCTTGGCTCACTGCAACCTCTGCCTCCCGGGTTCCAGCGATTCTCCTGCCTCAGCCTCCTGAGTAGCTGGGACTACAGGCACATGCCACCACACCCAGCTAATTTATTGTATTTTAGTAGAGACAGGGTTTCACCATGTTGCCCAGGCTGGTCTCGAACTCCTGAACTCAGGCAATCTGCCCGCCTCAGCCTCCCCAAGTGCTGGGATTACAGGCGTGAGCCACCACGCCTGGCAATAAAATCCTTAAAACCACTTTATTACTAACAATGCTCTGCTTCCCGCCCTAGCCCCACTCCGCGTGTGTTTGTTTGAATCCCACCGTGCTCAGGGACAGGCGGTTACCTGCGAATCCGCTCCGCTTCCTCCCTGGTGATGACGACATCGGTGACACCTCTGCCGCACTTTCGGGGAGTGCAGCCTGTGAAGGGACAGCCAGGGTGAGACGCAGTTTCCAAGGCCACCGGCGCATGCCCTTCCAGGGAATCAGGGCCAGAACTGGCTAATACGCCCGGTCAAATGTGAATTTCAGACACACACAACCACAGCTCTCCAGCGTGCATGCGCTTTGTGCGGTGCATCTGGAGTTCACGTCTCACTGGGCCACCTTGGCTTCCAGTGGCTCCAACTGGAAATTTAATCCAGAGGCACCTGTTGCTGCCCCAAACCCTGGGAAAGTCACAGAAACCCCAGACACGGCGTCAACAGCATTCCTGAACCATCACTGACTGCAGGTCCAGACACCCACAGGCACCGTCAGAAAACCCTTCTGAGACCACCAGAGCAGAAAACCCTCCTGAGACCGCCAGAGAGGAAAACCCTCCTGAGACCACCAGGGAGGAAAACCCTCCTGAGGCCACCAGAGGGGGGAACCCTCCTGAGACCACCAGAGCAGAAAACCCTCCTGAGACCACCAGAGAGGAAGACCCTCCTGGGACCACTGGCGCAGAAAACCCTCCTGAGACCGCCAGAGAGGAAAACCCTCCTGAGACCACTGGAGCAGAAAACCCTCCTGAGACCACCAGAGTGGAGCTTGTGGGTCTAGTCCCAGTCCTTCCCCAGGGCACAGCGAACTGCTCCGCACATGCCCCTGTCTCTCCCCGTACCTTGGTGACCTGCGGAGGCTGAGAGGGAAGAGGAAGCAGCAGCTCAAATGGGGGTCAGGGTGGTCGGGGCAGGGGCAGGGTCGTTGGGACAGGAGCAACACGGTCGGGGCAGGGGCATGGTTATCGGGGCAGGGGCATGGTTATCGGGGCAGGGGCATGGTTATCGGGGCAGGGGCATGGTTATCGGGGCAGGGGCATGGTTATCGGGGCAGGGGCATGGTTATCGGGGCAGGGGCATGGTTATCGGGGCAGGGGCAAGGTCGTTTGGGGCAGCGGCAGTGTCGTTGGGACAGGATCAGAGTGGACAGGAGTCAGGGTCATTGGGCAGAGGAAAGGTGGACAGGGCAGGGGCAGGGTGTTTGGGGCAGGGGCAGGGTGGTCAGACAGGGTTAGGGTGTTTGGGGCAGGGTGGTCAGGGCAGGGGCAGGGTGGTCGAGGCAGCATCGCACAGATGCACAAGGTACAGCAGAGTGTCGGAGAGGGGCCCAGGGACCCGCCCCTGTGGTTTGGTACCAAGTGCAGCTGGCTTCATGCGCTGGAAAGGCGTCAGGCCATGCCTGATCGATCAGACAGCAGCCCACAAGCACCAGGACATGGGGCAAACCGGGACTCCACAATATGCTTTTCCTCCCTCTCCCTACATCCTGCCTAAAAAGCCAGCCCTGAGCCTGGACGTGGAGCATCCCTCCCGGGACCATGGGAATAAAAGCCTCGCACTCAGTGCTGAGTGCCAGCATCAGGGGCTTGGACCCAGGGATCACAAGGCACCGAGATGACCTTGGTTCCTTTCTCTGGGCCTTGTGCCAGGAGATAAACAGAGCTCCACTTGGCTGAATATCAGGGAAGGGGGGCTGTAGTTACTGTGGTTAAATGATCTAATGGACATAGGTGTTGTATTTCAAAAACAAAAAGTCATTTTATGCTTTTTTATAAGGTTTACCCCACAAAACGCGAGGACACAGGAAAGCGGAAAGCAAACAGCAAATGCAATGAGAGCCACACAGGCCCGTGGCGCAGCCTCTGTACTAGCAAAGAGAATCACTAGAGGGAAGAGAGGGTCCCCCGCGGCACAGGAGCGACTCGGCAGGAAGGGGAAGGGGCAGCAGACAGCAGACAGCATCGCCCCATGACACACGTGGCAACCAAAGCACAGACGCTGCTGGGTCCATGCTCAGTGGAGGTTCTGACGCCCCTTTCCATAGCCGGTGGGTGAAGGAGACAGAAACTGGTGATGAGAATTTGTGCACACGAGCGTGGGTCAGGAGAAATACCCACAACGTTGTGAAAAGGGACCAAAAATCCCACGCATTTCCAAATCTTTTAAATTTCCAAGTAATTCATGAGTTAAAAAACAATAATAATAAAAATTAGAGGCCAGGCGCAGTGGCTCATGCCTGTAACCCCAGGGCCTTAGGAGGCCAAGGCAGGTGGATCACCTGAGGTCAGCAGTTTGAGATCAGCCTGGGCAACATAGGCAAAACACCGTCTCTACTAAAATTACAAAAATTAGCCAGACATGGTGGCAGGTGCCTGTAGTCCCAGCTACTCAGGAGGCTGAGGCAGGAGAATCACTTGAACCCAAGAGGCCTGGCGGAGGTTGCAGTGAGCCGAGATCATGCCACTGCACTCCAGCCTGGGCAACACAGTGAGTGACACTCTGTCCAAAAAAAAAAAAAAGAAGAAAGAAAGAAAAAGAAAATACATCAAACCATTTGTTTTATTGTAAAATATATACAAGATAGAATTTACCATTTTAGCCAAGCTTTTTAAAAAGTGCGCAGTGTGGTGGCATCGGGCACAATAGCATCGTGCAGCCGTCACTAGCACCACCTCCAGAACTTTTCCACCTCCCACAGGTGAAATCCCAAATCTATTAAACATGGACTTCCATCCTCCCTCCCTCATTCCAACTTTTTTCTTTTTTGGCGGGGGGTCAGGATCTCGCTCTGTCACCCAGGCTGGAGTGCGGTGGCACACTCTAGGTTCACTGCAGCCCTGACCTCCTTACCTCCCAACCTCCTGGGTTCAAGTGATTCTTCCACCTCTGCCTCCTGAGCTGGGGTTACAGGCGTGCACCACCACACCTGGCCCATTTTTTATTTTGTAGAGATGGGGTCTCACTGTGTTTCCCAGTCTGGTCTTGAACTCTTGGCCTCAAGCGATCCTCCTGCCTGGGCCTCCCAAAGTGCTGGGATTGAGGATGAGCCACTGCTCCAGGCCATTGAAACTATTTTTAATGTCGATAAATTATTAATGATAACATGAAAAATTTCTGCTCCGTGCTAGCATTCAAAAAAGAGTTTTGGAAAGCTGGGATGTTAGAGAGAGAACTTCTGCTAAGAAAGAGAGAGCACCCACAACAACACACAACAGAAACACGTTCATTTTCTTGACTCCGAGGCGGTCCCGTCCCTCCCTGCGGCGCGGCTGGGACCACGTTCACGTGCGTCACAACGGCGCCCCTTTGTGGAAGAACTTGGCAATCTTTTCTTGGTTCAAGTGCAAAGCATTGAATTGAATTTTTAAAACCTGAATTCTGCCTCAAAAACCCAGCGGCGCATGCTGGACTTTTAAAACTAAGAATATATCCAGGTGGCATGGAATGTTCAAGAAAACAGAAGCGACAGGAGGCCTACAGGGGGTGTGCGGTGGCCGGCCCGGTCAGACCTGCTCCGAGGCCGTGCGCTCTCCAAGGTGCTGAACCCCGGCCCGGCCAACCGCAGCGCTGCTCCAGGCTCTGGGCTGCCCTGGAACCACCACCTCCCGCATCTCTCAGGCCCAGGCAGAACGGGAGCGGGGGAGGGGAGCTGGGGCACAGGACGGCAGAAGGGCTGCTGGTCGTTTCTTGTTACATTTTCCCCAACATTCTCTGACTCTACCACATTCTCCAGTCAAAAAATCTTTCTGGTTTTGACTTTCTCATCCCTATCTTTCCAAGGCAAACCATCTCCTCCGCTGGACCGCACAGCTTACTAAAACGCCAACCGTGGCCGGGCAGTGATGGGCAGGGCGCGAAACACCTGCACTCCCAGTCAGACGTGGACTAGCCAGCCTGCAGGAGGGGAGAGGTTGTCTGCTACCCCCAAGCATACCACATCCAACCCAATTCCCACCCCTTCGTCGCAGCCAATGTCCTTTAACCACACTGAGTCTCATTTTAAAGTGTTGCTTTCCTGAACTACCTTCGAACCTGCGGTGACTGTCGTAGTCCTCAGAGCAGGGCACCTCGATGAATCTCCCTGCCACGACCTCGCCACGGCGGGCCAGGACCTCTGCGACCCCGTCGTCGGCCCCCAAGCTGCTCCAGAGCAGGAGTGCGGTGAGCACAAAGCCAGCCCCCAGGCCCGCGGTCCTTAGCCACGGCCTCTGCCACAGCCTCTGCACCTCCCGCGGGGCTCGGTCCTTCTTGGTGCTGAGAACAGAAAACAGGCCACGTCACCCAAACACGGAGTGAGGCCAGAGAAAACGCTCCCCGATCATCAAAGTGCATGCACCATGACCCGGCCTTCACTCACACGTCACCCCTGAAACGAGGGCTTCCTGCCTGGGGCCAGCGCTGTCCACTCAGGAAACACGGACTCTTCCCTCCCTTTCCCTTCAGGGATCTCCAATACACACTAACTGCCTTCTGAGCCCGGGAGTTTGAGAAATATTGCAATAGAGACTCATGGGTTTTAAGCAAAAGAAAAAAAAAAAAAAAGCCAGACATGCTCCTTATAAAAGCCACTTCAGGCCCGGCGCAGTGGCTTATGCCTGTAATCCCAGCACCTGGGGAGGCCAAGGCGGGCAGATCACCTGAGGTCAGGGTATCGAGACGAGCCTGACCAACATGGTGAAACCCTGTCTCTACTAAATACAAAAAAAAAAAAAATTAACCGGGTGTGGTGGCACATGCCTGTAGTCCCTGCTACTCAAGAGGCTGAGGCAGGAGAATCATTTGAACCCGGGAGGTGGAGGTTGCAGTGACCCAAGATTGTGCCATTGCACTCCAGCCTGGGCAACAAGAGCAAAACTCCATCTCAATAAATAAATAAATAAATAAACAAACACACACCACTTTAATGTGAGATGTTTCACAACAAAATAAGGATGTTTAAAAGGGTTTGCTTAGCAAAATGGGACAGGATGGGGTGCCCTGTGGTGCAGCTGCTCTAGGACAGGCTGGTAGTGATGGGGGCCTCCACACAGGGGTGAACACTAAGGACGGGGGCCACTGGAGGAAGGTTGTTTCCAGGGTGGGGCGGAGGTGAGCCCCCTACAGCTCAGGTTATTCCATCAGGGCCGCACTCCCTCCCCTCCTGTAAAATAAGCTTCTCGTCTGTTCCAAGGAGCAGGTATTGGGCCTGTCCCAACAATGATAAGAGAGGGGCTTTGGACACATGTATTTCCAAAACTTGAATAGAGACTCATTTAAGGCATATTAGGACAATATTTCTTTTATTTTTTTATTTTTATTTATTATTTTTTTTTTTGAGACAGAGTTTCACTCTTGTTGCCCAGGCTGGAGTGCAATGGCACGATCTTGGCTCACTGCAACCTCTGCCTCCTGGGCTCAAGCAATTCTCCTGCCCCAGCCTCCTAAGTAGCTAGGATTACAGGCGTGCACCACCACCCCCAGCTATTTTTTTGTATTTTTAGTAATAGAGACGGGGTTTCACCACGTTGGTCAGGCTGGTCTCGAACTCCTGACCTCAAGTAATCTAACCGCCTCAGCCTCCCAAGGTGCTGCAATTACAGGCAAGCACCACCAGGCTCAGCCTCAAAAGTCTATATTTCTATATTAACCATTCAGTGCTGACAAAAACTGGTACTCGGTATTTCAGAAAATGTACAAGTTTACTGGAAATTTTTAAAATGTATTAATTAAATAACTTCTCATATTACTATTGAAGGAAATAGATACATGTATGTTTATACTTGAAATATTCTTTTGGAGAGATTTGGTTTTGGGAGAAGGTAGAATACTTATAAATCATCACTAGGTCATTCATTTATAAAATTATAGTTGCAAGCTAGTCTGATGGTAGTGGATCCCCAGAACTTATTAACCTTAGTGTCACCAACGTTGGTATACAACCCCCCACAACTAAATTTGACTGGCTTTTAAAAAATTATAGCTGTGGCCAGGTGCAGTGGCTCACGCCTGTAATCCCAGCACTTTGGGAGGCTGAGGCGGGCGGATTGCTTGAGGTTGAGAGTTCGAGACCAGCCTGGCCAACATGGTGAAACCCCATCTCTACTAAAAATACAAAAATTAGCCGGGCATGGTGGCGGGCGCCTGTAATCCCAGCTATTTGGGAGGCTGAGGCAGGAGAATCTCTTGAACCCGGGAGGCAGAGGTTGCAATGAGCCGAGATTGCGCCACTGCACTCCAGCCTGGGCAACAGAGCGAGCCTCTGTCTCAAAAAAAAAAAAAAAAATTATAGCTGTGAACTAGCATGAGGCATTTAAGATCCTATCTAGTAGACTCCAAAAGCAGCTGAGATGAAAAAGGGATAAAAATCTCAAGAACAAACTATGAGGTTTAAGAGTTATTGCAGTCTATCCAAACCTGAGGTGTCCTCCTGATATTTCTAAACTGACGACTTCAATGTGCAAATCGTCAATAGAGGGGAATTGGGCACTCCCCAAAAGAGCAAAATATTAATATCAAGCAAGCGAGAAGCTGTATTCTGCACGTTAGAGGCTCCTTCACTAATACCTGCAAACCAATGATCACCCGTAACATTTTAAAATCCTAAAACTAAGCCATTCCTCCATGGCACCCGATCCTCTAGAATTCCACGGGGAAAGCAGGTTTCGTGGTTTAAAAGTGAAGGCGGAGGCACGCTCCTGGCTCAGGCGGACTTTCCAGGCTGCTGGGTGGGTTATTCCACGGGACAGCGACAGCCAAACGGCAGGTTCCCGGAGCAGCAGCAGCAGCTCATCAGGCTGGGAGCAAAGCCCCCTTCTCTTTCTCCTGCCCCTCTGGGATAGGTGGGCCTCTGCCGTCGGCTACCGCGGCTCCCGCCCGCACCTGCCCTGCTCCCAGCATGGGCTGCGGTAGACCCCGCCCCCCGCGGCAGACCACGCCCACCTGCCCCCCCCCACCCCCCCACCCGGGTCGGGCCAGGCCCCGCCCCATCAGCCCCAGTCCCGCCCACTCCATGGCCCTGTCCGCCGCCGCAGCGCGCGCCCTTCCCCTCCTCACCGCTACCTGCTCCGGTTCCGGCGCTCGGCCGCTCCGTTGCCCTCGGGCGCCTTGGTTGCGGCCCTCCGCTGAGGAGCCATCGGACCAGGCCGCCGCGGAGCCGGGCCGGACGCGGGCGCCAGGCCCGGGGACGAACGCCGTAACAGGGAGCGCGAGGCAGGCACGGCGCAGGGACGCGAGTGCGACGCGCTCGGCCATCGGCCCCTGGGCTGGCGGCCAGGCCCGAGCAATCGGCGGCCGAGCGGGGCGGGGCTCAGAGCGGAGGCGGCGGCCGCGAGGGCGGGGCGGCCGGGCCTGGCTGCGCCCCCGGACCTCGCGGGACCGCGGCGGCGCAGGTGAGGTGCGGGTGCGGCTCTGGCTCTGCGCGCTAGGCCGGGCGGCTCCTGGCTGGAAGCGTTTCCCCCGCGCCAGTACCTGAAGAGGGACGGCCGGGCTCCCGAGCGACGCCTCCCAGCGTGGCTGTCCCGCAGCGGCGATGCGGGGCTGCTGAGAGAGGCTCGCACAGAGCCTGTGGGTGTAAATTGTGTGTAACTGGTCGTATGTACAAACTGAAAGTGCTGTGTTACAGAGCCCTTAGGGTCAGCAGCCTCCGAACCCCTGCACGGAACCAGGGGCTGGATTACTGAACTGAGTCTGTCTCACATGCAAAGCTTTCCTTTCCTTTTCTCACCCAATCCTTTGTGCTTTCATAGTAGATAGGAAAAATAAATAAAAAATACATAAATTTTACCCTTCCCCAGCTGCTTCGTTATCCCTTGGATGCCGCCTTTATTCAGTATAATACTACGGTCAGCTCTGATGCACTTGGGGGCTTTTTCAAAATTATCAGCTTACCTTAAATCCTAGACAGTTTTCTCCAACCTGGAGTCAGTTTTGCAGTTTCTTCCTCTTTATAATCAAGCTGATCTGAGCTCTAGAAATACAAATTAGTTTTAATATTACCTAAAATTTGGATAAATTTCCTACAGAAGCATCATATTGTGCGGCCTGATAAGAAAATGTTTAGAGGCTTCTGCCCGACTGTTTTCACTAGCATAGTACATCTAGTTTAACAAGGTCTTTAAAACAAGGTTGTTTGGCAGTTATTTGTGTTATTATAGATCATAACCATCTTATAAACAAACTAGTGCTGTTTTGTTTTAGCAACAAATCACACATAGCAGAGGTCTCTATATCTTAACATGGAGGTAGACTTCCAGTTCATTTTCATGTTAGCAAAATGAGTTTCCTCCAAGTTAATCTATCAAAACTGGCCAGTATCAGAACTGAAACTGAAAGTATAAGGAGAAAGGCAAAGGGAGAAGCTTCTGCCCCTGTTGATAACTCTTGATTTTCTCCACTAGGAAGAAGTCCCCAAGGAGACTTCGCCATAGGAGTTCACAGGAAATATTGAAATGTCAGGTTCCACTCCATTTCAGATGAGATTAGTTCATTTAGACCTTAAAGGAGCTCCACCAAAGGTCTCGTACCTCTCAGAGGTAAGGACTCCCTTTTACCTCTAGAGCATTACTTTTTGCCTTGGCTTCATTCTTTAAAGTTTTGAGCAGTGTTCTGTGGAAACGGGTACCTAGAACACAACCACAAGGTTCTCGGTGGAGCAAGATGGTGGCAGCAGCATTGATTTTGAATTTCCTCCATAGCCTCTCACAAAAACAGAACAACCAGGATGACAAAAGGGAAAAAAAAAAAAGACAGAGAACAAAAGAAACTCACAGCTTCTTTCTTTTGGGTTGAAGTGTATCTTTCCAAAAAGATATGTTCAAGTCTTAACCCCTGGGACCTGTGAATGAGACCTTATTTGGAAATAGGATCTTTGCAGATGTAATCAAAATAAGATGAAGTTGTACTAGAATATGGTGAACCCTAATCCAGTGATTGGCATCCTTATGAGGAGAGGGAAATTTAGAGCCTGAGACACACGGAGGGAAGGCAGTGTGAAGACCCAGGAGGATGCCCCGCGGTGCCAGCAGCCAAGATGGTCATGACGTGCCACGAACCCCAGGATGCCGAGGACAGCTGACGATCACCAGAAGCTAGAGAGAAGCAAGGAAGGGTCCTCCTCTTCAGCCTTCAGGGAGAGCTGGGTCTGCTGACACCTGGATTTTGGACTTAGGGCCTCCAGAACTGTGAGAGAATAAATTTCTGTTGTGTCAAGCCGCCCAGTTGTTTGTTTGTTTTTTGAGACGGAGTCTCGCTCTGTCATCCAGGCTGGAGTACAATGGCGCAGTCTCGGCTTACTGCAACCTCCACCTCCCGGGTTCAAGCAATTCTCCTGCCTCAGCCTCTGGAGTAGCTGGGATTACAGGTGCCTGCCACCATGCCTGGCTAATTTTTGTATTTTTAGTAGAGACGGGGTTTCACCACATTGGCCAGGCTGGTCTTGAACTGCTGACCTCGTGATCCACCCGCCTCAGCCTCCCAAAGTGCTAGGATTACAGGTGTGAGCCACCGCACCCGGCCAAGCCACCCAGTTTATGGTCATTTATTACAGCAGCCCTAGAAAACTAAGACACTCTTCAACAAAATTAGGTATCAGGGTGTCCCCATGGATCCCAAACTACAAGTGGGTGGGACCAAACCACAGACAGAATAACACCTGTATGGGGTTAGTGGCCAAGCAGGAGGTAACAGAGGAAAGAGGGAAACTCCAACAGTGCTATGACCAGAGGACCCAGAAAATAGCCTCAAAAGTAAGTAAAGGTCTCCCATAGCGAGAAGTGGGGCAGAGTTTTAATGGCTCCCGTCTGAGATTGAGTGCAAAGAGACTTAAAGGAGGGTGCAGGGGAGGCCGAGGCTGCAAGGCTGTCAGAAATACGTAATGAAACATCCAGGAGGGTGCAGGGGAGGCCCAAGGCTGCAAAACTCTCAGAAATACGTAACAAAACTTCCTTCCAGAGGAACAGCGCCCCCCACTAAGGACAAAACAGGGAAAGCATCCACATTGAACTGGGCAGGAACAGCGAAGGGAAAGGTCCTGGGGAAAGGCGTCCAGAAGAGGTGGAGGTCAAAAAACACTGCAGAAGCAGCTACACAGAGCCTGCAGTTTCTAATACCGCGTGGCAGCAGTAGAGGAGGGGGCCTTGAGGCTGGCCTGTCACCATTGCAAACACAAGAGCCTGTTCTTAAAAATGAGCAACAGGCTGGCCATGGTGGCTCACGTCTGTAATCCAGGCACTTTGGGAGGCCAAGACGGACAGATCACCTGAGGTCAGGAGCTTGTGACCAGCCTGGGCAACATGGAGAAACCCCGTCTCTACTAAGAATACAAAAATTAGCAAGGCATGGTGACACATGCCTGTAGTCCCAGCTACTTGGGAGTCTGAAGCAGGAGAATTGCTTGAACTCAGGAGGCAGAGGTTGCAGTGAGCCAAGATTGCGCCACTGCACTCCAGCCAAGGTGACAGAGCAAGACACCATCTCAAAAAAAGAAAAAAAGAAGCAAAAAAGAGTGTTGTTTAACATCATACAAAGATAGGTAAGAAAAAAGAAGGCCAGGCACGGTGGCTCACGCCTGTAATCCCAGCACTTTGGGAGGCCGAGGAAGGTGGATCACAAGGTCAGGAGATGAAGACCATCCTGGCCAACACAGTGTCTCTACTAAAAATACCAAAAATTAGCCCCGTGTGGTGGCGGCGCCTGTAATCCTGCTACTCGAGAGGCTGAGGCAGGAGAATCACTTGAACCTGGGAGGTGGAGGTTGCAGTAAGCCGAGATTGTGCCACTGCGCTCCAGCCTGGGTGACAAGAGTGAGACTCTGTCTCAAAAAAAAAAAAAAAGAAAAAAGAAGATGATCTGAATAGCATTGCAGCAGTGAAGGTGCTCCAGACACACAGGCCCACCCAGCAGGAAACACTGTTCCATAATATTTCATAACAAGATAAAAGATACTCAGAAGATGACGGAAGCTGTGAAAGAACAGCATAAATCAGAAATAGAAAAGCCCAGGCCAGGCTCAGCGGCTCACAACTGTAATCCCACCTACTTGGGAGGCTGAGGCATGAGAATCACCTGAACCTGGGTGGTGGAGGTTGCAGTGAGCCAAGATCGTGCCACTGCACTCCAGCCTGGGCGATAGAGCAAGACTCAGTCTAAAAAAAAAAAAGCCCAGAAATGTGGTAATCAGACAAAAGGAGGTTGTAAAAAATTGCCTGTGGAGCTCAGAAATGAATTATAAGGAAAAAACAATGTTTTTAATGAAGACTAAACTATAAGAAGTGTACAAGTGAGTAGACACCATGGAAAGTGCAGTATTTGGAAACAGATGACAGAAAAGAAAAAAGCAAACAGAGATGAAAAGGCGTTCTGACAAATTGAATATGGCAAAGAAGACTGAACTTACATACAGCTGATGAAGAGGCATTTTGACTTGGGCCAGGCGCGGTGGCTCATGCCTATAATCCCAGCACTTTGGGAGGCTGAGGAGGGTGGATCACCTGAGGTCAGGAGTTCGAGACCAGCCTGACCAACATGGTGAAACCCTGTCTCTATTAAAAATACAAAAATTAGCCAGGCGTGGTGTCAGGTGCCTGTAATCTCAGCTACTCGGGAGACTGAGGCAGGAGAATTGCTTGAACCCGGGAGGCGGAGGTTGTGGTGAGCTGAGATCGTGCCACTGCACTCCATCCTGGGGGACAAGAGCAAAACTCCATCTCAAAAAAAAAAAGAAAGGAAAGGCGTTCTGACAATTGAATATAGGCAAAGAAGATCCAACTTACACACAGCTGGAGTCCCTGTTTCCATCATCTGTTGCTGCGTGACAGATCTCCCCAAACTTGAGGTCCCCATTCATCACCCCTTGTGTTTCTGTGGGTTGGCTGCGTGATTCTGCTTTTCTGACCGAGGTGCCCTCAGGTGGTCACAGCCCCGTAACATCTAGAAACCTCTGATGGTCCGCGTGGCCTTCCATGTCCGGCAGTTCATCCCAACTGTCAGCTGGGGCTCCTTAGTTCTCCTGCATGTGTGTCATCCAGGAGGCCTAGCATGTGCCTGTAGTCCCAGCTCCTTGGAAGGCTGAGGCTGGAGGATCACTTGAGCCCAGGAGTTGGGTGCTGCAGCGAGCCATGATCATGCCAGCACGCTCCAGCCTGGGCAACAGAGTGAGACCCCATCTGTTAAAAAAAAGAGAGAGGCCGGGCACAGTGGCTCACACCTGTAATCCCAGCATTTTGGAAGGCCGAGGGGCAGATTACCTGAGGTCAGGAGTTCGAGACCAGCCTGGCCAACATGGTGAAACCCCGTCTCTACTAAAAATACAAAAATTAGCTGGGCATCGGGGCGGGCGCCTGTAATCCCAGCTACTCGGGAGGCTGGGGCAGGAGAATCGCTTGAACCCGGGAGGCAGAGGTTGCAACGAGCCAAGATCACGCCACTCCACTCCAGCCTGGGCGAGAGAGCGAGACTCCATCTCAAAAAAAAAAAAAAAAGAGAGAAAGACAAGGAAGTGGGGAGGAGAATAAGGGGGAAGGGACCCCATGAGTACAGACCAGGAACGAATGAGTTCTGCACCCCTCTCTCACCTCCCCCAGGTGCTGACCCCAACCCTTCAGAGCCCTGCTCCCCCTGCCCCGGCTCCTCCTGCCCCGTCCCCCATGCCTTGCCATTCTCCTTCAGCCTGGCTGCCCTGTCCCCCATGCCTTGCTGGTGCCCCTCAGCCTGGCTGCCTTGCTGGGCCGCCGTGCATGAAGAGCTGCTTCTTGGTGGCTCCCTGCTGGCCGGACCCGTCCCTCCCAAGCTGAGCCACCAGCGCGTTGAGTAGCAGCCCTGTTTCATAGCATATCTCCCCTTCTGTGCAAAATAGTCACTGGAACGGGGAGTTTCATTTGGCATAACGTAAAGTACACATTCCGGATTTAAGGTTCCCAGGAGAAATAGAAGTAGCAACTCCCACAGTCTCCACAGGCTGAAAGGGAAGGCGTCTCCCTGCTGTGGACTTGCCACATCGTGCTCCAGCAGCCACTTCTTCCTAACCCCTCCCTGTTTACCCCCCAGATTTTTCCTCTGTTCCGTGCGCTAGGTGCAAACGGCCTCCTCATTGAGTATGAAGACATGTTTCCCTACGAGGGCCCTCTGAGGCTGCTGAGGGCCAAGTACGCCTACAGGTAACACTGCCCGTGGCAGGTACAGGGGCGCGGCGTGAAAGCGGGGAAGGGGGGGTTCCGCAGGGCAGGAGGAGCAGCAACCTGGAGGTGCGGGTGGCACAGTCAGGAACTGAACAGTGGTGGGTACATTCCTTTTTTGTCTTTTTAAATTCATCTCTTTAATTGTATGAAAACAAAGTTTCATTTCAAACATTCACTGGAGAGAATTTTGAAACATTTAAAGGGAAAGTAAGCATCAGCAGCGCCCCCTACAGGGAAGAGCTGCAGTTCCTGTCTCTGTCCTGCAGGCGTTTCTTCTGTTGATGGGAGAAGGCTGGACTACAGAAGGTTAGAGAAGGTTAGAGAAGGTTAGAGAAGGCCAGAGAAGGAAGGCCAGAGAAGGCTGGGCTAGAGAAGGCTAGAGAAAGCTGGAGAAGGCTAGAGAAGGCTGGAGAAGGCTGGAGAAGGCTGGACTACAGAAGGTTAGAGAAGGCCAGAGAAGGCTGGGCTAGAGAAGGCCGGAGAAGGCTGGAGGAGGCTAGAGAAGGCTGGAGGAGGCTGGAGGAGGCCAGAGAAGGCTGGAGAAGGCTGGAGAAGGCTGGAGGAGGCTGGGCTAGAGAAGGCCGGAGGAGGCTGGAGGAGGCCAGAGAAGGCTGGAGAAGGCTGGAGGAGGCTAGAGAAGGCTGGAGGAGGCTGGAGGAGGCCGGAGAAGGCTGGAGGAGGCTGGAGGAGGCTGGGCTAGAGAAGGCCGGAGGAGGCTAGAGAAGGCTGGAGAAGGCTGGAGAAGGCTGGGCTAGAGGTTAGAGAAGGCTAGATAAGGTTAGAGAAGGCCAGAGAAGGCTGGGCTAGAGAAGGCTGGAGGAGGCCAGGGAAGGTCAGAGGAGGCTGGAGAAGGCTGGAGGAGGCTGTAGAAGGCTGAGCTAGAGAAGGCTGGAGGATGCTGGAGGAGGCCTCCGCGCAGGGAGGGGCTGCTCTTCAGGCCACAGTTGAGCCTTGAGTTAGAGAAGAGAAGAATTAAAGGGGAGAGAATCAAAATCAATAAAATCAGGTGTGGTGGAGATGGGAGGCCCCTGCTTAATGCTAAAATCACAGGTCTCTGTGAAAATCAATAACGGCCCCAAAGATAAATGCACAATGGACATTAACTGGCCAATCCCAAAGGAAGAAACAAAAAAGGCCAATAAGCATATAAGAAAATGTGAAGGCCAGGAGCAGTGGCTCACGCCTGTAATCCCAGCAATTTGGGAGGCCAAGGTGGGCAGATCACTGGAGCTCAGGAGTTTGAGACCAGCCTGGGTAACATGGTAAAACCCCATCTCTATGTGAAATACAAAAATTAGGCCGGGTGCAGTGGCTCACGCCTATAATCCCAGCACTTTGGGAGGCCGAGGTGGGTGGATCACTTGAGCTCAGGAGTTCGAGACCAGCCTGGGCAACATGGTGAAACCCCATCTCTACATAAAATGCAAAAAATAGCCATGGATAGTGGCATGGGGCTGTAGTCCAAGCTACTCAGGAGGCTGAGATAGGAGGATGGCTTGAGCCTGGTGTTAGGTTTTTTTAAAGGGAAGGCGAGGGTTAAAGAAAGACAGAGAGAGAGAGGGCGTCTCTACAGCAACAGAGGTATAGTGCAGAAACCTACAGAGGGGGGACCAGCTTAATGCCAGAGCCCACCGCCGCTTACAGGCTGGGGTACTTACAGGCCTGGACGGGAGGGGTTTGGGCAGTAGGGCTTCTGCCTGGGAAGATGTTGAGAGATGTTCCCATGATGAGGCAGTTGGGTCCTTGTTCCCAGCAGAATATGATCAGGATGTTCCTTCAGCTGGGCCTTTGCCCAGCAAGGTATGTTCGGGATGTTCCTGGGCCGTGTGGTCGGGTGGTCGGGATGTTCCTGGGCCGTGTGGTCAGGATGTTGGGCAGGATGTTCCTCACAGCCCAAACCCCGTGGAATGTTTCACTTCAACCTGGGTCTGGAAAACAGCAGGGGGCTTACAAAATGGTGCAGTTTGGATTAACACCCAGGACCCAGAGGCTGCAGTGAGCTGAGATGGCGCCACTGCACTCCAACCTGGGCAACAGAGCCAGAGCCTGTCTCAAAAGAAAAGGAAAGAAAGAAAGAAAATGTTAAACCCTCATAGTACTCAAATCAAAGAAACTAAATCAATAATGCAACACCATCCTGGCTACCAAACTGGTAAGCCTTTTTTAAAAATTATAAGACTTGGGCTGGGCGCTGTGGCTCACGCCTGTAATCCCAGCACTTTGGGAGGCTGAGGCAGGCGGATCATGAAGTCAGGAGTTTGAGACCAGCCTGACCAACATGGCAAAATCCTGTCTCTACCAAAAAAAATACAAAAATTAGCTGGGCGTGGCCAGGCGCGGTGGCTTAACGCCTGTAATCCCAGCACTTTGGGAGGCCGAGGCAGGCGGATCACAAGATCAGGAGATCGAGACCATCCTGGCTAACACAGGTGAAACCCCGTCTCTACTAAAAATATAAAAAATTAGCCAGGCATAGTGGTGGGCGCCTGTAGTCCCAGCTACTCGGGAGGCTGAGGCAGGAGAATGGCGGGAACCCAGGAGGCAGAGCTTGCAGTGAGCTGAGATTGCGCCACTGCGCTCCAGCCTGGGCGACAGAGCTAGACTCCGTCTCAAAAAAAAAAAAAAAAAATTAGCTGGGTGTGGTGGTGCGCACCTGTAATCCCAGCTACTCAGGAGGCTGAGGAAGGAGAATTGCATGAACTCAGGAGGCAGAAGTTGCAGTGAGCCGAGATCGCGCCACTGCACTCCAGCCTGGGTGACAGAGCAAGACTCTGTCTCAAAATAATAATAAATAAAATAAATGAAAAATTGTAAAGACTGTGTTGATGAGAATGAGAAAGAGGAAAACTACCTGCTGATGAACATAATATGACATCTGTTCTGGAAGGACTTCGGTTCCATGTGTCAAAACTCCAAAATGCCTGCACCCCATGCAGCCCACATGTGGTTAGACCAGAAGTGATGAACGGTGAGCCAGGGTGTTGGCCTGCAATGAGATAATCAGGTGCGATGAGATGATCAGGTGCGATGAGATGATCAAGTGCGATGACATGATCAGGGGTTTGCATTTTCTTCATACTCTTCTAGTTTTCTTCCTACAGTGAAGACATTTTGTCTTTTGATGTGAAAAAGTAAAGTACCAGGGTTCCTTCGAAGCTTGAAACAGGAATGTTTAAAGACTTTATGTAACTCATAAATCTATAGAACGGATTAGCCTAAGATGGTTCAAACACATACAAAAACTAGAAATAGCTTTTTTTTAGATAAATTCATAAATGACAGCTCATGTAAAGCTTGTGAAAAACGAAGAGGTCGACCCGGGGCAGTCAGCCCTTCCCAGGATGTGGCCCTTCTGCAGAGGACGGGCGCCCCAGGATTGTTTCAGGTTGAGGACCCTGTGGTGGACCTGCCCTCGGGCAGCTGCTGACCCGGCTCTGGATGGAGTGTGGCACCTTCTGTAGCATTTTTATTTTTTTTTGAGACAGAGTCTTGTTCTGTCTCCCAGGCTGGAGTGCAGTGGTGCGATCTTGGCTCACCGCGAACTCTGCCTCCCGGGTTCAAGTGATTCTCCTGCCTCAGCCTCCCGAGTAGCTGGGATTACAGGTACATACCACCAGGCCTGGCTAATTTTTGTATTTTTAGTAGATACGGGGTTTCATCATGTTGGCCAGGCTGGTCTCGAACTCCTGACCTCAAGTGGTCTGCTGGCCTTGGACTCCCAAAGTGCTGAGATTACAGGCGTGAGCCACTGTGCCTGGCCTTGAGTAGTTTCTTGTAAAATGTGATGACTTCATTCTCTTGTCGTGGGTTGAAAAGCGAACCATTACTTGAGGACGTGCTAGAACATCATCTTCCCAAATTTTGGAGCAGGTACCTTTCCAGAAATCAGGATACCTGTCAAGCTTTGTGGAGTTTAGGGCCTTACTGTTTCCCGGAGAGCCCCCCAGGGCCTGATGAGGAAGGGCTGGGGGGGTGGGTGTGGAAGTCACGTGCTGCTCACATGACCCTCTCTCTATGAATTTTGTCTCTCCAGCCCCTCTGAAATCAAAGAGATCTTGCATCTGGCTGGACTCAATGAGCTGGAGGTGATTCCCTTGGTGCAGACATTTGGACACATGGAGGTGAGTGGCAGAAATGGAAGTTACCTGGTGCCAGGTGTGGGGTCCAGGGGCTGCAGGCTGGGCCAGGCTTGTGCCCAGGGGTGGGTGCAGCGGGCCCATGGTTGGGGTGCAGGCAGCGCAGCTCAGCACAACATGGAAAGGCCTTTGGTCTAGGAAGTCCCTGCCTGACTCGGCCAGAGCTGCAGGTTGGGGCTGCCTGTCTGCCTGAGGAATGGAAGGAAAGAGCCAGAAAAGGGGTCCTGGAGGCAGTTTCCTTTTTCACTTGTATTCATCAGAATATTATTATGTGAGGTAAAACACAGTATTAGGGAAAGAAAAGGTGCTTTTCAGGCCAGGTGCGGTGGCTCACACCAGTAGTAATCCCAGCACTTTGGGAGGCCGAGGCTGGTGGATCACCTGAGGTCAGGAGTTCGAGACCAGCCTGACCAACATGGCGAAACCCCGTCTCTACTAAAAATACAAAAATTAGCCAGGCATGGTGGCGGGCACCTGTAGTCCCAGCTGCTCGGGAGGCTGGGGCAGGAGAATCACTTGAACGCAGGAGGCAGAGGTTGCCATGAGCCAAGATCGCACCACTGCACTCCAGCCTGGGTGACAGAGCAAGACTCCGTCTCAAAAAATATATATATACACATATTCTTTTTCCTGTCTGCATCAAACAGGAAGTGATGCGGCATTAACCACCACACCGATTTAATGGCTCTTAGGTTCCATTTATTTCTCTAACAGATACACCATTCTGGCTTCTATTTCCACACACCGCGGGTAAGAAGGTTGTTTTCACTTACACATGTCGGTGTTCTGGGCGTGCCACCGGAGTTCCTTCCCACAGCTCGGTCCTCCAGCCTTTCTAGTTGATTCTCTCCATCGTACTCTGCTCTGGGACCCGGCCTGCGCTCTTAGCCTCCTGCCACGTATCCACAGAATGTCTCTGCCAAGGCCGCCAGGGTCCTCCAGGTCACTAAGTCCAGGGACGGTTTTAGTCCTTTCCTGCTGGGCCCCTCGGTAGCTTCTGGCATCCCCAGCCGCTCTCCTGAGCCCCACACTTTCTGGCTTCCCTCTGCCTCTGACTGCACCTCCTCGATATCCATTTGCATTTGTCTCTCTGTAGCTGGCGGTCCCCAGGGCTCCTCTCGGTCCCTGTCCCCACCTCCCACTCTCTCTCTAGATGGTGCCATTTCTGCTCCTGCTTTCTCTTTGTCCTCCTCTTCGTCTTCCTCTTCCTCTTCTGTCTGCACCTCAGCAACTCCAGACCTCCTGGGTTACAGACCCTCATCCCCAGCTGCCTGCTGGTCGCTTCCATTGAGGGCCCTCCTCCAGCCTCTGGTGTGCAAACCAGAAGCAGACCAGCCACAGTCAGCACCACCACCCGCCACGCCCTGACCCATGTTGGTCCTGCTGCTGCTCCTCCTCCTCTTCCTCTGTCATGCAGGCACCACCCCTGTCTAAACCACTATGGACTCACCATGAAACTTTCCTAATGGGTCTCCCGGGGCCACTCTGCCCCTCCGTGCCCCTCTCCCCACCACAGCAAGTCACAGCACAGCCCTGACCACTCACACTCGCCATCTCCTCAAAGGACACTGCTGTCAGGGCAGAAGTGATCGCCACAAACCAGGTGGCTTAAGACAACAGAAATGTTCTCTCAGCCCTGGAGACCAGACATCCAAAATCAGCGTGTCGAAGGGTTGGTTTCTTACTGAGGAAGACCCTCCATGTGTACATTTACTATTAGTATACCCTTTTTGTGTGTTTGTTTTTGAGACAGGGTCTCACTCTGTTTCCCAGGCTGGAGTGTAGTGGTGCAGTCTTGGCTCACTACAACCTCTGCTTCCGAGTTCAAGTGATTCTCCTGCCTCAGCCTCCTGAGCACCTGAGATTACAGGTGTACCCCACCATGCCCGGCTAACTTTTTATCTTTTTATTAGAGATGAGGTTTCAAGATGTTGGCCAAGCTAGTCTCAAACTCCTGGCCTCAGGCGATCCGCCTGCGTCGGCCTCTCAAAGTACTGGGATTACAGGCGTGAGCCACGGTGCCCAGCCCAGTATACCCTCTTGGTATACTAGAAATAACTGCTCAGGTGTTTTGCCCATTTTTTTTTTCAACTTGAGTTTTTAAAGTTCTTTATATGTTCTAGATGCAAGTCCTCTGATGGTATGTAATTTGCAGGTATTCTCCCCCAGTGTAGAGCTACATGCTTCTGGTGTCATTTCTAAAAACTCTTTGTGATCACCAGATCACAAAGATTTTTCTTGTATTTTCTTCTAAAGTTTAACTTCTGTGCATTTTTCATTTAGATCTATGATCCATTTTTAGTTTGGTATTTTTATTCTTTCTCCAGAACCCTTGAACATCCAAGTTATTTGTCTTGAGTCACAGACTCACTCTGTCACCCAGGCTGGAGCGCGTGGTACAATCACAGCTCACTGCAGCCCTGAGCTTCTGGGCTCAAGCTTCTGGGCTCAAGCACCTCAGCCTCCTGAGTAGCAGGGACCACAGGTGCGTGCCACCATACCCGGCCAGTTTTTTTTATTATTTGCAGATACCAGGTCCCACTATGTTGCCCAGACTGGTCTCGAACCCCTGGCCTCAAACAGTTCTCCCACCTCAGCCTCTCGGAGCGCTGGGATTATAGGCATGAGCCATTGCACCTGGCCCCATTTTGAGTTAATTTTTTTTGTTCATTTTCCTTTTTGTGAAGAGTGGGGTCTCACTATGTTGCTGGGCTGGTCTCAAACTTCTGGGCTCAGGTGATCTTCCCGCCTCTGCCTCCCTAAGTGCTAATTTTTTTTTTTTTTTTGAGACAGAGTTTCACTCTGTCACCCAGGCTGGAGTGCAGCGGCGTGATCTCAGCTCACTACAAACTCCACATTCCAAGTAGCTTCAGCCTCCCGAGTAGCTGGGATTACAGCGCCCGCCACCACACCCAGCTAATTTTTGTCTTCTTAGTAGAGACGGGGTTTTGCCATGTTGGCCAAACTGATCTCGTCGAACTCCTGACCTGAAGTGATCTGCCCGCTTCGGCCTCCCAAAGTGCTGGGACTACAGGCATGAGCCACCATGCCCGGCCTCCTTTCATTCTTACAATATATTCATAGTAGTTTTCTTGAAATATTTGATAAATTCTGCATGTGGGCCCTGAGAGTCAGAGTCTGTGAACTGGATCCTACTTTCCAGTTCATTTGCACATCTCAAAATTTTTGGTTGAGAACTGAACATTTCAGTTAATACATTATAGCAAAGCTGAATGTTTACTCTTTTCCCCAGTGGCTGGTGGTGGTCTTTTTGTTGTTTTCTAGCAAATGGCCTGCATTTAACCTGCAGGACCTGCCCCTGGCTGTGTGCACTCACTGATGTCTGTGCTGAGATTTTTTGGTTCTTATTTTTACATTTTAGCCTGGCTTCCTAGGGTCATCCCTCTGTCTTCATAGTTGGTGGTCAGCCAAGGGTTTGGGCAGAGGTTGTGCTCCCACACCTTGAGCCCACAGACCTCCTCCCCTTGCCACGGGGCTGTGTGTGGGCGGTGGGGGGTGCATCCCTAGGTTCGCGCAGTTCCCACCTGGCCCTCACAGGTCCCTGCACGTGTGTGTGGCCCCCGTCAGCCAGGCCTGAGGAGAGTGTGCAGCACCATCTGGCTTTCTGTTTCCAGGGTCACCCATTAAATCTGCAGCCAGTCTTGGCTCTCCCCAGCAGGGACTGCACCCTCTGGCAAGCGGAAGACAGGGCCTCTTCTCCAGTTGCTGCTTCTACTGACAGCGCCCCCACAAGGGGTGGGTTTTTAACCCAGCCTCAAGTTAAGTCTGCCCCTTTGGCAGCAAAGCTGTGGTTTCCACAGTGAGGGGGAAGGGGGCAGTGAGTAGCCCTAGGCCGAGGCCACAGAGTCTCTGTTCTTAGGCAAAGTTAGAGTGGTCTTTCATAGATAAACATTTTTCTGTTTTTTTCTTTTCAGAGACAGGGTCTCACTCTGTCGCCCAGGCTGGAGTGCAGTGGTGTGATCATGGCTCACTACAGCCTCAACTTCCTAGGCTCCAGTGATCTTCCCGCTTCAGCCTCCCAAGTAGCTGGACCACAGGCAGGTGCCACCACACCTGGCCACTTTTTTTTCTTAAACCGATTTGGTTTTTAAAAAATTTATGGCTGGGTGCAGTGGCTCACGCCTGTAATCCCAGCACTTTGGGAGGCCAAGGCGGGCAGATCACAAGGTCAGGAGATCGAGACCATCCTGGCTAACACGGTGAAACCCCGTCTCTACTAAAACAAAATACAAAAATTAGCCGGGCGTGGTGGCGGGCGCCTGTAGTCCCAGCTACTCGGGAGGCTGAGGCAGGAGAATGGTGTGAACCTGGGAGGCAGAGCTTGTAGTGAGCCGAGATCATGCCACTGCACTCCAGACTGGGCGGCAGAGCAAGACTCCATCTCAAAAAAAAAAAGAAAAAAAAAAAAAAATATATATATATATATATATATATATATATATATATATTTTTTTTTTTTTTTTATATATATATTTTTAGTCTGGGCGTGGTGGTTCACGCCTGTAATCCCAGCACTTTGGGAGGCCAAGGAAGGCGAATCACTTGTGGTCAGGAGTTCAAGACCAGCCTGGCCAACATAGTGAAACGCCATCTCTACTAAAAATACAAAAATTAGCCAGGCGTGGTGGCACATGCCTGTAATCCCCAGCTACTGGGAAGGCTGAGGCGGGAGGATCACTTGAACCTGGGAGGCAGAGGTTGCAGTGAGCCGAGACTGTGCCACTGCACTCCAGCCTGGGCAACAAAGCGAGATTCCATGGGGTTTCACCAGTTGTCCAGGCTGGTCTCAAATTCCTGAGTTCAAACATTCTACCCACCTCAGCCCCCACAAGGTGCTGGGATTACAGGACTGAGACTCTCTGCCTGGCCTAATTTTTTTGTATTATCTGTAGATTTGAAACAGAAGCCCCAGGTGGGCAGAAGGAGATCAGTCCAGCTCCTCCGCCCCCAACGCGAACTTCTCTGTCTCTCCGCAGTTTGTGCTGAAGCACACGGCCTTCGCCCACCTGCGGGAGGTGGGCTCCTTCCCCTGCACCCTGAACCCCCACGAGGCAGAGTCCCTGGCGCTGGTGGGCGCCATGATTGACCAGGTCCTGGAGCTACACCCAGGCGCCCAGCGGCTGCACATCGGGTGTGATGAGGTGGGTACTGTCACCCCAGCTCTGTGCAGGACACTCTCCCCTATCATGGCTTGTCCTTTTAAATAGGAAAATCTTCCAGGCACTGAGGCCTAGAGACAGGCTTGTTGTTCCCCTCAGGGCACCCCATCCAACATCTTCTCCGAGTGGATGGGCGGCCTGGCACGGGACAGCCTGCGGAGCCCGAGGGAGGCACCCTCGTGTCAGACGCGTCCAACATCTTCTCCGGGTGGATGGGCGGCCTGGCACGGGACAGCCTGCAGAGCCCGAGGGAGGCACCCTCGTGTCAGACGAGACCACCCCGGGCGGCTGGGCTGGCGGAAGCCTGTGGGTGATGGGCAGGTTCACGCCCCAGGACCAGCAGTGAGCATAAGTCAGGGTGTAACTCGAGGGACACCCTTTTGTTGCTGAGAGGAAGTTCTGCATTTGGACCCTGAAGCACCCAATGGAAAAGGTGGTCCCCAGGGGGTGCCAGAGATGTGCCCCCTCCAACCCAGTGAGCCCCCACCCTTGCCCCTCCTGCCACTCACTGGACTCCAACTCAGTCAGGGCCTGGGCAGGATGTGGAACTGAAAGGGGCGGGGTTGGTGCCCACGGGGCTGGGAGGTTCTGCAGGGCTGTGGCTCACAGGGAACCCGAGCTGAACATTTTAGCCCCAGAAGTTTCCTTTTTTTGAAGGAAACCTGAGTATGTAAAATACACTTAAGCTTTACCATTCTAACCATTTTAAAATATAGGCTGGGTGTGGTGGCTCACGCCTGTAATCCCAGCACTTTGGGAGACCAAAGTGGGTGGATCACCTGAGGTCAGGTGTTTGAGACCAGTTTGGCCAATGTGGTGAAACCCCGTCTCTACTAAATATACAAAAATCAGCCGGGCGTGATGGCGGGCGCCTGTAATCCCAGCTACTCAGGAGGCTGAGGCACGAGAATCGCTTGAACCCAGGAGGTGAAGGTTGCAGTGAGCTGAGATCACGCCACTGCATACCAGCCTGGGCAACAGAGTGAGACTCCGGCTCTAAATAAATAAGTAAATAAATAAATAGGCCAGGCACGGTGGCTCACACTTGTGATCCCAGCACTTTGGGAGGCTGAGGCAGGTGGACCACCTGAGATCAGGAGTTCAAGATCAGCCTGGCCAACATGGTGAAACCCCGTCTCTACTAAAAATACAAAATTAGCCAGGTGTGGTGGTGGGCGCCTGTAATCCCAGCTACTCAGGAGACTGAGGCAGGAGAATCACTTGAACCCAGGAGGTGGAGGTTGCAGTGAGCCGAGATTGAGATTGTGCCACTGCACTCCAGCCTGGGCAACAGAGCAAGACCCTGTCTCCAAAATAAATAAATAAGTATAAACGTCAGCACCTCTTCCAGACATTCATGGTGTGGGCAATCACCCCAGGGCAAGCCCCGCACCTGCCCCCAGGCCCCGGCGACCACGGTCTGCTTCCTATCTCGGTGGATTTGCCCGTCTGGGCATTCCACGGGTACCGAGTCACACAGTGTATGACCTGTGCTCCTCCGGGCTGTCAGCTGCCAGAGCTTGGCTGTCTGCTGAAGCCGAGCCGTGTTCATGGTGGGGGATGCTGCCCTATGCTGGTCCATCATGGGGGATGGACCCCTGTGGTCTCTGCTTTGTTGGCTGTGAGAAGAGCTGCTGTGAACATTCACAGGAAACCTTGAGTAGAAGTTCAGGGCTCAGTGAGGAAGACAGGGACACGCTGGGGGTGGTAAGCAAAGGCTCCGAGCCCCTCCCTGGCCTCCTCCCCACAGGCAGCGGCCCCTCTCCGTCAGGGCACGGCGTGAACCCCGGACCCTCCCACCGGTGTGCACGGCTGCCAAGGCAACCCCGTCCTGCTCCTTCCTTGCAGGTCTATTACCTCGGAGAGGGGGAGGCCTCGCGCCGGTGGCTACAGCAAGAGCAGAACAGCACGGGGAAGTTGTGCCTGTCACACATGCGGGCGGTGGCCAGCGGCGTGAAGGCCCGGCGCCCCAGCGTGACACCCCTGGTGTGGGACGACATGCTCCGAGACCTGCCTGAGGACCAGCTCGCAGGTCGGCCAACAGGGCTGGGGGAGGGGGTGGGCCACTGAACTGCCCAAGACCTGCGGCTTCAAAGAAAGAAGGTGCTGTAGGAAGTGGGCCCCAGGGTGAGCCCCAGCCCCGCACAGACCCGCCACAACCACCTCCTGCATCCCCTTGACGCCAGGCCTGAGTCGTTTCCCTAGAAGCTGTGGAGGTTTGGGCAGGAGAGCACAGGCCTGCCTGGTGGCCCAGAGGGCTTGGGAGTGTCCAGCACTCGCAGCAGCCTCCTCCAAGGCCATCCCTGCTGGGACTGGGGGCCGAGGTTCCCGCTGGCTGCTCCTCCAGCCCCTGGGCCCTGCTCGCTCTGCCTGAGGCTTTGGGACGAGCTGCTGAGCGCCTTTCTGGGCCAAGAGGTGGTACTCAGACACCTGGCCTGGTTCCACACAGAGCCCCGAGGCTCAGTGAGCTCCATAGCAGAGCTGGGAGCCAGGGTGTCCTAGGGCCGTGCCGGCCTGGCAGCTTCCACCCATGCATGGCCACATAGATGACTTAGAGTGACCTCCATTCAGCCGCGTGCTCCAGCTGTGCCTGTGGCTCATGGCCTGGTAGAGCAGCAGTGGGAGCATGGTCGCTCCAGCGGGCGCTGGCTTGGAAAGGCACTGTGTGTGGTTGTGGCATTCATTGTCAAAACCCAGCACGGTGCCAAGTCTGTCTTAAAAAGGTATCTGTGCTCACACTTTCAAGCAAAACGAGAACAGGTGGGTCCGAGGGGCTGAGAGTGTGGTCCAGGTGTCTCACCAACCTCACGTCCGCTCTGTCTGCAGCGTCCGGGGTGCCGCAGCTGGTGGAGCCGGTGCTCTGGGACTACACGGCCGACCTGGATGTGCACGGCAAGGGTCAGTGCCAAGTTGTGGGGGGTGTGTTGTCCTGGCCATGTGCCTGGGAAGGCCATCCCTGGCCCTGTGACCCTGCAGCCGGAACTGCCCAGCCTGGAGCCTGCACGGGTAGAGGCCAGGGCACAGCCCCAGCAGACCCCAGCCCATGGTGCCTCGGGACGGCCACCGTGCACCGGTGCCTCACCTCCCTCCCTGTTCCACCAGTGTTTTCCTAGTGAGCAGGTGAACCAGGGGCCACGTACACTCTGGAGTCTCCCCGACTGGGACCCGGGCCGGCCGCATACACTCTGGAGTCTCCTACACTGAGACCCGGGCCTGGCTGTCTCAGGCGGCTCCCATGTTGGCTCTGGGTACAGCCCCGGGAGGCGTGTCCAGGGCCGTGTTGGCCGCCTCCCCTGGAGCCACTCACCTGTTTGCTTTCTCACCCAGTCCTCCTCATGCAGAAGTACCGGCGGTGCGGCTTTCCGCAGCTGTGGGCAGCCAGTGCCTTCAAGGGTGCCACGGGGCCCAGCCAGGCCGTGCCCCCTGTTGAGCACCACCTCAGGAACCACGTGCAGTGGCTGCAGGTGGCGGGCAGCGGGCCCACGGACTCACTGCAGGGCATCATCCTGACCGGCTGGCAGAGGTAAGTCCTGGCCAGTCTGTCCTCAGAGGGTCCAGGGCAGCTCTGGTGGCCACCACGTCGGCCTGTGCAGCGTCCGCCAAGGGCCTTCCCAGGTTGGTCAAAGGGGAAGCAGCCCGGGCCTCCAAGAGGAGCTGCAGAAACAGCCACGTGGGGTTGGGCCCTGCACGCCAGAGCGGCCGCTGAGGGACGCTGCTCCCGTGTTCAGGGTCACGAACACGTGGCCCCCAGCCCCCATGCTACCCGTGTGCGCCGCACCTGAGGCTGTGTGTGTGTGTGTGTGTGTGTCTTGCTTGTGGCACGAGGAGGGGTTTCGGTTCTTTCAGGATTTCACTCTGTTGCTAGAAATGCCGTCTCAATTCGGACCCCACGAGAAGGTTCTTGGGTCTCACACAGGAAAGAATTCAAGGCCAAGTGTGGTGAGGGAGGGTCACTGAAAGGTGCCCAGTGACAGAGGTGGAGCCCTCGGAAGGCCAGCATAGGCGTGCCCAGCTCTGTTTTCCGTTTTTCTCATATCAGGGTCTTGTCTACGTAAACACTAAGCTGTGCTACCTGTGGGTGGGCCAATAGTGTGACAGAATTTATTACTCTAGGGGCTGAGTGCGGTGGCTCATGCCTGTTATCCCAGCACTCTGGGAGGCTGAGACGGGTGGATCACCTGAGGTCCAGAGTTCGTGACCAGCCTGGCCAACGTGGTGAAACCCCATCTCTACTAAAGACACAAAAATTAGCCTGGCGTGGTGGCACGCGCCTATGATCCTAGCTACTCGGGAGGCTGAGGCAAGGAGAATCACTTGAACCCAGGAGGCGGAGGTTGCAGTGAGCCAAGATCACACCGCTGCACTCCAGCCTGGGCGACAGAGCAAAACTCTGTCTCAAAAAAAAAAAATGTATTACTCTATGATTTAAAGAAAACTGTCCTGGACATTTCAGTGTGTAGCCTATGGAAGCCTAACTCTGGTGACCTAGAAGGCACATGCTGTCGTGGGTGTGGGGATGCCAGGACTGTCGGCTGTTGTAGGAGTGGCCCCTGCAGGTATCTAAGCACTTCCTCAGCTGTAAAAATCCTGTGACTGTGGGTCCTGCCTGGCAAGAATGGGCCTTGTTAGTCCCATGAAGGAGCTGGGCCTCCGTGGCATCACCCTGGCGCTCCCAGGCCCCTGCTCCCCTGACGACACTGTGTGAAAAGCAGAGCTAAGATAAACCCCTGGTCGCCGGCCAAGTCCTGACCTTGGGTCTCGTCTCAAGTTAGAGGGTTGGGGGGCAGGTGGCGCAGGTGATGTGGGCTAGGCGAACGGCTGGAGGCCAGACCCACCAGGGGCCCCGTGCCCTCACCCACAAAGCTCAGATTGAGATGGAGTCAAGAATTTCATGGTGGGGACCGCAGAGCCTGGTGGGCCAGCCTGCTAGAGGGGCAGCTCACAGCCACCATGCATGTCCGGAGCTGGCAGCGGCTCTGCAGAAGCTTCTAGATAGTTCCCACTGTCCTGTTGGGATACAGCTCTGTCTGCATAAACCAGGATCGTCCATAGAGCGGGGCGAGGCTCCTCCTCCCCCAGAGCAGCGGCGCATCCTTCAGGCGAGCCTGGGGCTGTGGCGTCAGGCATTGCCCAGCCTTCGCCTGTGCTCACACCTGGGGCAGCGTCTGTCACCCACCTCACAGCTGAAGAAACTGAGGCACGGGCAGGTGGAGGCACCCTACCCAGCAGTGGGAAGCCCAGGCCAGGCCAAGGCCCCCCAGCCCTCGCTTGGGACAGATGCTGCCCCTGACCTGCTGCCTGCCACGCCTGATCTCTCGCCCTCCTCATGGGGCCTTGGGGAAAAGCTGCCACCCCCACCAGCCAGACAGGAGGCAGCCGAGGGAGAGGGTGGGGCAGGAGGGGCCCGGAGGCCCTAGGAGGGGGGCGTCAAGGGCAGCCCCCAGAAGCAGGAGCCCTTTTCTCAGAGGCCAGAGGTGCTGGGGGGAGGGACAACGACCGGCCACCCACCCAAGGTCCACCCAGAATTCCCATGGCTCCGGAGAGCATTGCAGCAAGGAATCCCCACGCTCTTCACTTGTCCGGTTTCTAGAACGGAGTTGACATGAGAGCCCTGCCGCACAGAACCTGTCTTGGAAACCCTGGGCCCCATGGGTTGAGGGGGTCGGGCTGCCCCCAGCGCTGATGTAGCCTAAGGCCCTGGAACAACAGCAGGGACGTCCGAAGTCAGGGCGCCTGCGTCAGGCTGCTGGGGGCGGGCTGCGGAGCTAAGCGCCCCTCTCATGGACCCAGGTACGACCACTACTCTGTGCTGTGCGAGCTGCTGCCCGCAGGAGTCCCGTCCCTGGCCGCCTGCCTGCAGTTGCTTCTACGCGGTATGTCTGGTCTGGCCACCCCAAGCCCCACCGGCCCCTCCCCGAAAGACCCGGAGGGCAGGAGGCCAAGCACCCAGTGCTCCAACCACCCTGCTGGACTGTGGTGGTCCTCACAGTCGGAGGATGGTCTCACCGCCCCAGCTCAGCCACCCACCTGCCCTGAAGTCCACCCAGGCTGGGCCTGTGTCTGGGTCTCCAGGCCTAAGCCCAAAGCAGGCTGGAGAGTGACGCGGGAGGCACCCCTCAGACACAGTGAATCCGCAGAAATGCACGCAGGTCGGAGGTGGGGAACGGCTCCACCTTTGCTGCACACACGTCCTGCCCACCTGGCCGAGCAGGTGTGGGGCTCAGGCGCCCGGCCCTGGAAGGCCCCGCACCCTGGACCCAGCACTCACACTTCCAGGTCTCCTGAGGGAGCAGCGGGACCCATGGGCAGGGGCAGGCACCGGGGAACCCCTTGGGGTCGGCAGGGGGCTTGGCCAGAGGAGCTGTGTGTGTGGAAACTCGCAGGCCACACGGGAAATTAGCGACTGCGTGGTGCTGATGCAGAAAGAAAAATGGCCGAGACGCGCGGAGAGCGGGACCCGCAGGCGCGGCGGCCCAGGGACGGGGACGCGGCCGGTGAGAGGACGCAGAATGAGATCAGATTGACTTCTCAGTTGCTGACTCTCAACTGCTTAGAAAGGGGCAGAAACGATAAAAACAGACACCCCTGTACCCCACACTAAAGAGCTGTGTTAATATTGACGGTATTTGCAGTGTCCCTTGCCCACGGCCCCATCCGCCACCCGTGACTGGGGCACTTCCCTCCTGCCCTCTGGCCGTCAGCCTCTTGCAGCAAGCATTTCCATGAACACCAAGTCGGAGATTCGTCCACGCTGGTGCCTGCAGGCCTCATGGGTTTGTTTCGGGTGCTCTAGAATATTCCATCGATTGTGTAAAACACAGTGGCAAACTCTGCGTGAGCCCTGGACACCTGTGTGGGTCGGGCTGCGCCCAGCAGGAAGAGCCACTTGCTGTCCGGGTGTTGCTGCTGGCAACACAGTCTTACTTCTGTTTTCTGATTTTTAAAATAAGGAACGTATTTCACGTGTTTAAAGAGAAGCAGCAGGCCCATTTGCCCCCAGGTCCCCTTGGGGCCGGCACACGCGGGGCTGGGCCTGGCCAGTGGCTCTCCATTGCCGCCCGCCCACTGCCCCAGTACCTAGGCCTGCAGGTCCCAATGTAGCCCCCTCCCCTCCTCCAGAGGCCCCTCCAACCGCCCCGCTCATTTGTGATTTCAGGAGGATTTGATGAAGATGTTAAAGCGAAAGTGGAGAACCTTCTCGGGATTTCCAGCCTGGAAAAAACGGACCCTGTTAGGCAAGCACCCTGCAGCCCTCCCTGTCCCCTTCTTCCCCTCCCCTTCCCCCGCCCGTGGAGACAGCTGTTCTCAGCAGGGCTCTCCGCAGGGAGGGGGCCGGCTCCTTCCCTGGCAGCAACATCCTTGCCCTTGTCACACAAGTCAGCCTCCATCTGCGCAGCTCTGTGGATGCGCTGCTGGAGGGCAACAGGTGAGCGTGTGGGTTAGGGGCAGGTGTGGGTGAGGGGGGCAGGCATGGGGCGGGTGCAGGTGAGGGGGCAGGTGTGGGTGGGAGGCAGGTGCGGGTGAGGGGCAGGTGCAGGTGAGCGGGCAGGCATGGGGCAGGTGCGGGTGAGGGGCAGGTGTGGGTGGGAGGCAGGTGCAGGTGAACAGGCAGGTGTGAGCGTGCAGGTGTGGGTGAGGGGCAGGTGCAGGTGAGCAGGCAGGCATGGGGCAGGTGCGGCTGAGGGGCAGGTGTGGGTAAGCGGGAAGGCATGGGGCAGGTGTGGGTGGGAGGCAGGTGTGGGTGAGGGGGGTAGGGACAGGTGCTGGTGAGGGGCAGGTTCACAAGTCCCCCCACTCCCAGGCACAGGAGGAGGCAGCCTCATCCTTCACAAAGACTTTCTGGGGGACATAAGACTTAGAAATGTCAACCCCATTCTTAAACATTTTCTGTATTACTGCAAAGCCGCCCCACGGCTGCCTTGGTAGCCCGCGGCACACCCCTATGTGGATTTGCCCCAGGTATGTCACTGGCTGGTTCAGCCCCTACCACCGCCAGCGGAAGCTCATCCACCCGGTCATGGTTCAGCACATCCAGCCCGCAGCGCTCAGGTGAGGCCCTGGGCTCTTATAGGCCGTGCAGCCATGGGTTCCCTGAGAACTGCTGCTGTTGCTGACATGTCCCTCAACTAGAGAGCAGAGGGTGAGCCCCTAGTTGTAAAAGGCCCTCTGGTCTCAGATGTGCAGCTGTCACCGACTTGTTCCTCCCGACATGCCGATGAGGTAGGGTCAGTAGCCCCATTTCACAGGTGAACTGAGGCACAGGGCAGTACTGACCATGGGGCTGAGGGCAAGTCCCAAGTGTGCAGACTGTGCGTTCATGGCGCCCTCACCTGCAGCCTCCTGGCACAGTGGAGCACCCTCGTGCAGGAGCTGGAGGCTGCCC
Organism: Homo sapiens; assembly: GCF_000001405.40. Lineage (NCBI taxonomy): Eukaryota > Metazoa > Chordata > Mammalia > Primates > Hominidae > Homo > Homo sapiens. The sequence continues at coordinate 82,442,224 of NC_000017.11, forward strand.
TGCAGCTGGCTTTCTACCCGGATGCCGTGGAGGAGTGGCTGGAGGAAAACGTGCACCCCAGCCTGCAGCGGCTGCAAGCTCTGCTGCAGGACCTCAGCGAGGTGTCTGCCCCCCCGCTGCCACCCACCAGCCCTGGCAGGGACGTTGCTCAGGACCCCTGAGGGGAGAGCTCATGCCAGGGGGCTCCTGCTGGAGGCTGGGGGGGCTCTGCACTGCCAAATGGCCTGGGCAATACGGGCCCACGTGGGCGTCGTGCCCTCTGGCCCAGCAGTGTCTTGCCCACACTCAGTTCCTGAGGGCCCTGGGCAGCCCCTGGGGGAGAGACTAGAAAACACAGAAGGAAGCAGCACAGGGAGACCCGCTTTGTGATCTGCATGTGTGACACTGATTCTTTGGAAATAAAGAGTGGAAGCTGCAGGTGACACGTGAAGGGTTATTTATGGTTATGATGACCCTGTCCTGCAACGAGGGACTGGCAGCCACTACTGAGGAGGAGGGTCCCATCTCTCTCCTGTCGGCTTTCACCGAGGTCACAGCCAGACGTGGGGCAAAGGTGTTCCCTGTCCTACCCAGCCATTCCTGGGCCTGCCGCCTAGGGGCTCACAGGGCCCAGGAGTCCCCAGCTCACAGGCCAGGGCATCAGGCCAGGCGCGCTCGGTGCACACCGCACCTGGGAGGACCTGGGTACACTCAGGAGACCAAGAGCACTGGCGGGTCAGGATGGTTGGCGTTCAGCTCCTACGGGGTGGGGAGAAGTCTGTAGCCGAGAGCCCAGCCCCCTCCTGCCAGGTCTTCCCAGGTTCGAGAGAGGCTGGAACTCAATTTCTGCAGAAAATCTCCCAGTTTTTCCTGTTTGGTTAGTTTTTTTACAAAGACAGGATCTTGCTGTGTTGCCCAGGCTGGTCTTGAACTCCTGGCCTCAAGCAATCCTCCCACCTCGGCCTCCGAAAGTGCTGGGATTACTGGCATGAACCACTGCGCCCGGCTGGAGCTCCCGGTTTTTAAGCACTGCACGATACTAGAAGAGCTGACCTTTTTTCTGGCCTCACAGCTTATGCTGAAGCTGAGTGTGAGGAACAGAGAGACCTTTCTGTGACGACCGCTGGGGCAGAGTGGTCTATGCGCCGAGATCCTGGCATCAGCAAGGGAGGCGGGTCCTCGGGGAGGGGCAGCTTCCACAGTGTGGCTGCAGCGTGCACAGCCAGGTAGGCCCTGGATGTTCACCCCTCACTGCCCTTGGGGAAGCACCTGACCGCTGGGGATGTCCACCAGGGAGAGGACGCTGTGTCGGGGACAACATGCAGCATCAGCACCCACAAGGGCCCGGCCTGGCCCCGCCTCTCCACTCGCCCGAGGTCTTGCTGTGGCCCAAAGCAGGAGTCCAGGGCTGGCGAGACCTCCGGCTGCAGAAAGGCAGGCCCAGGCCTCACGATGGAGAAAGTCTGGATGTCCTGGTCTGGCCTGCTGTTTCATGCAGTGTGCAAGCAGCAGCATGAGCAGGCAATAGGCCAACTCGGCTGGAGGCACCAACTGAAGCCAAGGCCACGGGTCCTGTGGGCGGTGCACGGGCTCAGGCACACCGGGAATGTGCCACGGGTCCTGTGGGCGGTGCACGGGCTCAGGCACACCGGGAATGTGCCACGGGTCCTGTGGGCGGTGCACGGGCTCAGGCACACCGGGAATGTGCCACGGGTCCTGTGGGCGGTGCACGGGCTCAGGCACACCGGGAATGTGCCATGGGTCCTGTGGGCGGTGCACGGGCTCAGGCACAGTGGGGCTGTCAGCTCTGGCTTGCAGGGTCACCGGCCTCACTGTCGCTGCTCTGAGACAGCTCTGTGGGGCTCTCAAGGCAGTGCAGCTCCAGGAAGCTGGTGATGAGCTTGGCGATGGCTTCCACATCACTGGGCGAGGCCGGCAACGGGAGGAAGGTCAGGTCACCTCGGCATAGGGCACCGTGAGACCCCACAGCAGTCTCCTCCTCGACCACCTACCTCCCGCAGACCCTGGAGCTCCCAAACTGGACCCAGCACTTCCTGGCCTGCTCCCAGCCTCCCCGTCACAGTGGGGCTGCCCCTGAGCCTGCACACGCTTCCCGTGGGCCCCTCTGTGTCCCGTCCACAAACTCATCTCCTCTCCCAGCTGCCCCATAGCTCTGGGCAGTCAGGAACGGGAGTGACCTGCTACGGCTGCAGCTCCGGCCAGATCAAAGTCCCACAGCCTTACCTGCGGTGGCCCATGACTGCACTCTGCGTGAGGGGGTGGGAGAAGCCCGTCGCAAGCCGGAGCACCACCATGTAGCCTTTCCCGAAGTACCGGACCTTCTCCTCCTCCACGCTCACATCACGGACATCATGGAGCAGGACCACCACTGCGGGGAGACGGTCAGTGGCCGAGCCATCCCCGCCCACACATGCTGCCCGGCAGTCGCACCAGCGCCACTGGCATCATCGAAAGCGACAGCCACACTTGGTTGGCAGCAAAAGCATTTGCTGTTTCCTGCCTGAGGCTGGGCCCCGGAGGACTGCTGTGGCCCTGAAGGCAGTGCAGGGTCCTCTGGGTGGGAAGGACGTGCCCGCGGTGCAGGCTGGCGGGTCACATGCACAGCCCGCTGGTTCTCCTGGGAGTGCCGACTGCGGGGACCCGCTCAGCGCGAGGCCATCTTTACACTGCACTGTTCCTCCAGGTCTCCCCAAGGTTGGCTGCTGAGCCAGGGCCACCCTGCAGTTTCCCGTGGCAACTCAGGGCAGCCACCTCTTCGGGTACTGGGGCGGTCCCAATGGCTGTCAGAAAACGGCACAGCTGCCTCCCACAGCCCAGGCCAGCCCTGCAACTGCTCTCCCCAAAGCCACAGGTGACCTGGGGCCAATGCCCTGGCCAGGTCCCTGCAGGGATCCAGGAAGCAGCCTGTCAGAAGTGCAGCATTGCGGCACTAAACCCAAGACTGCCCAGCAACTCTGGTCGCCAGAATCTGTCCCCTCTGGGGCTATGCATGGGCGGCCGGACCCCGGGGCCTCTGTCTGTCTGTGCGGCAGCATCTACAGGAAACTGGTACTGACCACAGCTGGGCCAGTGCCCAGGCTCAAGGGTGGGGAGTTCCTCGGACCATCCAGCCCCTACTGCAGGCCCAGTAGAACCCACAGGAAAGCTGGAGCAGCGCCAAGGCCCGCAAGAAGCCAGGTGGCCCCACTCCAGAACGCCCACGGGCTGCCATGGCTCTCCCTGCCCCGTCCTGTGACCTGCCGCTGGGGCCAGACTGCACCTGCGGACAAGTGGCTGCCAGGCAGACGGGAGAATGCAGCTAAACAGAGGCTGCCCGAGCCCGGGTGGGCCAGACCCCTGCTCCTCAGACCCCTGCTCTGCCAGACCCCTGCTCCTCAGACCCCTGCTCCTCCCACTCTCCCCAGGGGCCAAACCTCTAAAGAACCCAGGAGGCTCTAGGACCCTGCTGAGCAGGTGAGCAGGTGGGGCGTATCCGTGGGATCCTGCTTCCAGCGGGCAGGACACAACCCTGGTCACCAAGCAGGTGAGCTTGGACCAAAGGCACTTCCAGGCCCCCCTCTAGGCCCCGTGAGTCACCCAGACGCCCAAGTGCGCCGCCTCTGTGGCCGTGTCCCATGTCCCCACGCTCCCCACGACTCACCCTGGTCGTGGCCAGCTCTGAAAAGAGTCAGCAGCTTCTTGTAGAGGCTGAACGTCTTCAAAACAACCTTCCCTGTGCTCTTGTCGAAGATGGCTTCCTGGAAACCGACATGCACTGACCACCATGAACCTCCAGGAACGGGGGCCCCGTGGCCGCTGGGGCCTCACCCCCACCCTCACCAGGGTGGACACTCAAGAAGGGGGGCTGGGGACCCTCCCAGTCAGAACCCAAACCCCTGAAGCCACAGGTGCTGCTCTGTCAGAGCCGGATATCGGCAGCCAACCCGACTCCTGTTGGGAAATGGAGAGGTGGGCAGGTGCAGCAGGCGCTTGCTCCACCCTGCAGGCAAAACAAGTGCAGGGAGGCAGTGGAACCAGCAAACGAGGGCATGGAGGTCAGAGGGCAGCACTGGGCCAGGCTGAAAGGACTCATGAGGGGCTCCGAGGTGGGAGGGCCGGCCACGGGGAAAGCTGACTCGCATCCCATTGTGGCAACTCTGGGAAGAAAGCACTTTGGTGAAGATAGTCATGGAGAGCTTCTAAGAGAAAAATGCCTTCGGGGAATTCCTTGGCCAAGAACGGTCCCAGATGAGTGCAGGGGCCATGTCCTGATGAACGGAGACCTCCAAGCAGGGACCAACGCTTCAGGACGGGGAGGCGCTAGGCCACCCAGGGCCCTTCCTCCTCCTTTCATTCCCATTGCAAAAAACCCAGGAGCTGAACAGCCCTGGACTCTGTCCCGCACCCGAGCCGGCCTTACCTCCCAGTCCTCCAAGTTCTGCACAGCCACAAACAGGCAGCCTGTGACGTAGAAGAGCTTCCAGCCCAGGCTATCTGGAGATGGGCATAGGGCGCCAGCCTGTGAGCTCCAGGGACATGCCCACGGGAGGCCCCGCCTAGCACAGCCTCCCCCAGACGCTGGCCAGAGCCCACGCTTGCAAGGACCCCCTGGGCAGCTTCCTGTGCTGCTGACCCTGCCCTGGCCACTCAGGACCCACACGCGGCACACCCCACCCAGCTCTGACCCCCAGAGTCCACGTGAGAGAGGCAGGTGGGGCGCACAGGGCCTCTGCCCGTCTGGGCAGGCCCAGTGATTGTGGCAGGGTGGGAAGTACACCTCATCCCACAGCTGGATCTTAGATCCTCAAGAGCATCTCTCCGGGAATATTTGATGACCCAAAAACACAGAAGACTTAAGAAGTGAAATGTGGCCGGGCGCAGTGGCTCACGCCTGTAATCCCAGCACTTTGGGAGGCCGAGGCGGGCGGATCACGAGGTCAGGAGATCGAGACCATCCCGGCTAAAACGGTGAAACCCCGTCTCTACTAAAAATACAAAAAATTAGCCGGGCGTAGTGGCGGGCGCCTGTAGTCCCAGCTACTTGGGAGGCTGAGGCAGGAGAATGGCGTGAACCCGGGAGGCGGAGCTTGCAGTGAGCCGAGATCCCGCCACTGCACTCCAGCCTGGGTGACAGAGCGAGACTCCGTCTCAAAAAAAAAAAAAAAAGAAGTGAAATGTGGGCTGAGCGCTGGGCAGGATGGGCGTGCGGAAGAACAGCAGCGCATGGAGGGCGCGGTGCCCGCCAGCAATCAAGGGGCAGAGGTGCCGATCCTAAAGGCCGCCCCATGGACAGTCACAAATGACAGTTTTTCCTTCTTTTCTCTGTTTTCCAAACAGCTGAGACAGTCATGGGGGGGTGGGGCGGGGGGTGCTTTACCTCCGCTGTAGTAGGCAGCAGCCAGGCCAATCGACAAGATTCCTATGAAGAGAAAGTGACTGCCTGCCTATTGATCCCGGTAAGACCCCACCTCCCTGGTGCAGCGGGACCAGGAGCCACAGCCCCTGATGAGCAGGCCCTTCCCACTGTAGGAACAGCTGTGGTCAGGGGTTACAGACCACCAGGTTCAGAGTAGGGGAAACAGCCAGGAAGCTGGTTCAATAATGCAGTATAGCTGGGCGTAGTATCACACACTTGTAATCCCAGCTACCTGGGAGGCCGAGGAAGGAAGAGCGCTTGAGCTCAGGAGTTTGAGACCAGCCTGGGCAACATAACGAGACCTCATTACTAAAGAAAACAAAAGCAAAACACAGTATACGCTATTCACAGTATTTACTAGACACATCTGCTGTGTGAGGCTCCATAACTGACACGGGTGTTACTCCAGTAGCACGTGGTGAGGCCTGAAGACTGTGCACAAAGAAATTACAACACAGCGTGTCATGCAAAACACACAGGAGGCTGTGGCGTGTCACAAAAAAGGTGGGCCCCAGCTGCTGAGGTACAGCCAGCACCACTCCTCACACGGTGTCCCGTCAACACAAGTGCAGCTGTCCCCAAGGGTACAGGACCCTACTGGTGGGTAGCGATGGAGGACGGGAGGCTAAGTGGACTGTGAGTCCTACGAAGAGGTCTGAGGACCAGGGAGGAGGAGACATGGGAACCCACGATCACCCATCACGTGGTTAGTGGACTGTGAGTCCTACGAAGAGGTCTGAGGACCAGGGAGGAGGAGACATGGGAACCCACGATCACCCATCACGTGGTTAGTGGACTGTGAGTCCTACGAAGAGGTCTGAGGACCAGGGAGGAGGAGACATGGGAACCCACGATCACCCATCACGTGGTTAGTGGACTGTGAGTCCTACGAAGAGGTCTGAGGACCAGGGAGGAGGAGACATGGGAACCCACGATCACCCATCACGTGGTTAGTGGACTGTGAGTCCTACGAAGAGGTCTGAGGACCAGGGAGGAGGAGACATGGGAACCCACGATCACCCATCACGTGGTTAGTGGACTGTGAGTCCTACGAAGAGGTCTGAGGACCAGGGAGGAGGAGACATGGGAACCCACGATCACCCATCACGTGGTTAGTGGACTGTGAGTCCTACGAAGAGGTCTGAGGACCAGGGAGGAGGAGACATGGGAACCCACGATCACCCATCACGTGGTTAGTGGACTGTGAGTCCTACGAAGAGGTCTGAGGACCAGGGAGGAGGAGACATGGGAACCCACGATCACCCATCACGTGGTTCAAAACAAGTACAAAGGAAAATATGGTGACCTCAGAAAAGCTCATAGAGTATATTAAATACGCTGGGTGTTAGTGATTAAAAGGGGACAAAACAGACATGCATTATCTGTAAAACCAAGTACACCAGATAGAATTTGAATGGATACAAAGAAACAAAATAGCCATTAGATTTCAAGGTAATAGAAAAAAGAGAAAATATTTTGTTTCATTTTCATCCTTTTTGAAAGTCAGGCTTCCGGTTCTGGGGTTCTGGGGAGGGACGTGGAGAGCCTTACCAACCAGCAGGGACCAGGACCGGATGCCTGGAGCCCTCTTCAGATGGAGGCGGGAGCTGGTGCGGGTCTCCACCTGCAGGTACATCCCGAGAGGGCAGCACCACTCTCTACAGGAGGAGGGGTCTGGGAACAGACAGAGGCAGCTGAGCCCTTGGGCCTGCACACAGGCAGGCGCCCACGCCATCAGGCCCAGTCTGGAGGCCAAGAGCAGGTCCCCCAACTAAGTCACCTGCAGCCCCAGACACCATCAGCCAGTCTCACCTGGTCTCTGTGGTTGGGCACGTCACTGGATCCCCCAGAGACCCCGTTTCCTGTGTAAGGAAGGCCCTTTTCCGTTCACAGCGACACCGACTGCGCGGGGGCTGTTTCCCGCTCAGACTCACGAGCTACAGCTGCATCACCACCTGCCCCGTCCTGTCTGGAAACCTTATGTCCTGAGGCCGCTAGCCCCCAGCAGCCTTTAAGCTTCTAGCATCTGTGGGCACCCCCTCTCCCCTGTGCTGGCCTCCACCAAGAAAGGAACTGAAAGTCCCATCATGGCTTCCGGCCGTACTGGCTCTCGCACTGGCATGGACCAACGATCTCAGCTCTCTCTCTGCCCTCCTCCACCTGCTGAAAGTTCAGACTGCACAGTAGAGGGTCCCAAAGCGGCCAGAACCGACGAGTCACCAAAGGGGCTAATCTTCCACAGCGGAGTTCCGCACGGGCGCAGCAGCCCTGCCACTTCACCGTACGCTCCCAACACTGGCCCCAGGGACCCCGTTCTGGTAGTTTCTCAGGGCTTTCCCTGTGAAGTCAAATCAAATTTCTGACATTAAGTAGGGGGTTCAGGCTGGGCGCGGTGGCTCAGGCCTGTAATCTCAGCACTTTGGGAGGACGAGGCGTGCGGATTGTTTGAGTCACGGAGTTCAAGACCAGCCAGGGCAACGTGGCGAAACCCCGTCTCCACAGAAAATACATAAAACAGCCCGGTGTGGTGGTGTACGCCTGTGGTCCTAGTTATTCAGGAGGCTGAGCTGGGAGGATCACCTGAGGCCGGGAGGTGGAGGCTGCAGTGAGCAGAAATCGTGCCACTGGACTCCAGCCTGGGTGACAGAGTGAGACCGTGTCTCAAAAAAATAAAAAATAGTGGGTTCAAATCACACAAACCAATCCTAGATGCTGGTATATGACTGGGCTCCCTCCCGGGCCTCAGTTGCCTCATTGCTCCCGAAACACCCGGCATTCCACATCCAAATGCACACACACACGCACACTCGCGGACACAAGCACACGCGCGCTGGCAAAGCCGCCCGCGCCGCTAGTCGCACCGAGCGCTCGTTTCTTTGTCCGGATCGGGGGCGCTCCCGCCGCCGGGGCCAACCTGCAGCGGAACAGGCGCGAGGCCGCCCGCGACGGGCACGGCGGGACACGGAACAGCCGGCAGGCGGGCCCAGGACGCAGACCCCTCCCGGAGTGGGCCTAAGGGTGCCGGGACGCGCGGCACGGAGCGGGAAGGAAGTGCGGAGCCCACCCAGCCCAGCCGCCTACCGAGAGCACAGCGGTCCCCGCGCCGCAGCAGAGAGACGCGAACCGGCGGGGGCGGGGCCGCGCGCACTTCCGGGATTGGAGCGGAGCCGAGCCGACTTTCGGGGGCGGGGCCGCGCGCGCTTCCGGGATTGGGGGCGGGGCCGCGCGCGCTTACGGGATTGGGGCGGGGCCGCAAGCATTTCCTGGATGGGGCGGAGCCGAGCGGATTTCCGGGATCCGGGCGGAGCCGCAGGAGGAGGCGGGTGGTTCCTGCTAAAGAAGCCAGTTTTCTTGAAAAAAAGAAACGTGCGGGGAAACGTATCCGACAGCAAAGAACTTACCAAGGACTATGAACGTCTTGCTAACATAGAAGCGAAACTGAAGCGGTTCTCATTGCCAAAAAAGAAGATTTGAGCATGAATAAGAACAGGAATTCGAGTGAATTTAAAATCCTCAGATGCTCCAGTCTGTAATTCATAATAATGTATTTTTTAACTCTGTTCACCTTTGGAGGATGCTGGTAAGCTCACCCCAGTTTGTGGCCTGGTTAATAAAAGGAAAGCATCAAGCATTTGTCCTGCCTTTATGAAATTTACAGCAGAGTAACCAAATACTGCATGAGAAGAATTTCTCATTATAGAAGTTTTCCCGCTAATAAATGAAGAAGAAACAGTAGGATTAAAACATCACCCTATGAATTAACGGACCTAGGCAATGTCATCAATGACTGCTAATTAACATCGCAAAAAGGTCAGTTAGATATCAGAAGTACACAACACTATGAAGTAGTCTTGCCAGAAAAAATTTAACCTGAATGTGAACAAGCTTCTAGAGTGAATTACTGGAAATGTGGAAGACAAGACTGTACTAAAGGATTCTACAAGGATACAGTCAGCAATTCGAAACCTCAACCATCTGAATGGACCCTTCCGCTTGGCCAAGAGCATTCCCAAGTTATCCTGAAAAACTAGCTCAGGCAGTGATGGGAAGGGGGAGACAGACATACCTCACTCCCTCCTCCCTTTTGGAATTCAGGCACACAGCTGACCAGCATTCACATTAAAACAGATCTTGAGGTGGCCAGGTGCGGTGGCTCACGCCTGTAATCCCAGCACTTTGGGAGGCCAAGGTGGGCAGATCACGAGGTCAGGAGATTGAGACCATCCTGGCTAACACAGTGAAACCTCATCTCTACTAAAAACACAAAAAAATTAGCTGGGCGTGGTGGCGGGTGCTCATAGTCCCAGCTACTCGGGAGGCTGAGGCAGGAGAATGGCGTGAACCCGGGAGGCAGAGCTTGCAGTGAGCCGAGATCGTGCCACTGCTCTCCAGCCTGGGCAACAGAGTGAGACTCCATCTCAATAAAAAATAACAAAACAAAACAAAAACAGATCTTGAAGTTGACAAAGTAGACTCTGTAGCAATGACGCCAAATTCCAGCCTGACTCTGGTATAGGACTACATGACAGATAGGAAGCCTTGGAAGAAATGGAAGTACTTTACCCCACATTAAATTTCTTCGACTTATTTTGAAATAGCCCTGCAAAGCTGTCCCTTGTGAAGAAAATCTACATTCTGTAGCGAATCCCCGTTCCTTTCCAGGTCTTTTTCCTGCTTCAGGGAGAACTCTGATAAGAAGCACTTACAATCTATTCTCTCTGAAGCCTGCTACCTGGAGACTTCCTCTGCTTAATGGAAATCTTGGTCTCCACAAACCCTTATCTTAACCTAAAAACTCCCTTCTGTTGATTCTAGGTCTTTAGACAGTAACTTAACCTTTTCAACCAATTGCCAGATAGAAAATCTTTGAATCTACCTATGACCTGGAAGCCCCCCCACTTCAAGTTGCCACACCTTTCTGAACCAAACCAATGTACATCTACGTGTATTGACTGTCTTATGTCTTCCAAAAATGTATGTAGCCTAACCACCTTGGGTACGTGTTCTTAGGATCTCCTAAGGGCTGTGTCGCTGGCCCTTGGTCACTCATATTTGGTTCAGAATCTCTTAAAATATTTTTCAGTTTGACTCTTTTTGACAACATGGGAAATCCTACAGGCAAATGACCTGATTTTTAAAATGATATATACAAAGAGAAGGATATGGATAGAACCTACAAATTTGAAAAATGACAACTTTAAGATCAGGAACTCTGCAACTTTTTTTTTTTTTTTTTTCTGGACAAAGTCCCACTCTGTTGCCCAGGCTGGGGTGCAGTGGCACCATCTCAGCTCATTGCAACCTCCGCCTCCCCGGTTCAAGCAATTCTCCTGCCTCAGCCTCTCAAGTAGCTGGGACTACAGGCACACACCACCACGTCCACCTAATTTTTTTATTTTTAGTAGAGAGAGGCTTTTGCCATGCTGGCCAGGCTGGTCTCAAACCCCTGACTTCAGATGATCCACCTGCCTTGGCTGCCCAAAGTGCTGGGATTACAGGCATGAGCCATCATGCCCAGCTTGAACTCTGCCACTTCTAAGTACGCCTCAAGTTATGTCAAAATCAAGTTTTTATTTTATTTATTTATTTATTTTAGTATTTATCAATCATTCCTGGGTGTTTCTCAGAGAGGGGGATGTGGCAGGGTCATAGGACAATAGTGGAGAGAAGGTCAGCAGATAAACACTTGAACAAAGGTCTCTGGTTTTCCTACGCAGCGGTCCCTGCGGACTTCCACAGTGTTTGTGTCCCTGGGTACTTGAGATTAGGGAGTGGTGATGACTCTTAACGAGCATGCTGCCTTCAAGCATCTGTTTAACAAAGCACATCTTGCACCGCCCTTAATCCATTTAACCCTGAGTTGACACAGCACAGGTTTCAGAGAGCACGGGGTTGGGGGTAAGGTCATAGATTAACAGCATCCCAAGGCAGAAGAATTTTTCTTAGTACAGAACAAAATGGTGTCTCCTTGGTCTGCTTCTTTCTACACAGACACAGTAACAGTCTGATCTCTCTTTCTTTTCCCCACATTTCCCCCTTTCCTTTTCGACAAAACCGCCATCGTCATCATGGCCCGTTCTCGATGGTCACTGTCTCCTCGGAGCTGTTGGGTACACCTGCAGAAAGGCTCCCAGATGGGGTGGCCGGGCAGAGGCGCCCCTCACCTCCCAGACGGGGCGGCCGGGCAGAGGCGCTCCTCACATCCAAGACGGGGTGGCAGCCGGGCAGAGGCTCTCCTCACTTCCTAGACAGGGTGGCGGCCGGGCAGAGGCTCTCCTCACTTCCCAGACAGGGTGGCGGCCGGGCAGAGGCGCTCCTCACATCCCAGACGGGGCAGCCAGGCAGAGGCGCTCCTCACATCCCAGACGATGGGTGGCCGGGCAGAGACACTCCTCACTTCCTAGACAGGGTGGCGGCTGGGCAGAGGCTGTAATCTTAGCACTTTGGGAGGCTAAGGCAGGCGGCTGGGAGGTGGAGGTTGTAGCGAGCCGAGATCACGCCACTGCACTCCAGCCTGGGCAGCACTGAGTGAGAGAGACTCCGTCTGCAATCCCAGCACCTCGGGAGGCCGAGGCGGGCAGATCACTCAAGGTCAGGAGCTGGAGACCAGCCCGGCCAACACAGCGAAACCCCATCTCCACCAAAAATACAAAAACCAGTCAGGCGTGGTGGCGCATGCCTGCAATCCCAGGCACTCGGCAGGCTGAGGCAGGAGAATCATGGGAGCCCGAGGCAGGGAGGTTGCAGCAAGCCGAGATCACGGCAGTACAGTCCAGCCTCGGCAACAGAGGGAGACTGTGGGAAGAGAGAAGAGAGAAGAGAGGAGAGGGAGAGGGAGAACAAGTTTTTATTTTTAAAGAGAGACTTTTCAATGTCTTCCGTAAGTTCATAGAAAAAGAGACTTAAGAAACATATGAACCAATTGTAATATAGACTATTAAAACATACTAGACCTTATTTAGATCCTGATTTAAACAAACTGTAAAAAAATATGAGACAATGGGGAAAACTGGACATTGGCTATTTGATAAAAAAAAAATTAAGTGATTATAATTTGTTCTTTTTTTTTTTTTTTTTTGAGACGGAGTCTCGCCCTGTTGCCCAGGCTACAGTCATGCAATCTCGGCTCACTGCAGCCTCTGCCTCCCAGGTTCAAGCAATTCTCCTGCCTCAGTCTCCTGAGTAGCTGGGACTACAGGTGCGTGCCACCATGCCCAGCTAATTTTTTGTATTTTATTAGAGATGGGGTTTCACCATGTTGTCCAGGCCGGTTGCGAACTCCTGAGCTCAGGCAATCCTCCCACCTTGGCCTCCCAAAGTTCTGGGATTACACGCATGAGCCAATACACCCGGCCGTAATTTGTTCTTTCAAACATATTACACTTATGTTTTTATTTCATTTTTTTTTTTTTGTATTTTAGAGATGGAGTTTTGCTCTTGTTGCCCAGGCTGGAGTGCAATGGCATGGTGCTGGCTCACTGCAACCTCTGCCTCCCAGGTTCAAGTGATTCTCCTGCCTCAGCCTCCTGAGTAGCTGTGATTACAGGCACCCACTATCACACACAGCAAATTTTTCTATTATTAGTAGAGATGGGGTTTCACCATGTTGACCAGGCTGGTCTCAAACACCTGACCTCAGGTGATCCACCCACCTCAGCCTCCCAAAGTGCTGGGATTACAGGCGTGAGCCACCACACCTGGCCAGTTATGTTTGTAAAACATTAACAAAAAAGCTATACAAATGACAACCTAAAATTATCCTTTTATTTAAACTGAAGTTGAGGGGAGATATTTTCTGAGAGATGCTGACTTGAATTTGAGTAATCTAGAGGGTTAAGACTTCCAGAATTTCATTGTTGCATTTGTAAAAAGCTATACAAAATGAAAACTATAAATAATAATTTTTTTTTTTTTGAGATGAAGTCTCACTCTGTCGCCCAGGCTGGAGTCCAGTGGTGCGATCTCGGCTCACTGCAACCTCCACCTCCTAGGTTCAAGCGATTCTCCTACCTCAGCCTCCCAAGTAGCTGTGATTACAGGCACACACCACCATGCCTGGCTAATTTTTGTATTCTTAGTAGAGATGGGGTTTCAGCATGTTGGCCAGGCTGGTGTCAAACTCCTGACCTCAAGTGATCCGCCTGCCTCGGCCTCCCAAAGTGCTGGGATTACAGGCATGAGCCACCATGCCTGAGCTCAACTTTGAAGTGTCAACTTGAAACTGCCTTTGCAAAGATTAAGGCAGTGATAGAGGCTGGGTGCAGTGGCTCACACCTGTAATCCCAGCACTTTGGGAGGCTGAGATGGATCACTTGGGCCCAGGAATTCAAGAACAGCCTGGGCAACATGGGGAGACCCTGTATCTACAAAAAATTTAAAACTTAGCCATGCACAGTGGTGTGAGCCTGTAGTCCCAGCTACCCCGCGGGGCTGAGGTGGAAGGATTACTTGATCCAAGGAGGTTGAGGCTGCAGTGAGCTGTGATCACGCCACTGCACTCCAGCCTGGGTGACAGAGTGAGACCCTGTCTCAAAAAAAAAAGACAGAGAAATTTCACACAGTTAATTCCGTCTTCCTTTGGACATCCAAGCTGTCCAGTTGTTCCTGGGCATAAGCCAAGCTAATTTTAGGAGCTTTGGGAGGAATTTACAGTTTAACCTTGAAACAAGGATGATAATAGTCCCTTCCTAAAACTATCACCTCCCACTTCTGGGGCTGAAATTGCCTTTGTAAAGCTAATGAAAGGCCACAAGGTTAGGATTGTGGGAGTGGCCTGAACTCTGCTAAAATGCAGGCCTAGTTTCTACAGTCCCTCACTGCTCAGGACTCATGTGGCCAGAGGTCACAAAATTTGCAACTTCCCGAATTGCACCTATAGATAATATCAGTATTGCAGGACCTAAGAATGGCTTTTTGAGATGTTTTTCAGAGTGAACCCACCCCAACCTGCTACTCAGGACTCAATTGGTTTCTGTGGCCCCACCCAGAGGCAGACTCAGTGCTTGAGGACCGTTTTCCACACACCCTTTTGATTTCATTCCCAGTCAATCAGCAGCATCCATTCCCTAGCCCCCTGCCCACCAAATTGTCCATAAAAACCCTAACTGCGGCCAGGCGTGGTGGCTCATGCCTGTAATCCCAGCACTTTGGGAGGCCGAGGCAGGCGGATCACAAGGTCAGGAGTTCAAGACCAGCCTGGCCATTATGGTGAAACCCCATCTCTACTAAAAAATACAAAAATTAGCCAGGCGTGGTGGCGTGTGCCTGTCGTCCCAGCTACTTAGGAGGCTGAGGTAGGAGAATCGCTTGAACCTGGGAGGTGGAGGTTGTAGTGAGCCGAGATTGTGCCACTGCACTCCAACCTGGGTGACAGAGTGAGACTCCGTCTCAAAAACAAAAACAAAAAAACAAAAAACAAACTCCTAACTGCTGAGCCTTTGGAGAGACTGATTTGAGTAGTAACTGTCTCCTGTGTGGCCTGCCAGGTGTCAATTAAACTCTTTTCCCGGCCTGCTGCAATCTTGATGAATTGACTTTTTGTCTGTGCAGTGGGCAGGAAGAACCCGATGGGCAATGGCAAGCTGAAGAATGATGAGATTCATAAATCTGGAAAGGAGAGCTTTACTTCTCATAAAGGGTTTCAGCCTGCAGGGTGGCCATTCTGACAGACAGGGAAGCACTGCCTCTGGCCAGAAGCCAGAAACAGACACTTCCAGGGAGGGGCAAAGGGAACAGGAATCTATGAGGTGCAGTGTGTAAATATACATATTTATCAAGCTACAGGAGAAGTCATGAATATTTTTGAAGAGAGAAACATACACAAACACAATGAAGCTTCAGGCCCCTTCACGAGGGTCATGTCATCTCACCAGAACCACTCCATGGTCAGTGTCTCTTATCAGTAAGGAATACTGGTCAATTGGGCCGAAACTGCAAATGAGAGAGTTGTTATCAGCGGTGGAGTCTTTCGAAAGCGCTGGTTTCCGTTAAGCTCTTAGCCAAGAAAACCTAATGGTAGTTAGCCAAGGGTTGGCCTTAATAACAGGTGTCTCACCTCCCATCTGTCATGGCTGAGAACTGCCTTCAAGGCAACCCTGGGATCTCCTTAGCCAGTAGGGGGTTCGTGTAGTCAGTTGGGGGTCTTTGGATTTCATTTTCATTTCTCAGAGGACAGGAAGGAAGGCTCTAACATGGGGAATCCTGAGAACTGCTGCTGTCTGTTAAATACGCCTACAAGTTATTTTTCTTATGTCACACTCTCCCAGACATGTTCTTACTTCTCATTTCTGATTTCTGTAATACACACACACTGATTTCATAAAACGTTTATGAGTCCAACACTTCCATTATAGCCCTGTATCAATGTTTTGCTTAGCTGAAATCAATTTCTTGGAGGAGTAAGTGTTATCTTTACTTTGTAAGCTGTAAGGGCCCAAATCAATGTACTTGGTAAAACTATCCATAGTGAACACACGCAAATGTCAAATGGCCATCATTTAGCATCTGCCCTCGGGCTTCCGGGTCCATCACGTGGTTACTGACAGGCAGGCCGCGCATGCGCGCTGCTACTCCGCCGAGCCTACGTGACACGACGTCAAGTGGCAATGGCGGCGGACGAGGGCTGTGCCCCCGGCCCGCCCCGTTAGGAGCCGCGAGTAAGGCGAGTGTCCAACGCCGAGCTGGCTGACAGAGCCCGGCCGCGGCCTCCGCGGGCCCAGGGGCCTCCAGGCCCCGTGACCACCGGACCGAGCACCCTGGAACGGCCCCAGCTTGGCCTCGGGACAGTCCGCGCGCTCACCGACTCCCTGGTGAACGCCGCTTGGCCGCCGCCGCCGCCGCAGGACCCACGAGAAGCGGAAACCGGCGCAAGGACCCGGTCCCCCCGGCGCCGTACGTGGAGTGAGCCTGCGGTCCGCCCCGCGCGCTCCGATTGGCTCTGGGGCCTGGCCCGCCCCTTCCCGACACTGTCATTGGCCTAGGCAAAGCCGTAAGGGTGGGGAATCCTATTGGCCCAGGGGTGCGGCTTGTCCTCTCCCGGTGCTCTCATTGGCCGAGCGCGGCCGTTGGGGGTGAGGCCGCGTCGGGGGAGGACAACAAAGGGCCGCGGGCGGCGGGCAGTGGTGTCCCAGTCTCCCGGTGCTTCCCTGAGGCTGAGGCGCCCGGCCTCCCGCCCGCCGCGCTCCAGATGAAGTGTGAGCACTGCACGCGCAAGGTGAGCGCCGCGGGCCGGGGAGGCGCGCGCCTGGTGCTTGTCCTGTGGGGCTCTGGGCGGCCGAGGTTGGCGGTCCGGGCCCGCCGCTCGCTCGCTTCAGGGCTCTTCAAGGCGCCCCCGGCCTCGGCACCCTGGGCCCGCTCGGCGTGGAGGCGGCCGGCGCGGGGTCCGCTGCGCTCTGCAGGGCGGGTTCGGTCTTCGCGGTTCTCCCTGAACTTGTCCATCTTTCCCACGCCCGCGAAGCGCGGAAACGCACGGAGACCGAGCCTCTCGTGCCGCGCACCACAGTCCGAGTAAACAGCGGTCGTGGCGGGAATGATCAGAAGCGTTTCGAGAGGGTTTTAGGCGTTTTCGAACCTGCCCCTCTGAGGGTCACCGAGCAGCCGGTGCAGGGGCGGAAGCGGGTGACGGCTGCTGACCGGCGCCTTCCGCGGTTGTCTCCAGGCCATGGCAACAACCGCGCAGCGCACGCAGGGGGGTTTTGTAGCTGTTATTGCCGGAATGGGCTCCTGTGGATGCTGCTCTGTGGCTGGCACTTCTGCGCGTGACGCCGTGGCAGGAGGCTTCCTAACATTCCATGGGTCGTTCATCCCCGGTGGTGGCTGCGTCCTATTCTAAGTACACCTGTGTCCAGGGGAATTCGCCTGTGGGGTGAAGGCTACAGTTGCTTCTGCTTTTTTATTATTGTAAACAATAGAGATGTGTGTGTGTCCTTCAGTACCTGTTTCACTAGAAGGGTTAGAAGGATAGAAGGCCAGGCACGGTGGCTCAAGCCTGTTATCCCAGCACCTTGGGAGGGGAGGCCGAGGCGGGTGGATCACCTGAGGTCAGCAGTTCAAGACCATCGTGGCCAACATGGCGAAACCCAGTCTCTACTAAAAATATAAAATTAGCTGGGTGTGGTGGCGCACACCTGTAATCCCAGCTACTCAGAAGGCCGAGGCAGGAGAATCGCTTGAACCCGGGAGGTGGAGGCTGCAGTGAGCCGAGATTGCGCCCCTGCACTCCAGCCTGGGTGAGAGCGAGACTCCGTCTAAAAAAATAAATAAATAAACTAAAAGAAAGGATAGAAATACATGAGCTTCATTGGTCAGAATGTGCACATTTTCTTAAGGGAGACGAAGTAAAAGTTCATTGATAATGTTCCTTTGCTTTTTTAAGGAATGTAGTAAGAAAACAAAAACTGATGACCAAGAGAATGTGTCAGCCGATGCACCGAGTCCAGCCCAGGAAAATGGAGAGGCAAGTAGATTTTTCAGTTTTGTATCAGCCCAGAGTAAACTACTGCTGCTGTTTTTCTCTTTGGGGGCTCACAGCACCGTGCACATCACTGCTTTAAAGAAGACTGAAGTACGCGGGCATGGTGGCTCACGCCTGGAATCCCAGCACTTTGGGAGGCCGAGGTGGACGGATCACTTGAGGTCAGGAGTTTGAGACCAGCCTGGCCAACATGGTGAAACCTTATCTCTGCTAAAAATACAAAAATTATCCAGGTATGGTGGTGTACGCCTGTAATCCCAGCTACTCAGGAGGCTGAGGCAGGAGAATTGCTTGACCCTGGAAGACAGAGGTTGCAGTGAGCTGAGATTGTACCACTGTACTTCAGCCTGGGCAACAGAGTGAGACTCTGTCCCAAAAAAAAGACTGAAATAGGCCAGGCGTGGTGGCTCATGCCTGTAATCCCAGAACTTTGGGAGGCCGAGGCAGGCGGATCATGAGATCAGGAGATTGAGACTATCCTGGCTAACACAGTGAAACCTCATCTCTACTAAAAATGCAAAAAATTAGCCGGGCGTGGTGGGGGGCGCCTGTAGTCCCAGCTACTCGGGAGGCTGAGCCAGGAGAAAGGCGTGAACCTGGGAGGCGGAACTTGCAGTGAGGCAAGATCGCGCCACTGCACTCCAGCCTGGGCAACAGAGTAAGACTCCGTCTCCGAGACTGAAATAAACTTGAAGGGGCTAATAAAGACATGTGTGAGACAGTCCATCAGTGGCACAAGGCCTGTCTTCTCAGAACACACTACACCAAAACACACTGCATTGGGAACAAAGAAAACGTGGTGTAATACTGGATTTCTTCTTTTAATTTTTTTTTTCCCCTTTTGAGACAGGGTCTCACTGTCACCCAGGCTGGAGTGCAGTGGCTCACTGTATGGCTCACCGCAGCCTTGACCTCTGAGGCTCAAGTGATTCTCCTGCCTCAGCCTCCCTAGTAGCTGGGACTACAGGTATGCACCACCATGCTCAGCTAATTTATTTTTATTTTTATTTTTTGGTAGAAATGGAGTTCCACTATGTTGCCCAGATTGGTCTTGACCTCCTGGGCTCAAGTGATCCTCCTGCCTCAGCCTCCCAAAGTGCTGGGATTACAGGCGTGAGCCACTGCACCTGGCCTCTCTTCTAATTCAGTTCTTGTTTTTAAATTCTCCTTAGCTAGTAGCTATGGTCTCTGTTTATTGGATACATAACCTGAGCCTGGCTCTCAAGAATGTGATTTTACAGCCAGGCATGGTGGCTCACACCTGTAATCCCAACACTTTGGGAGGCCGAGGTGGGTGGATTACCTGAGGTCAGGAGTTCAAGATCAGCCTGACCAACATAGATAAACCCCATCTCTACTAAAAATACAAAATTAGCTGGGCGTGGTGGTGCATGCCTGTAATCCCAGCTACTCAGGAGCCTGAGGCAGGAGAATTGCTTGAACCCGGGAGGCGGAGGTTGAGGTGAGCCGAGATCACGCCACTGCACTCCAGCTGGGGCGACAGAGTGAGACTCCGTCTCAAAAAAAAGAATGTCATTTTACATGCAGTCTCATTTCACGCCCAGAAGGAACATTACATGTAAGCCTGGCCATTATCCCTGTTTTACTGAGTGAAGGGTGTTGGGAGAGGTTAAGGTCAGTCTACCCTTAGAAAGTACTAGTACCAGTTTATAAATGGAGAGTTGGCAATATGGCAGAAGCATATTTTTTCCTTAAGTTTAGTAGTCCTGACATGTTTAATCTGACAGGTGTTCTCCCGGTTGCCCTGTGTGCCAGTGCTGTGGGGACTGTGGGGCTTAGGGAGCAACAGGGCCTGAGACAAGCAGCCAAAGAGCTGGCCACAGGCAGAAGAGAGGTAGGGTGCATTGGAGCCCTGGAGGCAGCTGGGGCCAGTGCGCCTGAGTGGCCGACCCCAGGGGCCTCCCTCACCTGCCCTCTGGTTGTGTCGTTGTAGACAGATATCTAAGCCCTGTGAGCCTCGTTTCCTTATCAGAGGCCTGGGGAGTAGGGTTACCTCCCTCCCAGGACTGTGGTGAGGATGAGATAACGTGTGTACACAGCCTAAGTGGGCGCCCTGCCAGGTCAGTGATGGACACAGGGTGAGAGGAGTTGGGTTGGGGTTAATGGAGTGGACCCTGAAGAGTGGTCAGAATTCAGGGTGGGAGTGTAGGGAAGGGCACTGGCACACCAGGCAAGAGGAGGGTGTGGACAGACGTGCTCTAGGGAGAGACAGTGGCTCCCCTTGGCCAGGTCAATGACAGTGCAGAGCTGTGGAGACCGTGAGGGGGTGACTCAGGTGTTTGTTTTAGGGCAGGTGATGGAGGTAACCGACTTAAGCTGGCTAGAGTAGGGGAAGAATTGCAGGAAGCCACTTGGGTGGCAGCTTTGAGAGCCTAGGCAGAGGTGGTGGGCCTGGGCAAGTCTACCAGAGTGATAGAGACAGAACAGAGGACGTAGTGCAGGGAAGGGAGTGCAGTTTTAGCTCCACAGACACTGGGCCTTCTACGGTGTGTGAGTCTGGGGTTTGGTGAGAGCACTCCGCTGGAAGTGCAGGTGGCAGGGCTGCCCTGGGCTGAGTGAGGCCAGCAGGCCTGATAAAAGGGAACAGGACTTCTGTAGAATGCATCAGTGTGGAAGGCAGGAGGAATAAGAAGAAAGAATGTGAGGGGTGAGGAGGGAATCAGACCTGGACCATGAAAACTTATGGAAGGACTGGGTTATACACAGCATGTCTGGTGGCAAGGCAGGGAGGAGGCACTGCTGGGTGAGGGGGGCAGTTTGGTCATGGGCATCTCAGTGGGGATGGGCTGTGGAGGCACAATTCATGCAGCTATGGGCACCAGATGTTTGGAGTGGAGCTGTGGCTTTGACCCACTGGGAACTTGTTAGAAGCACAAACTCTTGAGCCCCATGCGGACCTCCTGAGTGCCCATCTGCAGCAGAACAAGATCCCAGGTTGAGTGGGCTGCACAGAGACATGGGGTCATGTGTAGGCAGGAGGCAGAGGTGACACCCGAGCTGCGGTTCGTAGCACGCTGTGGAAGGAGGAGGCACATCCATAGCCGTCTCCTGTCAAATCAAGTTTTAAAGAAAAACGAATGCATGGACTACCTGAGGAGCTTCTGTAATTTATTGACATTACTCCTGTAAGCTTCAGAGTATTCATATGTTCATCCACCAGTTATTTATTGAGCACTGTCTGTGTGCAGTACCTCTTGGAAGTGCTGAGGAACAAGAGAACAAGACAGTGTTCAAGCTCTCATGAGCTTACATTTTAGCGAGGAGGGACAGACTCCTGCTAGCAGTCAGCAACATAAGTACAGATGGGTGGGGAGGGAAGAGACGGGTGAGGGGGTGGTGCTGTTTTAGCAGGTGTTGGACATCGTCTCTGCTGAAGGCCACCCAGGGTGAGCCTGGGGCTCTTAGAGGTTGCTTCATGCAGAAGGATGGCGAGAGCAGCAAGGGCCAGTGGGGCTGGACGTGTGGAGACCAAGGGGGCTGTGATGGGACCCGGGCAGACAGGGGCCACTGGCTTTGCCCAGGCCCTCTGTGTGAGGGGCAGCTGTCTGAGCAGAGCAGAGGTGTGGTTTATGTTTTAGCAGATGTCGGGGAGCACAAGGGCCAGTCAGGAAGGAGAGGGTGGAGGGGATCAAAGAGTGACTCTACATCCAGGTCAGGATAAGCATCTTGTTACATGTCCGAGTGCAAACCCAGAGCCAGCACTGAGTTGTAAAGTTCTGAGCCTCAAGGGAGAGGCCAGGGCTGTGGGTGGCCTCAGGGAGCCGTGGGATGGTAAGAGGGGGCACAGAGCTAGAGGAGCAGTCAGAGGGCTGGATCACAGGCACCAAAGAGGAAGGGGTCTAGGAGGAAGGGGTCTAGCAGTGGGGTGAGCTTCCAGAACACAGGGGTCATTTACTTCCTACCACGTGACAGTGCTAGGGCTGGGTTCCACCCTTGTCATCTGCATGGTTCCCTAGTGTCATTGTGGGCTGGGCCCTGTGTCCTGTGTCCCTTCACCACCTTGAGCTGCTCAGTGGCAGAGACTGTCCTGCTTCCAGCCCCTTGAGCACCAGGCCTGGACCCTGGTATTATCTCCAATGTTTACTGTGAATTCTGTATATGGGTGTTACCCTCTCTAAAGAAGCACATTAAAGAGTATTTGTTGAATAATCATGCTGAAACGTCATCTTTCATAGAAGGGAGAATTCCACAAGTTGGCTGATGCCAAGATATTTTTGAGCGACTGCCTGGCATGTGACAGCTGTATGACTGCAGAGGAAGGAGTCCAACTTTCCCAGCAAAATGCCAAGGACTTCTTCCGCGTTCTGAACCTTAACAAGGTAAGGCATTCGGGGCATTTGCTGATGCTGGGGAGCTGACCTGGAGGAAGTGGAGGTGAGGCCTGGCTTCCTGCACAGAAGCCTCTGCTGGGACATCGGATGCACATCTCAGCCTTTTCCTGGTGTTGCTAACATCCTGCTTTGACCTTCCAAACCTCTCCATCAAGAGCAAAATCCCCGCACAATTTCCTGCTCCCTTAATAATGCTCAGGCAGTGGTGGGGGGCTGGCATCACCCCTCAGGCTCCTGTGGCTTAAGCGGGGCCTCTGCCTGGTGAGGTCAGGTAACACGGGTGTTGGTGATCATGCGGGCAGCACAGAGCCGGAGCTCCTGCTGTTCTGCCTCGGCTGCACGTTTTCGGACACGAGAGTTATGTTCTAATAGACCGATCAGCTTGGGGCAAGGCAGAGACACTCCAAGGAAGTAAAAATTCCCAAAGCTCCTTCCTTCAGCTCATCCCTGCAGACCTCCTATACAGAACGAGAGGTGCCACTTGTCTTTCCGTGAGACAGGTTGTATTAGTCCATTCTCACATTGCTACAAAGAACTACGTGACACTGGCTAATTTATAAAGCAGAGAGGTTTAATTGACTCACAGTTCCACAGGATCTACAGGAGACATGGCTGGGGAGGCCTCAGGGAACAACCATGGCGGAAGGGTGAAGGGGAAGCAAGCATGTCTTCACGTGGCAGCAGGAGAGAGCAAGTAAAGGGGGAGGTGCTGCACCCTTGTAAACAACCAGATCTTGTGAGGACTCACTCACTATCATGAGAAGAGCAAGTGGGAGATCCGCCCCCATGACCCAGTCACCTCCTGCCAGGCCCAGCCTTCAGTTTCACATGAGATTTGGGTGGGGACGCAGAGCCAAACCATATCACAGGTGAAAGAGAAAGAGACAAAGGCAGATGAGGCTGAAAAGCACTTCTTGGTTTCCATGCTGTCACCTCCACGGGAAGCACCGGCATCCTACCCTGCCCAGGGTGTAGGAGCCCATTCACAGTAGGTAGTGTGCTAGAGCAAGGTAGGGGCCTCAAGAAACACTGACTGGCACAAGTGGGTGGCATAGGGGACAGCCAAGGAGCCTTCTCAGCGTTTGCCATTCACCCCCATGGCTTCTGGACAAGTCATCCAGCAGCAATTAGATCACAATATTTTTCTTTGTGAGACAGGGCCTCACCCAGGCTGGAGTGCAGTGGAGAGAGTCTCAGTGGGGAGACTCTGGTGATCCTCCCACCTCTGGAGGCTCCCTGTAGCCTCCAGAGCAGCTGGGACTACAGACGCGTGCTACCACACCTGCCTAATTTTTGTATTGTTTGTAGAGACAGGGTTTTGCCATGTTGCCCAGGCTGGTCCTGAACTCCTGTGCTCAAGCGATCCTCCAGCCTCAGCCTCCCAAAGTGTTAGGATTATAGGCATCAGCCACCACCCATGACCTAGATCACAATTGCAGATAGAGACACATGTCCTCTGTGTTGCCAGCATTAGTTGTGTCTGGGTGTACCCTGACTTATATGCACTTGCACGGGAACTCCGTTAGCAAGCAGCAGGCTGCCTGGATAGGATGGTCTGAACCAGGAGATGCCCCCCACCCATCAGCCAGGTTCGCCATGCATACCCGTCCCCACCTGCTCACCCTTGGCCTTTCAGGGAACAGAATGGCTTCAGCCATTTTGTTACGTTGAACAGACTTAGTGGATACAGCTTTGCAGACTACTAGAGACTTAATTCTGTGGTGTCAACGGTTTTTGCAAAAACCCTTGAAAGTGTCTGTGTCACTTTATGCTTCCCTAAGTGATAGGGGCAAACAGCTGTGTGCAGCCATCCTGGTCACATTCAATATCAAATTCAGTTTTTTCCCCCCTGATACATAGAGAATTGTATCTCATTTGCATTTTCTTGCTTATTTAGAGAAGTTGGTTACCCTAGATGATGTTTATTGACAGTTTATATTTTATCTTATGCTGCTTGTCCAGTCTACAACTTATATTTTAGTACGGTGTGCGATGTGAATACATTCTTCTTCCTTTTTTTTCTTTTCTGAGATGGAGTCTCTCACTGTCTCTCAGGCTGGGGTGCAGTGTCGTGATCTCAGCTTATTGCAACCTCTCCTTCCTGGGTTCAAGCAATTCTCCTACCTCAGCCTCTCAAGTAGCTAGAGTTACAGGCAGGCACCACCATGCCCAGCTAATTTTTGCATTTTTAGTAGAGATGGGGTTTCATCATGTTGGCCAGGCTGGTCTCGAACTCCTGACCTCAAGTGATGTGCTCGCCTCGGCCTCCCAAAGTGCTGGGATTACAGACGTGAGCCACCACACCCGGCCAGATACATTCTTTTCTATTTGAAAAAATCAAATTGTTCCAGCATCTTCTGTTCTTCCCCTGTTGACCTGAAATATTATCCTACCTCTCTTATATATTGATAGATGTGCATCCATTTGTTTCTTTTTTTTCGGCCTTCACCATGTTGGCCAGGCTGGTCTTGAATTCCTGGCTTCAAGTGATCCACCTGCCTTGGCCTCCCAAAGTGCTGGGATTACGGGCATAAGCCACCGTACCTGGCCTTCTTTTTTTTTTTTTTCCCCATTACTTCCACCCCACCCTTGTACTGCGTGTCTATTTCTTGACCCTTTTTTGAGATGGAGTCTCACTCTGTCGCCCAGGCTTGAGTGCAGTGGCACGATCTTGGCTAACTGCGACCTCCACCTCCTGGGTTCAAGCAGTTTTCCTGCCTCAGCCCCCTGAGTATCTGGGATTACAGGTGCACACCACCATGTCTGGCTAGCTTTTGTATTTTTAGTAGAGATGGGGTTTCTCCCTTTTGGCCAGGCTGGTCTCGAGCTCCTGACCTCAGGCTATCCACCAGCCCCGGCCTCCCAAAGTGCTGGGATTATAGGCATGAGCCACCACGCCTGGCCCTTGACTCTTATATCTGAACCTGTCTTCTATTGCGCTGCCAACATCTAGTTTATGCTAGTTTATGCAGTATTTTTTTAGAACAGTTTGTAGATGAGGCTTACTCACAAAACATCTTAGGCCTGGTAACTTTTTTTTTATTTTTTTATTTTTTATTTTTGGAGATGGAGTCTCACTCTGTCGCCCAGGCTGGAGTGCAGTGGAGCAATCTCAGCTCACTGCAACCTCCATTTCACTTCAACCTCCACCTCCCGGGTTCAAGCGATTCTTCTGCCTCAGCCTCCCGAGTAGCTGGGATTACAGGCACATGCCACCACACCCAGCTAATTTTTGTATTTTTAGTAGAGATGGGTTTCGCCATGTTGGCCAGGCTGATCTTGAACTCCTGACCTCAAATGATCCGCCTGCCTCAGCCTCCCACAGTTCTGGGATTACAGGTATGAGCCACCATGCCCAGCCGGGCTGATGACTTTTAAGAGGCATCTCTGGATACCATTTTAGTGTGTCTGTTTTTTTTATTGTTGTGTAGTAATTTCACTTATTCATTGGCCAATGTTGTAATTTGTATTTTCCCTTTAAAATTATTTATTTTTTCCAGATATTCACATTTACTGATATAACATTGTTCTTGAAATTGACAAAGTCTTTTAGATCTGTAGTCTTGTCTCTTTTAAGACAGAGTATTGGCCAGGCTAGGTGGCTCACACCTGTAATCCCAGCACTTTGGGAGGCCGAGGCAGGTGGATCACAAGGTCAGGAGTTTGAGACCAGGCTGCCCAATATGGCAAAACCCCGTCTCTACCAAAAAGACAAAAAATTAGCTGGGTGTAGTGGCAGGTCCCTATAATCCCAGCTACTTGGGAGGCTGAGGCAGGAGAACCACTTGAACCTGGGAGGCAGAAGTTGCAGCGAGCTGAGATCGCGCCACTGTACTGTAGCCTGGGCAACAAGGGTGAAACTCTGTTTTTTTTTTTTTTTTACTGTAGCCTGGGCAACAAGGGTGAAACTCTTTTTTTTTTGAGACAGAGTATTACTCTGTCACTCAGGCTAGAGCGCAGTGGCTATGGCTGTTCCTAAGTGTGATTATAGCGCTCTGCAGTCTCAAACTCCTGGCCTCAAGTGATCCTCCTGTTTCAGCCTCCTGTGTAGCTGGAACTGTAGGCATGCACCACTGAAGCCAGCTCATGTTTCATTTTTTAAATCCTGACTTTTAAAAAAATATTTACCAGAAGCCCAAACCTCACCATAATCCTGATTTTTTTTCTCCTTTTTCTTAATTATGTTTGCCAGTGTTTGTCTATTTTATTAGTCTTTGCATAGACCATCTATTAACGTTGTTCTGAATTTCTCATTAAGGTGTGTAACTTTTACTCCTTGTGTAATCAGCAGATACCTAACATTCTCTATTTCTCCTTCTAGAAATGTGATACCTCAAAGCACAAAGTGCTGGTAGTGTCTGTGTGTCCTCAATCTTTGCCTTATTTTGCTGCTAAATTCAACCTCAGTGTAACTGATGCATCCAGAAGACTCTGTGGTTTCCTCAAAAGTCTTGGTGAGTCATCTTTTGATAAATTGGGAATGTATAACTTGAGTTTATAAGCGCCCTTTTTAATCTCTAAAGTTCGTTTTTCAAGGACGCAGGGTAGATAAGCAACTTCCAAAAGAGTCTCTTGGAACGTAAAAAGACCATGTCCCGTGTGTCATGAAACCCAGCCTCTGATCGATGGTAGACGAGTGTCACTTTTCTCCTTTGCTGTGCACAGACAGGTGTTTTGTTACACAGTGGGAGCTGACCCCTCTGGGACCAAACAGTGACCACCTTCTGACAACACGGACAGGACACTGGGAGATTCCCACACTGGCCCAGCAACCTCCAAGTCACCCCTTACCCCCAGAGGGTGTGCATTTGATAAACAGTCACTTCTGAAATGATTAGTATCTGGTTTCCCAAGAAGCTCTCTGAAGAGCAGAGCAGAAAGGGAATGGGCTTGTGTTCTTTACTTG
This sequence comes from Homo sapiens, assembly GCF_000001405.40. Classification (NCBI taxonomy): domain Eukaryota; kingdom Metazoa; phylum Chordata; class Mammalia; order Primates; family Hominidae; genus Homo; species Homo sapiens. Next base: position 82,469,349 of record NC_000017.11, read on the forward strand.
AGGAATGAAAGGTAGAAATTTAAGAATATAATAAAAGAACTCGGATGTCAACGCTGGAATAGTACTACCTGAAATGTTGATGGATGATGCTTCTGCGTCTTCTGCTTTGGTCAAAGGGGAACTGCCTCCCTCCATTTGCTTATAGAGGGGCTTTTACAGCCTTGAGCATCCTCATAGCATGATGGTCAGTGTGCAAGTTCAGAAAGGGAAAATGAGCGAGTTGCCAAATAAGAGGTTTTTTTTGTTGTTTGTTTGTTTGTTTGTTTGTTTTTTGAGCTGGAGTCTCGCTCTTGGTGCCCCAGGCTGGAGTGCAATGATGCGATCTTGGCTCACTGCAACCTCCGCCTCCCGGGTTCAAGAGATTCTCCTGCCTCAGCCTCCCAAGTAGCTGGGACTACAGGTGCGCGCCACCACTCCCGGCTAATTTTTGTATTTTTAGTAGAGATGATGTTTCACCATGTTGGCCAGGATGGTCTTAATCTCTTGACCTCGTGATCCACCCGCCTTGGCCTCCCAAAGTGCTGGGATTACAGGCATGTGCCACCGTGCCTGGCCAAGAGTTTTTATTATTCTACAGCGGCTTTTAAAAATTATAAATATTGGTCAGGTTTGGTGGCTCATGCCTGTAATCCCAGCACTTTGGAAGGCCAAGACCAGAAGATTACTTGAGGCCAGGAGCTCGAGACCAGCCTCGACAACATAACAAGATCCTATCTCTGCTAAATAAGTACATAAATGTAGATATATTGGGGATTACTGGTGAAATAAAATGATATTTGGAATAAGGATCATCAGGACAGGCTTGAAGTCTAAGCAGCAGCCTGGGGGTCCTGATGCTCCCTGTGCCCTAGGCGCCTGGGCTCTAACAAGACCTGGTCATCTAGCACATAATGTGCTGCAGCTGAAACCCAGCTACAGCGACAGGTGCCCACACGTTAGGTCGCTCCTTCATGCTTGTCATCATAAAGCCTCGGGTTAGGTTAGTTACACTGAAGATCAGAGTTGTCAAATGCTATATATTCTCACGATGAAAGCCCTTATTTGGGGCTAGATTCTTAAAATGATGTAACGGAATGTTATATATCAATAAAATGTATCCACAGTAAAATGGATTTCTTAATGTAATATTTTAAAATTTATAATATTTCTTTTTTTGTTGTTCTTGAGACGGAGTCTTGATCTGTCACCCAGGCTGGGGTGCAGTGGCGCCATCTCGGCTCACTGCAAGCTCCACCTCCCGGGTTCACACCATTCTCCTGCCTCAGCCTCCCGAGTGGCTGGGACTACAGGCGCCCGCCACCACGCCCGGCTAATTTTTTGTATTTTTAGTAAAGATGGGGTTTCACCATGTTAGCCAGGATGGTCTCGATCTCCTGACCTCATGATCTAACCGCCTTGGACTCCCAAAGTACTGGGATTCCAGGGGTGAGCCACCGTGCCCAGCCTAATATTTATTATAGCTAGTTGCATTTTCTCTCAGCTTTGTTACCTGGGGAGGGGGAGAAACAAAAAATTTAAAATTAAAAAAATCAGGCCGGGTGTGGTGGCTCATGTCTGTAATCCCAGCACTTTGGGAGGCCGAGGGGGCAGATCACCTGAGGTCAGGAGTTTGAGACCAGCCTGGCCCAACATGGCAAAACCCCATCTCCACTAAAAATACAAAAATTAGCCTGGCATGGTGGCAGACACCTGTAATCCCAGCTACTCGGGAGGCTGAGGCACAAGAATCGCTCAGACCCAGGAAGCAGAGGTTTGCGGTGAGTTGAGATTGCGTCACCACACTCCAGCCTGGGTGACAGAGCATGACTGTCTGAAAAAAAAAAAAGGCTGGGCATGTTGGCTCACGCCTGTAATCCCAGCACTTTGGGAGGCCGAGGTGGGCGGATCACGAGGTCAGGAGATTGAGACCATCCTGGCTAACGCAGTGAAACTCTGTCTCTACTAAAAATTCAAAAAAGTAGCCGGGCGTGGTGACGGGCGCCTGTAGTCCCAGCTACTTGGGAGGCCGAAGCAGGAGAATGGTGTGAACCTGGGAGGCGGAGCTTGCAGTGAGCCGAGATCACGCCACTGCACTCCAGCCTGGGCAACAGGGCGAGACACTGTCTCAAAAAAAAAAAAAAAAATTCAGTATAAAAATTTAAGCCATTATAAAAGTATGCCCTTGCCGGGCGCGGTGGCTCACGCCTGTAATCCCAGCACTTTGGGAGGCCGAGGCGGGCGGATCACGAGGTCAGGAGATCGAGACCATCCTGGCTAACACGGTGAAACCCCATCTCTACTAAAAATACAAAAAATTAGCCGGGCGTGGTGGTGGGCGCCTGTAGTCCCAGCTACTCGGGAGGCTGAGGCAGGAGAATGGCATGAACCCAAGAGGCGGAGCTTGCAGTGAGCCGGGATAGCGCCACTGCAGTCCAGCTTGCGCGAAAGAGTGAGACTCCGTCTCAAAAAAAAAAAAAAAAGTATGCCCAGCCATTCTATACTTTTACTGTACGTTCTACTTTTAAACACATCAAGAACCATCACAGACTGAAATTTAATTTGCCTGTGAATTGGAAGGGAATGCTGTGGGTACGTTGTAATATTTCATTAATTTATATATGGAGTAAGGTGTTTTAAAATGTAGAGAGGGAAGAAGCATGAGAGAGAACATACATATTTCATTGTGAAAAATCATACACGCTCATTGTTTACAAAATAAAAGGTAAAGCACACGGTCTTGAACTTAGGCCGTTAGGAATAGATAAGAACCAAGACTGATTTTATTATCTTAGGAGGGATGCCTGTAGAATCTATGCTTTAAGTTTGTCTCTTAAACGTGAGAAAGCAAAAATGAGTAAGAATGAAGAAGTATTGGCTGGATGCAGTGGTTCACGCCTGTAATTCCAGCACTCTGGGAGGCCAAGGTGGGTAGATCACTTGAGGCTAGGAATTCAAGACCAGCCTGGCCAACATGGTGAAACCTCATCTCTACTAAAAAATACAAAAATTGGCCAGGCATGATGGCGGGCACCTGTAATCCCAGTTACTCGGGAGACTGAGGTGGGAGGATCACTTGAACCTGGGAGGCGGAGGTTGCAGTGAGCCGAGATTATGCCACTGCACTCTAGCCTGGGTGACAGAACGAGACTCCGTCTCAAAAAAAAAAAAAAAGAGGAAGCCTAAAAGTAGATCTTTTAGTACGTGATTTAAGCTGAATATGCTCCTCTCTCCTGCAGGGGTGCACTATGTATTTGATACGACGATAGCTGCGGATTTTAGTATCCTGGAGAGTCAAAAAGAATTCGTGCGTCGCTATCGCCAGCACAGTGAGGAGGAACGCACCCTGCCCATGCTGACCTCTGCCTGTCCTGGTGAGCCCCTGGACCCCCGCTCTGTTGGCCTGAGGTGCCAAAAGAGGTTTCACAAGATTCTGCAGGCTCTAGATGAGGTTGGAGGCAGACAGACCCATCCCACCCAGCCTTGTAGACCAGGAGGGAAGAGCTTGGCCTGATTCACAGAGGGTGTTTGATGTTTTGGGACAGCCAATTTAGTTTTTCATCAGAGGTGCCACACTGGAAAGGCCAGTATGGTTATTTATTTAATTTTATTTTATTTTTATTATTTTTTTTTTGAGACAGAGTCTCGCTCTGTCACTCAGGCTGGAGTGCAGTGGCACGATCTCGGCTCACTGCAAGCTCCACCTCCCGGGTTCAAGCGATTCTCCTGCCTTAGCCTGCCAAGTAGCTGGGACTACAGGTGCACGCCACTGCACCCAACTAATTATTGTATTATTAGTGGAGATGGGGTTTTGCCATATTGGCCAGGCTGGTCTTGAACTCCTGATCTCAGGTGATCTGCCTGCCTCGGGCTCCCAAAGTGCTGGGATTACAGGCGTGAGCCACTGTGCCCAGTCTAGGCAGATCTCTTGAGCCCAGGAGTTTGAGACCAGCCTGGGCAACATGTCTCTATTTTTTTTTTTTTTTTGGAGACGGAATCTCAGTCTGTTGCCCAGGCTGGAGTGCAGTGGTGTGATCTCGGCTCATTGCAACCTCCACCTCCCAGGTTCAAGCGATTCTTTTTTTTTTGTTGTTGAGACAGAGTCTCGCTCTGTCACCCAGACTGGAGTGCATCCTGCCTCACCCTCCCGAGTAGCTGGGACTACAGGCGCCTGCCACCACACCCGGCTAATTTCTTTTTGTATTTTTAGTAGAGACGGGGTTTCACCGTGTTAGTCAGGATGGTCTCGATCTCCTGACCTCGTGATCTGCCTGCCTCGGCCTCCCAAAATGCTGGGATTACAGGCGTGAGCCACTGTGCCTGGCCAGGTTCAAGCGATTCTTATGCCTCAGCCTCCCCAGTAGCTGGGATTACAGGCTAGCGCCACCACGCCTGGCTAATTTTTGTATTTTTAGTAGAGATGGGGTTTCGCCATGTTGCCCAGGCTGGTCTTGAAATCCTGACCTCAAGTGATCTGCCCGCCTTGGCCTCCCAAAGTGCTGGGATTACAGACATGAGCCACCACACCCGTCCTCTAATTTTTTAAATAAATATTTTTTAAAAGGAAAAGAAAAATAGGCCAGGCATGGTGGCTCACAGCCATAATCCCAACAATTTAGAAGGCTGATGTGGGAGGATTGCTTTAGCCCAGGAGTGTGGGACCAGTCTCGTCAACATAGTGAGACCTCGTCTCTGCAAAAAAAAACAAAAAAAAGCCAGGGGTGGTGGCAAGTACCTGTAATCACAGCTACTACGAATCCTAGCCTGAGGTGTTTGAGCCAAGGAGTTAGAGGCTGCAGTGAGCTATGACTCCTCCATTGTACTCCAGCCTGGGCGAAAGACTGAGGTCCTGTCTCTTAAGAAAATCCGTTTTCTCTTGAAAGTACAACATATCTCAGATGTACAAATAATTATGGAATAATATGGCAAACGTGCATGTATCTTTTGCCAGCTTAAAAAAAATACAGAATAAGAAAATTTCTTTACATTGATATTCAGATACTCTCAGGGCGCACTGTTTAAACCACTCTTTAATTGGTTTTTGGATGCCTGAGTTATAGAAGAGATTTGTCACATGCTTTTCAATTCTGGAAAAATAGAGAGTTTGGGTTAAGAAATCTTCGATGATGCATAAGGGAATAAGGAAGGAATGGCTATCCTGGCAAACAACACTAGTTAAAAATTATTCTACTACATGAGGCCTGTGGGAGCATAGGAGAGCTCTATCTAAGCTAGTCGTAGGCTGTATAATTTTTAGGGTTTGGTTCACGTTTCAGTTCTTAATTTATGCTCCCCCTACAATGGTTTCAAATTTTTCTGGCATTTTACATGTCAACCTTTAGTCATTAGGATTATGAATTAATAAGATGGAACATTGACATCGTGGTTGCTTAGAATACGGACTTACTCTCTAGCCATTTATAAAATATAAAGAGGAAATTTACCATCTGTTCCATGGGCTGCATTGGTTGGCTCGTTATTTGAGCTGTATCGTTCACCAGCAACCCACAGCCTGCTGTGATCTCAGCTCCAGATGGGGACAGGGATGTTAGTGACTTCTTTCAGCTGTATGGTTTGCCTTACTGTAAGTGATTCACAGATTTTTGTATCAGAGGTCGAAGTATAAGCCATTTGACGCCAGATACAGCCTTTTACTAGATTGTGGGTGTTACATTCAGCTCTTGTGGCATTTTGGGTGTGTTTCCAGGTGTAAAGGGATAATTTCCACACCTGATGGTTTCTGGGGCTGCCTGGACTCCAGCAACCTGGGAGTACCTGGTGTTTGTGTGCTGAGCCTGAGCCTGCCTCTGTGGTCCCCTTGCAGGAGTGCTTTCCTTTTGGGACCCTGTTACATGATACCACACACAACATGGCTTCACAACACCAGTCACACTTGCTTAGTTCCACCCCCAACCAAGGAAGAGGCCGTGTAAAATGACAACGAACTAAGGCCCATGCCCCTGGAGCAGTGGTTTTTAAATTATAAAAAATTTAGGCCGGGCGCAGTGGCTCACGCCTGTAATCCCAGCACTTTGGGAGGCCGAGGTGGGCGGATCACAAGGTCAGGAGATTGAGACCATCCTGGCTAACACGGTGAAACCCCGTCTCTACTAAAAATACAAAAAATTAGCCAGGTGTGGCGGGCACCTGTAGTCCCTGCTACTCGGGAGGCTGAGGTGGGAGCTTCACTGGAACCCAGGAGGTCGAGGCTGCAGTGAGCCGTGATTGCACCACCGCACTCCAGCCTGGGTAACAGAGCAACCCTGTCAATCATACATATATACTACATACATACAGCAAATCTCAAGCTAAAATAGGAAGCAAGGGGCTGGCCTGCAGCCAGTGGCTGGAGAAGAGAAAGGATTTGGTGACACATTTCTCAGAAATGCCGTCACTGAGAAGAGACCTCTCAGGGCCCCTACCTAGCATTGTGTTCACTGCCACAGGCGGAGGGATCACCGTTTCTATACAAATCAGCAATCTGCTCAGGATTCACATCAGCAGAGTTAGTTCCTTCAGTGACTTGAGAAGGTTCCATCCCAGTAGGACCTCTCATAAGGAAATCAACAAATGTAAGGAGACTGCAAAAAGTTTGTGGAAGAACAGAATTAAAAGATAAAAAGTATAAACTTTATTTCTCAACATAAGCTCCATCCTGGTCAAGACTTTTTTTTATTTTTTATTTTATTTATTTATTTATTGAGACAGAGTCTCGCTCTGTCACCCAGGCTGGAGTGCATTGGTGTGATCTTGGCCCACTGCAACCTCCATCCCCCAGGTTCAAGTGATTCTCCCAACTCAGCCTCCTGAGAAGTTGGGATTGCAGGTGCATGCCACCATGCCCAGCTAATTTTTGTATCTGTAGTAGAGACAGGGTTTTACCATTTTGGTCAGGCTGGTCTCAAACTCCTGACCTCAGGTGATCGCCCGCCTCAGTCTCCCAAAGTGCTGGGATTACAGGCACTTGCCACCATGCCCGGCTAATTTTTGTATTTTTAGTAGAGACGGGGTTGCACCATGTTGGCCAGGCCAGTCTCAAACTCCTGACCTCAGGTGATCCGCCTGCCTCGGCCTCCCAAAGTGCTGGGATTACAGCAGTGAGCCACTGTGCCCAGCTAACACTTTTTTGTTTGTTTGTTTGTTTTGAGATGGAGTCTCGCTCTGTTGCCCAGGCTGGAGTGCAGTGGCGTGATCTCGGCTCCTCTGCCTCCTGGGTTCAAGCGATTCTGCTGCCTCAGCCTCCTGAGTAGCTAGGATTAGAGGCATGCACCACCACGCCTGGCTAATTTTTGTATTTGTAATAGAGACACGGTTTCACTTTGTTGGTCAGGCTGGCCTTGATCTCCTGACCTCGATGATCTGCCTTCCTTGGACTCCCAAAGTGCTGGGATTACAGGCATGAGCCACCACACCTGGCGTTTTTGAGACGGAGTTTCGCTCTTGTTGCTCAGGCTAGAGTGCAATAGCGAGATCTCAGCTCACTGCAACCCCCACCTCCCAGGTTCAAGCCATTCTCCTGCCTCAGCCTCCCAAGTAGCTGGGATTAGAGGCGCCTGCCACCACGCCCAGCTAATTTTTATATTTTCAGTAGAGACAGGGTTTCACCATGTTGGCCAGGCTGGAATAGAACTCCCGACCTCAGGTGATCCACCCGCCTCGGCCTCCCAAAGTGTGCTGGGATTAGAGGTGTGAGCCACTCCACCCAGCCAACAGTTTTTTAAGCAGGATCTTACTTTGTTGCCCACGCTGGAGTGCGGCAGCTCAATCATGGCTCACGAGAGCTTCAACCTCTTGGGCTCAAGTGATCCTCCCATCTTAGCCTTCCAAGTAGCTGGGACCACAGGCGTGCGCCACCAGCTAATTTTTATATTTATTTATTTTTTTTAAGACAGAGTCAGGCCAGGCAGGGTGGCTCACGCCTGTAATCCCAGCATTTTGGGAGGCCGAGGCGGGAGGATCTCCTGAGGTCAAGAGTTCGAGACCAGCCTGACCAACATGGTGAAACCCTGTCTCTACTAAAAATACAAAAATTGGCCACACACGGTGGCGCACACTTGTAGTCCCAGCTGCTTGGGAGGCTGAGGCAGAAGAATCGCTTGAACCCGGGAGCCAGAGGTTACAGTGAGCCAAGATCGTGTGACTGCACTCCAGCCTGGGTGACAGAGCAAGACTGTCTCAAAAAAAAAACAAAAACAACCAAAAAAACAACACAGAGTCTTGCTCTGTCATCCAAGCTTGGAGAGCAGTGATGCAATCATAGCTGACTCCAGCCTCGAACTCCTGGGCTCAAAGCCATCCTCCTGCCTCAGTCTCCCAAGTAGCTAGGACTACAGGTGTGCACCACCACGCCTGGATGATTTTTTTATTTTTCTAGAGACAGAGTCTCACCGTGTTGCCTAGGCTGGTCTTGAAATCCTGCCCTCAAGTGATCCGCCTGCCTCACAGTCCCAAAGTGTTGGGATTACAGGCGTGAGCTACTGCGCCCGGCCCTGGGGCATTTCTCTCTGTGGCTGCTTCTGTGTCTCTGTGGGTGTTTCCTGAGCACACACGGGCGTCTTTATAGGTGAAACTTTGATTGTTAAATGGGATTATCATGTCTGACTGTGGGACATGAGCTGCCTCTCACCCTCTGGGCGACCTTCCCCGCCAGGAGTAGAGTCTCCCAAGGTATCTACCCAGCCCCTGTTTGAGGGCAGGTTGCGTGGCTCTCATGTACACAGGTGTGCAAGTGTCTGTGGGGTCAGGTCCTAAAATCAGTTGCCAGGTCAGCAAGTTCTGTGATGTTCTTATGCACTCTGACTGGGCTGTACGCCTGCGGGAAAGGAGTAGGCAGGGCTCCTGCGGTGGAATTGCTGTTGTGTGGTCAGCTGCAGTGGTGACTTGTGTTCACCCTGGAAACCACAGCAGCACTCAACCTCAGGAAAGTGCTCAGATTGTGCGGGCATGTAGTGACACTACAGATGTTGCTATTTATTACGACTTGAGGAGTATAGATTTCTTATATTTTAAAAAGCGTGCAGTTGTTGGGCTGTTAGTTTCTCGCCGGTGAGAGAAGTTGGGCAAGCATGTGGCTGCTCTCCCCTGAGCGGTAGCTGCGTGTCCTGGCTGTAAGGACGCTGTAGCTGGCCAGGCGATTTTGCACGGTGCAGCCTGGGCCGCTGCTCCTGCTGCCTTTCAGTGCTTGTTCCCCTTCACCTTTTTGGGGGACCTGTTACTCCGACTCTTACTTGTCTGTCGGCCTTGCAGGGATGCTCCCATTTCCCAGTAGCCTCCAGGCCTGCAGGTTCCCATGACCCACAGCCGGGCCACCGAGGACGGGTTTTGGGTCCAGCACGAGCTCCTGGTAAGGCCTGGGGAAAAGGTGTTCTGGCTTCACCCTGGGGCGGCAGGGACTCGAGCTCAGCATTCCCTGGTGCGTTACAGGAAGACCAGAGGAAGCAGTAAGGAGCTGACCGTGGATCCCTTCTCTCCCCAGGCTGGGTCCGATACGCCGAGCGGGTGCTGGGTCGCCCCATCACTGCCCACCTCTGCACCGCCAAGTCCCCCCAGCAGGTCATGGGCTCTTTGGTGAAGGATTATTTCGCCAGACAGCAGGTAAGCTGACCTCTCTGGAGGGCAGGAAGGGCAGGTGAGGGAGGACCATGGCACAGGGGCCCAGGAAGGGGAGGTTCCCCATCTGTCCAGCGTGGTCACGGCCCCCCAGGTGAGCAAAAAGGAAGCTGTGGCTTCAGGAAACATCAGCAGTGCTGTTTCTCACCAACGCCCGTCTCTATTCCTCCCTTCCTCTTACAACCTTTTTCTTTCTTCTTAACCTTTTCTGTGGCATCTGGTGGTTTTCCTGGGCCCATTCGGGGTAGAGTAGAAATGCTGCCCACCCTGCTGAGAATGAGGCCCCGGACCTTGCCCAGAGATGCTGCCTGCCTGCTGTTGGGATGCCTCACCCAAGGAGGCCTAAAGTGGCCTGTGCCTGGAGGCTGAGGGCAGCTGTCATTTAGGGAGCCAAACCTGGCCTCTGCCCTGGCCTTTCCCTCAGACCACGGGCATCACATGACTTCCTTAGCCACTTCTGTGAGATTCCACAGTGGCCATGATGCTGTCCTCCTCTTGATGGAGTGAGTCCCGGCCTGAGGCTCCTGCGTGCCCCCTGCCTCGGCCCGTCGTGTTCTCCCTTCCCACAACCCTCTGCGGCCCCCAGGTCCTCCCAGAACTCCCTGATGTCTCCAAGGCCACCCTCAAAGGGACCCTAATCCCATGGTTTATTCTCCAGCCGCTGGCATGCCCCACACTGCTCTTCTCAATCAGACTTTACACCTCCCTCCGGGGAAGCAGCCATGTCCAGGCACTGTGGTAACTGGAGTAGAGGGTAACATCAGGATCTTTCAGACATTTGAAGTCAGCCTAAAAAGGCACGCACATTTGGCAGCCTTGTTATTTTAGCAATAGGCAGTGTTTTCCTTCTATCTAGTTTCTTTCTACCCATAAAGTCATAATTTGGCAAATTATAAACATGATGTCAGAGTATACACGTTCAGTTTAGGCAGGACCGAAAAATGAGCTATGGGACTTTCTGTCCCTTGCCCTGCCCCCACCTGAAGAGAGCCATGTGTTTCTAGGTCTTCCACGTGCTGCCCTCTCCCCTGGATGGAGCCCAGAGCTATGTGTCCTCCTGTAGGTGCCATGAGGGGCAGCCGCAGAGACCCGGCCTCCAGCAGCCTCTCACCTGACCACCTGGCACAGCTGCAACCAGGGGCGGGTTTCCTCTTTTGCTCCGCCCCTGCCCTGAGTGGGTCCTTTCCACCCAGACCTCACCACAGGGTCACTTGGCAACTGCTGGCTCCTGGCTTTGCCACCAGTTCAGGCCCAGCCACAGGCACCTGCTCTGTGTGGACCCAGGAGAGGGGTAGCTTGGGTGGGCATCGCTTGGGAAGATTCAGGAAAGTCTGTGGGTGAAGTAGCCAGCGCGCGCACACACACACACACACACACACTCACTCAGGCCTCCTGCAATGGCTCCATGCTGGACCAGCAACAGCTCCACGCCGGCTGGACTTCCTCTTACTTGTTTTGTCCCCATGTGCACAGGTTCAGGAGGAAATGGGCTCAGCCTTCCCGGTTCTTCCAGGAGGCTCCACTGGCTGGGGGGCTTTGCAGATGTTTGGGAGGACCACACCCAGTCCTGAGGGAGGCAGCAGACAGACATGGATGGAGTGCTGGTGCTCGGTAGAGTTGAAGAGGGGATGGGAGCCAGATGTGGCTACAGCACTTTCATCTGTGGGGCCCGGCCTCAGACCCACAACAGTCCCAGCCCCAAGAAAGTGCTGCATGCAGCCAGGCTCGATGGCTCACGCCTGTAATTCTAGTACTTTGGAGGCCGAGGCGGGCAGATTGCCTGAGCTCAGGAGTTTGAGACCAGCCTGGGCAACACGGTGAAACCCCATCTCTACTAAAGTACAAAAAATTAGCCAGGCGTGGCGGCATGCGCCTGTAGTCCCAGCTACTCGGGAGGCTGAGGCAGGAGAATCGCTTGAACCCGGGAGGCAGAGTTTGCAGTGAGCTGAGATCACGCCACTGCACTCCAACCTGGTGACAGAGCAAGACTCCATTTCAAAAAAAAAAAAAAAAAAAGAGTGCAGCATGCAGTGTCTGGAGGGCAGCAGCAGGGGGCATTCGGTCTCCCATCCCTCTTGTTCTGGGCACCAAGCGTAAGCTGCCGTCACCTCTTCACCAGCCCTAAATATGGGTGCCCCTCTCCCACAGAACCTGTCTCCAGAGAAGATTTTCCACGTCATTGTGGCCCCTTGTTATGACAAGAAGCTGGAGGCTCTTCAGGAAAGCCTTCCCCCTGCTTTGCATGGCTCCCGGGGCGCTGACTGCGTGTTAACATCAGGTGAGAGGTGGGCGGGGGTGCACCTGGGCGCTGGGGTAATCTCCTACTGGCCAGTACACACCAGAGCCAGGCAGATCTGTGTCCCAGAGCCATCTCAGTGCCTGCCAATGTGGTCGCTTGTCTGAAGTTACTGACAGCTGAGGGTCCTAGGGGCTTAACTGCAGGTGAAGAGAAGGGTCATGTTCGATCTAGCCTCCTGTCTCCTCTGTGCATCTTCCTCAAGATAAATCAGGTCTCAGCTGGGCACAGTGGCTCACGCCTGTAATCTAAGCACTGGGAGGCCAAGGCAGGTGGATCACCTGAGGTCAGGAGTTCGAGACCAGCCTGACCAACATGGAGAAACCCCGTCTCTACTAAAACTACAAAAAACTAGCCGGGCATGGTGGCACATGCCTGTAATCCCAGCTGCTCGGGAGGCTGAGGCAGGAGAATCGCTTGAACCCGGGAGGCAGAGGTTGCAGTAAGCCGAGATCGCGCCATTACCCTCCAGCCTGGGCAACAAGAGTAAAACTTTGTCTCAAAAAAAAAAAAAAAAGATAAATCAGGTCCTGGGAGAACCACTTGGGCAGTGTGGTGGCCCTAACTTTACATTACAGTCCATGTAAGGTACTTATCTCTTGGTGGGAAAGTTGTCTATAGCCATAGCGGGTCTCCTAATCACAAACCAAGTCTGCACTTAAAACACAAGTGAAGTTTTTTTCATTCAGAATAAAATGAAAAAGGCACGTTTGCTCCAGTGATATTGCCTTTACCACGGTATTGGCCACTCCTTTCAGATGTTAAGAGCCTACAGTGAGTTCTGTGTGTGTTGTGGATGGAAGTGATTCCCTGGAATTATGTAGAACCCATTCAGAAGAATGTTGACATCAGTTGGTGGGGGAAGCTTAAGACTTTGTTAAAATTCTGGCGGAACTGTTTTAATTGGTCTCTGAAAACAGGTCCCTGCAGGTATTTAGATCAGTGGTAGATGAGGCAGAGAGGTCAGCTCTCAGGGACAATCTTTAAGGGCGCCAATGTCCCTCACAGGCCCCTGACTTGAAATTCTAGCACGCAGACGCCTCTGGAAAGGTCCCCACCCCATAGGCACAGGCTCCCTGTGGGGTGATGTGGCAGGGGTGTTGAAGGATGAGGGATAGAAGGGTCCTCAGCACGGCCATCCTTCACTCTCAGAGGAAGGGCCCAGGGGCCATCTGCTTACGTTGACAAAATAAAACATGCGCGGTGGGCTGTCAGAAGAACCATGTCCAGCCATCTTTTTTCTGAGTGCAGATTTATAGGAAATTACGCTATTTTCTTACCTGTGTTTCCAGCCATCTCACAGCATCTAATGTGATGCCACAGCCATAGTTTTAGAGGCTCAGTTTTTCTATTAAGGGTTTTTTCAGGCATCCTCATGTAAAAGGAAATACAGAAAGTGGTTCTCACTTTCAGTTGATCTCATTGCAGAATAAACAATTGTCATATAAATGTAGCTGGGTACAATGGCTCAGACCTCTAATTCCAGCCACTCAGGAGGCTATGGCTGGAGGATCACTTGAGCCCAGGAGTTTGAGACCTTGCTGGGCAACACAGTGAGACCTCGTCTCTTTTTTTTTATTTTTTGAGACGGAGTCTCACTCTGTCACCCAGGCTCTGCAGTGGCTCCATCTTGGCTCACTACAACCTCCGCGCCTCCTAGGATCAAGCGATTCTCCTCCCTCAGCCTCCCGAGTAGCTGGGATTACAGGTGCGCCCCACCACACCAGGCTAATTTTTGTGTTTTTAGTAGAGAGGGGGTTTCGCCATGTTGGCTAGACTGGCGACCTTGTTTCTTAAAAAAAAAAGGGCTGGGTGCAGTGGCTGACACGTGTAATCCCAGCACTTCAGGAGGCTGAGGCAGGCTGGTCACCTGAGGTCAGGAGTTCGAGACCAGTCTGGCCAACATGGTGAAACCCCCGTCTCTACTAAAAATACAAAAATTAGCCAGGCGTGGTAGTGCACACCTGTAATCACAGCTACTCAGGAGGCTGCGGCAAGAGAATCACTTGAACCCGGGAGGCAGAGGTTACAGCGAGACAAGATTGCACCACTGGACTCCAGCCTGGGCGGCGGAGGTGAGACTCCATCTCAAAAAAAAAAAAATGCAACCAGTGTATATTTCATCATCCTATCTCTGTGAGCTTGTTATACACAAAAGTTTTCTGTTTGTTTCATGCAAAGTAGGCCAAAAAAGTTTACAGATTTTCCACATGGGAAAATCATGGAGAGATTGTTTACATAAATCCCACAGTTCAAGGGCAGAAAGAGGAATGGAAAGAGGAGTTAGAATTGAATTCTGCTTACGTTTTATTAGTGTTTCATTTTATTGGCCTCACTTTGCCCTTTAGATGGACTCCTGCTGTGTGTGATGGAGATTTCATAAGAGGGAGGTCACCCAGGGTCACTAATGTCAAATCTCCTGCAGGGGAAGAAAAGTTCCTGTGGCCACCTGTGTCTTTTCAGTGTCTTACTTCGTTTGTCTGCAGGTGAAATTGCTCAAATAATGGAGCAAGGTGACCTCTCAGTGAGAGATGCTGCCGTCGACACTCTGTAAGTGGCTTCTCTGGGGAGAGTCCTCTGGGGGGCAGGACCTCTCGTCAGCCCTGCCAGCCACCTGCCAGGCCCAGGGCTGCCCTGCTTTATGACGAGGCCATGTGAAGCACTGCGATGCAGTCCCCCAGGCCCCTGCCACAACCCTCAGCCACCCTATAGCTGTTGAATGGGATACCATTCACCAGGGCTGCCAGGGAGTTGAAGGTTTGGCGGGCTTCCATGGTGTGATTGCCACCCTAAACCCTTGAGGAAGGACAAAATGCACAAACAGCTTTGTCCTCGCTGGCGCAGGGCTGTTCATGTGTGCACCAGCCCCCTTCTTCCTGAGTGCCGTCTGTGCCTCACATTCCGTGTGGTCTATGGGGCAGTGGGGCAGCTCCCTCAGGCCCCTTTGCACCAAGAGTGGCAGTCTGGGTTCTGCTGGGGGCGGTGACCTCGATACCCAGCAAGGCCCAGGGCTCCTGCTGCACCCCAGGCACTGGGCAGAGAGCACCACAAAGGCAGCAGCGTGTGTCCTCGCCAACAGTCCGCATCCCAGGTGCTGCATTCGTGCCCTTTTGGGGGAAGGTAAGATAGAAGTTTACAGAATTTAAGCATCTGTGGGGCCAGGCGTGGTGGCTCACACCTATAATCACAGTACTTTGGGAGGCTGAGGTAGGAGGATCACTTGAGTCCAGGAGGCTGGGGCTGTAGTGAGCTATGATTGTGCCACTGCACTCCAGCCTGAGAGACAGAACAAGACCCTGTCTCCAAAAGAAAAAGACCATAAGCATCTGGAGCACCTGCAAGAGCCTGTGCATGGGCTCGGCGTGACTGAGAGTCCTCCGCCTTGCCCGAGCATCAGGCAGGCCCTCCCAAGACCCCTCAAGATGCTAGAATGGGACTTTCTGCAAAGTTTAAACATCTGTACAGGATTTAGCTTCTTTGGTGGCGAACTTGGATTGTGATGCCCTCAGGAAGTCTGGTTTCACTCTTTCTGTCACTGTACGTCAGCATTCATGAAGGACTTGTATTTTCTCTGCCTTGTGAGGTTTGGAGACTTGAAGGAGGACAAAGTGACGCGTCATGATGGAGCCAGCTCAGACGGGCACCTGGCACACATCTTCAGACATGCGGCCAAGGAGCTGTTCAACGAGGATGTGGAGGAGGTCACTTACCGAGCCCTGAGGTGTGGGGCAGTATCCACAGCCTGTCTGTGCCTGTGGTTAGCACGTGTGCATGGTGTGCCTGTATGGATCTGTGCATGTGGCGGTTCTATGGATGGAGTTTACACTAGTCAAAATCAAAAGGACTTTTTTGTGTTTATTCAGACCTTTTATTTTGCTGACATTCCAAACTTACATTAGAAAGTGTTCTTGGCCGGGTGCGGTGGCTCGTGCCTGTAATCCCAGCACTCTGGGAGGCCGAGGCGGGCGGATCATGAGGTCAGGAGATCGAGACCATCCTGGCTAACACAGTGAAACCCTATCTCTACTAAAAATACAAAAAATTTGCCGAGTGTGGTGGTGAGCGCCTATAGTCCCAGCTACTCGGGAAGCTGAGGCAGGAGAATGGCGTGAACCCGGGAGGCAGAGGTTGCAGTGAGCCAAGATGGTGCCACTGCACTCCAGCCTGGGCAACAGAGCAAGACTCCGTCTCAAAAAAAAAAAGGAAGTGTTCTTAAGTCACAGATAAAGGACTTGATGGATCAAAATTCTCTGTGTTCATTTTGTAGAAACAAAGACTTCCAAGAGGTCACCCTTGAGAAGAACGGAGAGGTGGTGTTACGCTTTGCTGCAGCCTATGGCTTTCGAAACATCCAGAACATGATCCTGAAGCTTAAGAAGGGCAAGTTCCCATTCCACTTTGTGGAGGTCCTCGCCTGTGCTGGAGGTGAGGCGCCAAGAGCAGCACCTGGCTCTGTCTCCCACGGGTGCTCAGGCCACACTGGTCCTGCAGCTGCCAGAGAGATGGTGCTCTTGGCCACCCAGAGCCTCTCTCAGCCCTGAGAGCTTTGTAGGGTATGGATGCTCCCGTGGGGCTTGTGCTGGGACATTCTAGGCTCCATTGGTTTTGCTCTTTTCCTCACCCCATGTAGCATGTGGGCATTCTCTTGGGGACGTGCCCTCAGGAGGCCCAACATGGCACCAGGTGAGAGTCAGCCCGTGGCGGCTGGCTTAGAGAACAAATCACAAGAGTTGAGGCTGCCCTGCCTAGGAGAAACACCCCTGCCCCGTGCCAGGCACCAAGCATGAGCCTTCTCTGTCCTGAGTGATGGGAGAGAGCAGTGAGAGGTGGAAGCGGGAAGGGGTGTGACCCAGCCTGGGCCTGAGGGGCTCCCTTGTTGCGTGGAGGGAGGGTGGGCCACTGTGGGCTGTGATCATCCAGGCAAGTGAGGAAGGATCCCCACCTGGGGCAGGGGGAGTGAGAGGATGAGAGGAGGCCAGGACACGGTGGGGGTCTCCGGGAAGGACTTGCTGAGGGTGTGTCAGGGAAGAAGGGGACCCTCTGCCCCTGACCCATGGTGGTCCATCTGCGCCCCTGGTGGGGAACTGAGGACCTTTGTGCCATTGTGAGTCGGGGGGGGCACCACGAGGGACTCGAGTGGAAATGCCGGGTGCAGGTCAGTTGGAGGAGCGGCTCCACTGATGTTAGACAAGTGGGACAAGGTGTGAAGCCACAGGATGGGAGGGGCCCTTGGGCAGGGCACAGACAAGGGTGTGTCCTTCAACACAAAGGATCTCGTAGAGGAGGGGAGGCCTCAGCCAGCACTGACAAGAGGAGGGTGAGGGCAGAGAGGGGAGCCTGTGGCCTTGGAGGCCTCACTGAGCATTCCAGGGGCACGGAAGGGTCAGTCCCACAGCTGGGCTGAGGAGCAGCCGGGAGGTGGGCCGTGAAGCAGGGCCTCTGGGAGGGCCTCTGTGTGCAAGCGGGTGGAGCTGGGGCCTGAGGAAGGAGAAGGTGCAAGCCCAGCCCCCTGGGAAAGTGGAGGTTGGAGACCAGCTGGGGTGCCACCCTGGAACCCATGGGGAGTGAGGTTTAACCAGGGAAATTTGCTCCAGATTGTTTTAAATGAACTCTTACACTACTAAGAGTGACATCATCTAACACGTTGGAGAGTAAGTAGCATTAATAGATAGGAGACACATTTTTACTCAGGCCAGTGTTGGGTGTGTGGGCTCATGGCTGGGCTCACAGCTTAGCTGCCTCTGGTGCAGCCTCCAGGCAGGGCCCAGCACACTAACACGTGTGGTGCAGGCAGGAGTGGTTTAACTGCTTGTTCACAATTCCTGTGCTATCCTGGTTTTGCCAAATTCCAAGAGAAGTTGGAAATCGGGATTTGCATATGAAGCCACCCAGTTCTAAAAGGTTGGCAACTTAGGTTTTAGGTAAAACCATTTTATGGGTGATGTAAATGGGTAAGAATGAGAGGCACACGGGTCCAGGCACGGTGGCTCACGCCTGTAATCCCAGCACTTTGGGAGGCCGAGGTGGTCGGATTACCTGAGGTCAGGAGTTTGAGACCAGCCTGGCCAACATGGTAAAACCCTGTCTCTACTAAAAATACAAAAATTAGCCGGGCGTGGTGGCACACACCTGTAACCCCAGGTACTTGGGAGACTGAGGTGGGAGAATCGCTTGAGCCCAGGAGATGGAGGTTGCAGTGAGCCGAGATTAGGCCACTGCACTCCAGCCTGACCAATGGAGAGAGACTCTGTCTCGAAAAAAAAAAAAAAGAAGAATGAGAGGCACACGGGGCTGTGAGTCTGGGATCAGTGTCCCTGACAGCCTTGAGGAAGACCCTGGCCTGTTCAGCCAGCCCTAG
Organism: Homo sapiens; assembly: GCF_000001405.40. NCBI lineage: Eukaryota > Metazoa > Chordata > Mammalia > Primates > Hominidae > Homo > Homo sapiens. The sequence goes on from NC_000017.11 coordinate 82,487,588, forward strand.
CCTTAGGCCACACAACATTCCACGTCCCCTTTATTCCTCTCCTGCTTCCAACTCTTCCCTGTGAGGCAAAACTTCCTTAAGACTATCCCGGCTGGGTGCGGTGGCTCACGCCAGTGGTCCCAGCTCGAAGTAGGATTGCCGCTTGAAGCCAGGAGTTCAAGACCAGCCTGAGCAACATAGCAACACCCGCCCCTCCCGCCCAATCTCTACAAAAAATTTAAAAATCAGCCGGGCAAGGTGGTGTGTGTCTGTAGTTCTAGCTGCTCAGGAAGCTAAGGCAGAAAGATCGCCTGAGCCCAGGATAAACTTACCTGTGTTTATCTTTCAGGATGCTTAAATGGCAGAGGCCAAGCCCAGACTCCAGACGGACATGCGGATAAGGCCCTGCTGCGGCAGATGGAAGGCATTTACGCTGACATCCCTGTGCGGCGTCCGGAGTCCAGTGCACACGTGCAGGAGCTGTACCAGGAGTGGCTGGAGGGGATCAACTCCCCCAAGGCCCGAGAGGTGCTGCATACCACGTACCAGAGCCAGGAGCGTGGCACACACAGCCTGGACATCAAGTGGTGAAGTCAGGCCAGGGCCTTCCAGCTGCTCTTGGGGCCAGAGCCAAGAGCCTCTCAGTAGAGGGAGGGGCTGCCCTGAGTGGAGTATTAAAGACACTTAAGAAAACCGCTCAATGGATTACTTTGGTTTCTCCGAGTTCCCTGCTACCCCGTTTATTGGAGGCCCCTCAGGCAGTTTCATGTGGTGCTATCTTCATAATAGGTGTGGGATTGGAACTTTTTTTTTCTTTTTTTTTTTTTGAGACGGAGTCTCACTCTGTCACCCAGGCTGGAGTGCAATGGCGCAATCTCAGCTCACTGCAACCTCTGCCTCCCGGGTTCAAGCGATTCTCTTGCCCCAGCCTCCCGAGTAGCTGGGACTAACGCGCACACCACCATGCCCAGCTAATTTTTGTATTTTTAGTAGAGATGGGGTTTCACTATGTTGGCCAGGCTGGTATTGAATTCCTGACCTCCTGATCCACCCGCCTTGGCCTCCCAAAGTGCCAGGACTGCAGGCATGAGCCACCGTGCCTGGCAGATTGGAACGTTTTAACATGAGAGGAGCACTTCCCCAATTTATCCCTTCATCCTAAGATTGTGAAAAAGTCCCAAAGAGTGGGAATGGAGACAGACTACTGTATTTTAGGTTTAAAAAGAAAAATCCAGAAAGTGTCCTGTGAAGAGCTAGGACCCCCAGAGGTTCTAATGCACATGACTTGAAGGTGATTTGATGTGGGAGTGAGGGCAGAGGGTGGGGTGGCTGTGCCTGTGGACTCCTGTGGCCCTGGGGTTGTTAGGGCAGGCAGTCCACAGTCCCAGATCCCTGCCCATTTTGGCTCTTTCTTTTACCCACTCATATTTTCCTTGAAAATGTTTTTGCCAGAACATTAATAACTGTCAGCCTTTTAGAATCAGGAGACTTACGTACAAATCTGGATTTTCAGCTTTTCTTAGAAAAACTGTAGTTTCTGACAACAGTAGGCCCCATTCCTCACAGCCAGTCACCACCCTCCTCCCATTCCTCACAGCCAGTCACCACCCTCCTGGACCATACTCGGCCCTGGGCCATTCCTCACAGCCAGTCACCACCCTCCTCCCATTCCTCACAGCCAGTCACCACCCTCCTGGACCACACTCGGCCCTGGGCCATTCCTCACAGCCAGTCACCACCCTCCTGGACCATACTCAGGGCCCTGGAGGCCTGGCAACCCAGGCCCCAACTCAAACTTGTACATTCAGTCTTTCAGTCGGACTCGCACTGGGGCAAGGGTGACAGACACGAGAATGGAAAATTGAGAAGGCTGCCCGCACCAGCTGGGTGGGTGCAGGGGGCCCCAGCTCATCATCAGCACTGTCGTGGGGTGGGAGTCGGGGGTAAAGGTTCCGTCTGACCCTGAGGGGTTGAGGATATTCAGGTGGTCCAGCCTCCCGCAGAAGACTTCCCTGTCACCCTTGGCAGACAGGTTTCTTCTCACACGGCCCTGGCCCATCCACTCGCCATGAAGCCCTCTGTGCTCAGGGTGATGGAGCCCCCTCCATTCTGGCACTGCACTGTGGGCATGAGCTTGCCTTAAAAAGAAAGGAGAGGCCAGGCACGGTGGCTCGTGCCCTATAATCCCAGCACACTGGGAGGCCAAGGTGGGAGGATTGCTGGAGTCCAGGAGTTTCTACATGGGAGACTCTGTCTCTACAAATTTTTTTTTTTTTTTTGAGACAGAGTCTCACTTTGTCACCCAGGCTGGAGTTCAGTGGCGTGATCTCGGCTCACAGCAACCTCCGCCTCCTGGGTTCAAGCGATTCTCCTGCCTCAGCCTCTGGAGTAGCTGGGATTACAGGCGCGCGCCACCGCGCCTGGCTAATTGTATTCTTAGTTGAGACGGGTTTCGCCATGTTGATCGGGCCGGTCAGGCTGGAATTTCTGACCTCAGGTGATCCAACCACCTCAGCCTCCCAAAATGCTGGGATTACAGGCGTGAGCCACTGCACCTGGCAAAAAATTTTTTTTTAAAAAGGAGAAAGCAGTTTAACCACAAACAGTGAAACAGAGCTGGCAGACGCCTGAAACTCCATGGAACCATGCAGCTGTACCCTAGGGCTCCTCCCAGGAAAAGAGAGATGTCAACGTGGCCCAAGGTGTCCTGAAGCACTGGGATTGGATTAACTCGAGCGATGGCCTTCCCAGCCCTCCGTGCTGCAGAGCCTCTGCTCGCTAGGCTGCCTTCATCTCACTCTGTGTGCTGTGCCTGTGCACCTGTCTTGTCAATAACTGCATATATTGTGTTGCGTTGCCTGTCTTGCTGGATAACTGCATATATTGTGTTCAGTTGTGTATTTGTTTTGCTTTCAGTCTATATACAGTTGGGTTTCCAACCTCTGATTCTGGAATAAACAGTTGCAGCGTGTCTGAGTGAATGGTTGAGTGAGCCGAGCCACCTGCTGCCCCAGCAGGGCCACATCTTGTGGTGTGTTGCCGTCCTCACTGCGGCCACGCCAGGTGGCCTCGCCCTGTGCTTTCTGAGCCACCACCTGGTGTGGAGTCAGGAGAGTCCTCTGTCTCCCTCCAGGAAGCTGCTCACCAGGCCTAGAACACCAGAAGTCGGTAGAGGGCCACCCTTGTCCAGCTACAGTGAAGAGATCACCTCCTGCAGTAACCACTGCGCAGGGCACCACAGCTGGCCTGCCGTGAAGCCGCCCCTGCAGGTCGCGTGGGGAGGCCAGGCTGAGGCACTGGGCACCAACATGAGACACCAGAGGTCCCCCGTGCCTGCTGGTGGGTTATAGCCATGGGGACTGTGTGCATTTTCTTCTGCACAGGAGAAAAGTGGCGAGATTTCCTTCATTGTAACCGGAACGGTATTAGCCGTCAGGCCAAGGCGCCTAGATGTGGAGGCAGCACACTGGTCGGGAGGGATGGTGTGCCTGGCCCGTGCCTGCTGGTGAGCCAGGCTGGTCCTGGCATGAGGCAGCACGCTGGTTGGGGGGATGGTGTGCCCGGCCCGTGCCCGCTGGTGATCCAGGCTGACCTGGGGGGATGGTGTGCCCGGCCCATGCCCACTAGTGAGCCAGGCTGGTCCTGGTGTGAGGAGGAGGAGGAGGAGGAGGACGAGATGAGCCCTGGGTGGCATCCCGTGCTGGCACCACCATGTAGGAACATGGCCATGTGTGCTCTGGTGCTGCCATGTACTGCAGGGGACCGGAACACGTCTGAGCTGATAAACGTGTTGCCATCCCAGTGAACAGATCTGCTGTTCGGTGCCTGTGGTCTGATGGGCAGCGCCTAGGTTTCTCAATTCCATTTCCACCTGGCCTGAGAGCTTGTACTCGTCGCAGCCAGTGTAGACTGTCCGCACTGGTCCTTAGTGTTGCTGCAGTTGCAAATGGGCTCATCCACTGTGCCTGCCTGTTGGTTTGCCGCTTGCCTGGGATGTAGATCTAGGGTGAACCCTTGGGTGTGTGCCGGCTTTGAGGGTGTCCCATGGCCTCATCTGCGGGCCCAGAGCTGAGCAACTGAGGCGTCTGGACACATGGCCTGCCACAGTCGTGTGACCTTCACGCCGAGTCTAGGCCAGAGATGTCAGAGGAGGGAATTGCGGCCCAGGCAGGGGCTGACTTGCCCAAGGCCACTTGGCCTCCAGATGGGGCCCGGTGTTTAAGTTTCCACTTCGAACAGAGCATCTGTCTAAAGCAGATCAACCCTCATCTCATGGTTAGGAGCCCTCAGTCCGCCGCTGCAGGGGGCGAGCTGTCGGTTTTGGGTAGAGGCCGGCTCTGCATTCTGAGGATGAGCCTTGTGGGTTTTGGATAGAGGCCGGCTCTGCGTTCTGAGGATGAGCCTTGTGTTCTGAAATCAAGGAGAGCAGGTGCCAGGGCTGAACACTTCAAAGTTGTAATGCGAATTGTCCAATAGGCAAAGATTTTTATTAAGTATTCAGCTGAGTAAGAAGAGGGGGTGCTCACGACTGCTGGCTGGAGTGCAGTTTGGCAGTAACGCCCCAACTTGATGAAAGTCGTATAGTTTAGCTGTTAGGAACTTTCCCTGGAGCAGTCCACCTCACAGGTGCCCAGTGCGCAGGACCTGGAGAATATCTGTTCTATGTCTGCATTGGTGTAAACAAGCTACAACACCGAACTAAAAGCCCATCGGGGCAAGTGTCAGGACATCCTGGGGGTTCTAGGAGTGGTTAAAGTATAAAATAGATGTTTATGTCCTGACATGGACTTTTTTTTTTTTTTTTTTGAGACAGGGTCTGGCCCTATCACCCAGGTTGGAGTACAATGGCACCATCATGGCTTACTGCAGACTCAACCTCTCAGACTCAATCAATCCTCCCACTTCAGCCTCCTGAATAGCTGGGACTGCAGGCATGCGCCACTACTCCCAGCTAATTTTTTGTACTTTCTGTGCAGACAGGGTTTTGCCATGTTGCCCAGGCTGGTCTCGAGCTCCTGGGCTCAAGTGATCCTCTCCCCTCAGCCTCCCAAAGTGCTGGGATTACAGGCGTGAGCCACCACACCAGCCTGATTTGAAATTTGGTTAGAATAAGAAAGAAAACCTGGCAAGCCAGAGTGACAGACATGGCATCTGCATGGTGAGTGTGGATGAGTGGCAGTGGATTTGGGAGGGGGGACTGGAGCGGGAGCAGTGGCTGCCAACCATGGGCCTGACCCGGCGAGCCCGTCACCAGATTCCAGATACTCTCACCCCGACTGCTTGGACGTATTGCAAATATAGTGACTCATAGGATTACTGTCCTTTGATTTATGTTAATCATAGCCTTGAACGCTTTCTTAAAGTGTAAAAGTTACAGTTAAAAAAACCTCCAACCTTACTTTTCATAACTCTGCCAGCTCTTTGTGGCGGGTTAGCCTTCTGCTCTGGGTGGCACAGTGGCGTCAGCGTCTGTTTTGCTAACTCTGGGCATCTCATCCTAACTGTGCCCAGCCACACGGAGGGCCTCAGAGAGGGGCAGAGAAGTGCATTTTGGGTGGCTGCATTTGCCATCCAATATCCTAGTTGGAATCGGGAGACCTTGCATCAAGCCAGGACACAGGACCGCTGTTGGATGCCATGGTCTGAGCAGCAATGTGGCCCTCATCTGAGGTGTGTGCTGGGTCTGCCTCTGCACCAGCTAGGTGTCCTGGTAAGTTAAGTAACACTTCGCCTGCTCTCTGTTGCCCCTAAGCCTTTGTCTCGCATCAATCTTGGCAGAATCCTCCTGTTCCTCTGTCTTCGGCTTTAGCCACCATCAGGGCGTGTGTCCTGCTATTTCCCCACTCGTTTTTGCCCTGTAAAGGAAAGACCATGTAGCAGCTGGCACTCCTTCCCCACTCCAGGCCCGGTGTCCTGGGCTGTGGCACCTGAAGATTCTGTCCCTGAGCCAGTCTGGACACAGCCAGGCGGCAGCACTGGCATTTTGGGATGTCAGTGCATCATCATGGGCACTGTGTGTCCACGTGGGATGCCAGGACCTGGTGCTGGGATGTACAGGGAGTGAGTACTGCGGCTGCATTTCTCTCCTGTTGGAGGGAGGTTCTCACCTCCAGCTTCTGATGATGTCAGTGGAGCGAGAATGCCAACCCAGAGGGCCGTGACACTCCAGCCCTTTTTTTTTTTTTTTTTTTTTTGAGACAGGTTCTCGTTCTGTCACCCAGGCTGGAGTGCAGTGGTGCAATCTCAGCTCACTGCAGCTTCGACCTACCAGGCCCAAGAGATCTCTCACACTCCGAGTAGCTGGGACTACAGGCGCCAGCCACCACACCCAGCTAATATTTTTGTATATTTTTGTAGAGACGGGGTTTCACCATGTTGCCCAGGCTGGTCTCCAACTCCCGACCTCAAGCGATCCACCTGCCTCAGCCTCCCAAAGTGCTGGGGTTACAGGTGTGAGCCACTGCACCTGGCCTTGATCTTCTAGCGAAAACTAGAGAGAGAGAGAGAGAGAGAGAGAGAGAGAGAGAAACGTTAAGAGGGAAAGAAAAGGCAGGAACCCCTAAGCCCACTCCCTCAGGAGAGGAAGGGAAGAGAGGATGGGGATCCAGCCAGACCCTTTTGTCAGGAAAACACTTGCTGGGTTCCTTACCTGGAGGGGTCTCTAGTGAGTCGGTTGATGGCAGGAGGCTCCCTGGCAGCCAGACAGGGAGAAGAATGCCAGCCTCTGCAGGCACCTTCGGCCACGTGGAGGAGCAGACCTAAGTGTGGCCAGGGAGGTTTCAAAGCCTCGAAAATGCTGCAGACAAAGGATGCATGTCCTGTGCCAGACCCTGTTCTCTAAGCCAGGAGCAGGTACTGATGGGGGGTCCCGGGCCAGGTGGACACACAGAGAAGAGGACTGAGGAGTGCAAAACCCCTCCCTTGCTCCCAGGGAGGCATTTTGCCCAAGCCAGGGAATGCAGAGGGCAATGAGCCCACAACTGCCACAATTTCTGGGACAAAGCTATGAGGCAAGGTATGCTCACATCAAGATTTGAACTCAGATTGCTGCTGTTGCCTGTCCTCCGTGCCTTGACACAAACAGGGACGTTATTGGGGCCTGGAGAAGAATTATGGGCCACAGGCTGCCCAGTCAGGAAAGAAAAGGGAGTCTATAGCAGAGGATGGTTTCGATCCATCGACCTCTGGGTTATGGGCCCAGCACGCTTCCGCTGCGCCACTCTGCTGGCTATAAGGGGGGAGCCTGAGTCAGATCATGACCACAGGAGTCATCTCCCTGCAGGCGGCGACCCCTACTGGCCAAGAGGGGCCAACAGAGGACTGGCTGGGCAAGGCACATGCTCAATTATAAGCCTACTCCTCCTCTCTCAACTTCTTGTAGATAAAACTCTCTGAATTCATGTCCTTTTCTGCTGTTAAAACATTGGCTGGAGGCCGGGCACAGTGGCTCACGCCTGTAATCACAGCACTTCGGGAGGCCAAGGCAGGCAGATCACATGAGGTCGGGAGTTCGAGACCAGCCTGACCAACATGGAGAAACCCTGTCTCTACTAAAAATACAAAATTAGCCGGGCGTGGTGGCGCATGCCTGTAATCCCAGCTACTCGGGAGGCTGAGGCAGAATTGCTTGAACCCAGGAAGTGGAGGTTGCGGTGAGCCGAGATCGCACCACTGCACTCCAGCCTGGGCAACAAGAGTGAAACTCTGTCTCAAAAAAAAAAAAAAAAAGTTGGCTGGGCATGGTGGCTTACGCTGTAATCCCAGCACTCTGGGAGGCTGAGGCTCAGGAGTTTGAGACCAGCCTGGGCAACACAGGGAGACCCCCCCCCCCCGGCCTCTACAAAAAATAAAAATAAAAAAAAAAATAGCCAGGGGTTGGCAGCCAACGCCTGTAGTCCCAGCTACTCAGGAGGCTGAGGTGGGAGGATCGCTTGAGCCCAGGAAGCAGAGAGCAAAGATCATGCCACTGCGCTCCAGCCTGGGTGACAGAGCCAGACCCCAGTCTCAAAAAACAAAACAAAAAAAAGACTGAAACTCCTGGGATCCAACTGAAAGTATGAGCCGGGACACTCAAAGGAGATAGCTGCAGCTAGTCTAATGAACTGTCTGTGAGGAGCATCTCGACACAAGCCACGGTCAGCACCGAGGCCTGAGCCCTCAGGGCAGGGTGCATCCTTCCCAGGAGCCTGGACCCTGTGAGAGCTGGAGCTAATGGGATGGGCCACCAAACAGGAGGCATGGCTCCCCTGAGAGGAGCCATCGACCCTAGGCCAGGCAGAGAAAGAGCTGGGGAATACCCAAGCCTCTCTCTCCTCCACCCTCCAATCTCCTTGCCCGTGCCTCCCATTGGCTGCAGCCGCTTAGCTGTCTTGCCCTCTGCCTTCCAGGCGGCCTCAGGTAAGAAAGGCGGAGGTGGGCCTAGAGGACACATCCCAAAGCACTACAGGAAGTAGGTGTGGCCCTACATGTATGGACACGTTGCCAAGAGCACGGGAGGGAGGGGAGGCTGAGGCAGAGCCTGCAGCCAGGGAGCTCCGTGATGTTGCTGGCACCTGGCAGGGCACAGGGTGCAGCCCTGGGCCCAGAACCTCCAGACTGGGGGCTGCCGATGGGGTGAGGCTCCCTGTGCTGCACCCACAGGCCTGTACTGCAAACCTTCACCTCCGCAGTCTAATGGGTGTTGTGTGAGTCTTACAGACCCAAGCACACAGGTACAGGCACAGAGGTGAAAAGGTGTCGACTGGGAGAAGACAGAGGGAACCTTCTGAGCAGCTCAGAACTGTCCCAGGGCTTGGCCAAGCTGCTAGGCTCAAAACCAGATTGGAGGGTTGGTGTCAAAGGCTTGCTGATGAGGTATGTGGATGGACTTCTTGCAACAGGCCCAGAAGTTGAGAAGAGATGGTCCCTACTCTTCTGGGTGTACGAAGCAATCTAAACATGACGGCCAGACTCTCCAGCCACCTTAGTGATGCTTGTTTTATGGCCTCGGACCAAAATGGTCATGAGAACACGGAAGGAGGGCACGCCCAGGCTTCTTTCTTCGTCAAGCCTGCCCGGGCAAGGGCTCCTGCTAAAATATTTTAGCGACCAACCACACATCGCAATACTAGTGGGGTGGGGCAGCCCGCACCTGGTGACAGGTGGCCTCACTCATCCTTCTGTGGAAGGCGCAGGGGCCAGGCCGGAAAAGACCCTGAGGCTGGACCTGGTCGTATCTGCGTCCCTGCAGGAACCCACTGTCGCTGCCCCTGCACGACGCCCGCCAGCCCACGATGGCAGCAACAGGTGATGGGCCCGTGCAGGTGGGAAACCGATTTTCCTCTCAGCCGCTCGCCCTCCGGAGGCAGCTGGCCCAAAAGAGGGGCATCGGGCGTCCTCCTCCACACAGCCTTAGAGGGGGAGGTCGGCACCAGCATCTTTCCCACGCTCCTGGCAGATGCGCCCACGGCTTCTACCCGGGATGCCCGAGCGTCAGTCGGGCCAGCGCCAGCCGCGCGCGCCGGAAGCGTTTGCTCGTGCAGATCCCCGGCGCGGAAGCCCGACTACGAAGCTGCGGCATCGCAGGCGCCGCCTCAGGTCCCCACCCGCTTCCCCCCGGGTTTGCGGACGGAGCTGGCGCCTCTGAAGGCGGAGGCGAGGGCCCCGCTCCTTGACCGTTCTTGCTCCTCCGCGGGAGCCGCCGGCCGTCACGTGGGAGGTCACGTGGGTGGTTTGTCAACTGCTCGCAGACGCCTTCGCGCGCAGCCCCGGCCCTCACGGGAGTGCGCAGTCCGAGCATGCGCAGCAGGAGGCGCGAGTTGTCCTCCACAGCGCGGCGGGGCGGGAGACCTCCCTCCCACCCAGACCCCGCCGGCCTCCCTCCCACTCAGACCCCGCCGGCCTCCCTCCCACCCCCGCCGACCTCCCTCCCACCCAGACCCCGCCGGCCTCCCTCCCACCCACCCAGACCCCGCCGCCCTCCCTCGGCGCTCGGGACAGGCTCGGGACGCTGGGGCCGCGTCCGAGCACGTGAGGGCTGAGCAGCCCGCGCCTCTCCTTAGGAAACCCAGTGAGACGCTGGGTATTCGAATGTGGTCGCCGGGGAACGGGCGGCGCCCACACCCCCCGCGCTCGGAGAACTCCCCAGTCCCGCCTGAAACGAACGCGGTGCCCTAAAGTGCGGGCTGCAGGCTCTGCCGCTTGACGCGGCGATGATTGAAGGTGCTGCTTTTAGGAGAGAATAGAAAGGGCCTTCTTTCCTTTCCCCCGGTGGATGTAAACGTGCTTGTTATTATGGGGCATTTAGAAAAGCTTCTGTCCACTGTGTATTCTCTTTGGCAACGCTCTAGACACTTTGAGGGTTGCTGTCAGATCTGGCCCAACCTCTCCTATGTGACGGGAAGGATTTCAGGCATTTCAAGTGCCCCGCGCAGTGACTGGCCCGGAATTCCGCGCGTCTTCCCGGTAGCGTTTTTCCTTTGTCTTTGGTAGAGGACTGGGGGTGGGTGGGGGGGTGGGTCTCACACTGTTGCTCACGCTGGTCTCGAACTCCTGAGCTCCGTGGATCCTCCCGCCTCGGCCTCCTACGCGCTGGGAGTGCAGGTGTGAGCAACCCCGCCCGGCCCAGAGCGGCTTAATACCAGCTTTCCAGCGTTGTGATTTCCGGAGAAACGCAGGCTGACTTCCATGTTTACTATTCACTCTTCTTCACTAATGACACCACGTACATTCTGTTCGTGATTTCTGTGTGACTCAAGTCCACAAATCCTTCGTGTGCTATGCGGAGCCTTTGTGATTGTTGAGGGTTCTCAAGATACTCACTGATGGGGCCGGGCGCGGTAGCCCATGCCTGTAATCCCAGCACTTTGGGAGGCCGAGGCGGGTGGATCACAAGATCAAGAGATCGAGACCATCCTGGCCAACATGGTGAAACCCCGTCTCTACTAAAAATACAAAAATTAGCCGGGCGTGGTGGTGTGTGCCTGTAATCCCAGCTATCGGGAGGCTGAGGCAGGAGAATCACTTGAACCTGGGAGGCGGAGGTTACAGTGAGCCGAGATCGTGCCACTGCCCTCCAGCCTGAGTGACAGTGAGACTCTGTCTCAAAAAAAAAAAAAAAAAAAAAAACCGGTATTCATTTATGTAAAAGACTCCCTGATGTAGGTAATGTCGGTCTGGTTTAAAAACCTATACAACCAAACAACATAGGCAATGTTTAGTCTTAGGAAAGACTAACCAACATCAGGTGGCAGTTTTTCTGTTTAAAAAAACCTATTTTGGCCGGGAGTGGTGTTTCACCCCTGTAATCCTAGCACTTTGAGAGGCCTACGTGGACAGATTGCCTGAGTTCAGGAGTTCAAGACCAGCCTGGACAACATGGTGAAACCCCGCCTGTACTAAAATACAAAAAATTAGCGCGGCGTGGTGGCGCCTGTAATCCCAGCTACTCGAGAGGCTGAGGCAGGAGAATCGCTTGAACCCGGGAGGCGGAGCTTCAGTGAGCCGAGATGGTGCCATTGGACTCCAGCCTGGGTGACAGAGCGAGACTCTGTCTCCAAAAAAAAAAATGGTTTCAAAATGTTTTGAGAAGCATCTGTTTTGTCTGATGTGTTTTAGTTGATTAAGTGCAAGTTGCAGGATCGGAATCTTGAACAATAAATCTTCCACTAAAAAGTGTTGAGTGGAATTACTGCTCGTCGTAACAGGTGTAATGAGACAGCGTGGTACTGAAACCAGCAAATTTGTGGGTGTGTCTGTGGCCAGCCCAGTGTGTGTCCTGCTGACTGGACCAGCTGTGGTTTTCCTGTCTGTGACCTTCAGCTCCCTTCTGCATCTTTGCTTTCTGTTTGGTGTGTTCTCTCATAATGTCTGTATCGTCATTTTCATTCTCCATATTTTTTTAGTTACGACGATTCTTTTCCTTCATGGTTTTGACCATTAGTGTTTTTAATTTCTGTTGTGATACAGTACTTTGTCTTGAGCTCCACAATTGTGTAATAAAATAACAATACACTGGCCGGATGCGGTGGCTCACGCCTGTAATCCCAGTACTTTGGGAGGCTGAGGTGGGCGGATCACGAGGTCAGGAGATCGAGACCATCCTGGCTAACACAATGAAACCCCATCTCTACTAAAAATACAAAAAATTCACCGGGCGCGGTGGCTCACGCCTGTAATCCCAGCACTTTGGGAGGCCAAGGCAGGCGGATCGTGAGGTCAGGAGATCAAGACCATCCTGGCTAACGTGGTGAAACCCCGTCTCTACTAAAAATACAAAAAATTAGCTGGGTGTGGTGGTGGATGCCTGTAGTTCCAGCTACTTGGGAGGCTGAGGCAGGAGAATGGCGTGAACCCGGGAGGCGGAGCTTGCAGTGAGCCCAGATCACGCCACTGCACTCCAGCCTGGGCGACAGAGCGAGGCTCCGTCTCAAAAAAAAAAAAAAAAAAATACAAAAATTTAGCCGGGCATGGTGGCATGCGCCTGTCGTCCCAGCTACTCGGGAGGCTGAAGCAGGAGAATCGCTTGAACCTAGGAAGTGGAGGTTGCAGTGAGCAGAGATCATGTCACTGCACTCCAGCCTGGGCGACAGACAGAGACTCCATCAATAAATAAACAAAATAACAATACACCACACATACTGACTTGCGAGTGTGTGAAGGGGTTCTGTCCTGAGAACACACATCTCTTCAGCTACTTTTGCTGTGTTATTAGCAATTTGTGTGTTATTTCTTCTGGAACTTCCAGAATTTCTCAGGACAATTGCATATGTTTCAGATGTGCAAAGCCTTGATGTGACTTCACACTCCAGGGATCACAGTTGGTGCTGCCACAGGCGTGTGCCCTGCAAGCACAGGCATTCCAAGAAATGGTTCACTGCAGCAAAATTTCTGCTGTGGGGCAGGGACCAGCTCCATAGAATCTGCCCTCCAGGAGGGATTTCCCATCCTGACCAGCATTCAAGAGTAGGTTCTCTGCTCACACTATGGGAGTCAGATGTTCGGAGAATGTTCCAGACTGTGTGTTGGGAAGTATTTCAAAGCTTGATCTCCCCAAGCCTTGTGTGCTCCTCTTGCCTGGGGCTAGTGGTCAGGAGCCCCGTGGGTCAATTTCTGGCCAGGTGAGCACGTGGCAGCTGGCCATAGCATAGCTGGGTCGAAGGGACTGCAGAGCCCAGCACAACCCCCATGCCTCCTCCAGTGCTTCCCCAGGAGGCAGGGTGGACACTGCCCTACCTGGGGCCCTATGGCTGGGCCTCAGATCTTCCCAGCCAGCCTCTTTGGCCAGGTGAACTCAAACTCCTGGACTCCAGGGATCATCCCACCTCAGCCTCGTGAGTAGCTGGGACTACAGGCATGAGCCACTGTGCCCAGCCAAAAAAAAAATTTTTTTTTTTTTTTTGAGAGGGAGTCTTACTCTGTCGCCCAAGCTGGAGTGCAGTGGTGTGATCTCGGCTCACTGCAACTTCCACCTCCCAGGTTGAAGCGATTCTCCTGCCTCAGCCTCCCGAGTAGCTGGGATTACAGGTGCTCACCACCACGCCCGGCTAATTTTTGTATTTTTAGTAGAGACGAGGTTTCACCGTGTTGGCCAGGCTGGTCTCGAACTCCTGACCTCAAATGATCCACCCTCCTCGGCCTCCCAAAGTGCTAGGATTACAGGCATAAGCCACTGCGCCCAGCCAAAAGATTTTTCTAAAATTATGGCTGTGGAGGTGTGGAGTCACTGGTAGCAGGAGCAAGAGGTGTAGACTTGATCATGCAGTGTTGGCAATAGCCAGTGGAGACCTGGGTCCCAGGTCCTGCCTCCCCACCCTCTACCTCCACCCCCAGTGGAGGCAAAGACCTTGACTCTCAGTCTCCAGCTTTCTTCCCTCTACCAAGTCCCCTAGCCTGGACACTCACATTCTCTGATTCTGTAGACAGCGGGGACTAAAAAACCTGTGCTGTGATCATGGTTAGTCAACCCATGAAAAGATGCACAGGCCGGGCACGGTGGCTCTCGCCTGCAACCCCAGGACTTCGGGAGGCCAAGGCTGGCGGATCACTTCAGGCCAGGAGTTTGAGACCAGACTGGGCAGCATGGCAAAACCGCATCTGTACAAAAAATACAAAATTTAGCCGAGCGTGGTGGTGCACACCTGTAGTCCCAGCTACTTGGGAGGCTGAGGTGGGAGGACTGCTTGAACCTGGGAGGTTGAGGCTGCAGTATGCCGAGATCGTACCACTACTACACTCCAGCCAGGGTGACAGAGTAAGACCATGTCTCCAAAAAAAAAAGATACCCAGCATAACACCACAATGAGATGCCACCACGTACCCACTGGAGTGACTGTGATGAAAGAAAAGGGTGGTCATGGCCGGGTGCGGTGGCTCACCCCTGTAACCCCAGCACTTTGGGAGGCTGAGGCGGGCGGATCACCTGAGGTCAGGAGCTCGAGACCAGTCTGGCAACATGGTGAAACCCCGTCTCTATTAAAAATACAAAAATTAGCTGGGCTTGGTAGTGGGTGCCTGTAATCCCAGCTACTCGGGAGGTTGAGGCAGGAGAATCGCTTGAACTCAGGAGGCAGAGGTTGCAGTGAGCTGAGATTGCACCACTGCCCTCCAGCCTGGGCAACAAGAGCAAAACTCCATCTCAAAAAAAAAGAAGTGTGGTCATGCCAAGAGTTGGGAAGAGCAAGTGGGACCCTGCTACATGGCTGGCGGGGTACAGAATGGGGCAGTCACTTTGGAAAGGTTTGGCAGTTTCTTAACATTTGTCCAAGGAGCACTGGCGATTTTGTTGAAGAATGGTGTTAGGAATCAACATCTGGGCACTGGCCGTGCACGTTGCTACTGGAATGTCATCATTTCTCGGCATCTCAGGGGACTGAGCCAGGAAACGTGTGTGCACTTGGCCCGTGTACGCAGGCATGTCTAGAACTGTTTGGTTTCTTTCTTTTTCTTTTTTTTTTAGAGACAGGATCTCATTTTGTCACCCAGGCCAGGCTGCAGTGGTGTGATCTCAGCTCACTGCAGCCAGCCTCAAACTCCTGGGCTCAAGTGAGCTCCTCCCTCAGCCTCCCAAGTAGCTGAGACTACAGGCACGTGTCACCATGCTCGGCTAATTAAAAACAAACTTTTTTTGGTAAAGACAGTGTCTGGCCAGGGGCGGTGGCTCACGCCTGTAATCCCAGCACTTTGGGAGGCCGAGGTGGGTGGATCACGAGGTCAGGAGATCGAGACCATCCTGGCTAACATGGTGAAACCCCATCTCTACTAAAATACAAAAAATTAGCCGGGCATGCTGTCGGGCACCTGTAGTCCCAGCTACTCAGGAGGCTGAGGCAGGAGAATGGCGTGAACCCGGGAGGCGGAGCTTGCAGTGAGCTGAGATCGCGCCACTGCACTCCAGCCTGGGCAACGGAGCGAGACTCCGTCTCAAAAAAAAAAAAAAAAAAAAAAAGACAGCATCTTACTTTGTCGGCCAGGCTGGTCTCAAACTCCTGGGCTGAAGTGATCCTCTACCTTGGCCTCTCAAAGTGCTGGGATTACAGGCGTGAGCCACCACGCCCAGCAGAGGGATTTTCATCTTGATTCTCTGTGCTTCACAGAAGCTCAGAATAGGTTTTTGCACGAGTCAGTGAATAGTAACTGCTTGGAACGTTAATTTTTTGTGAAATTTCTCCAGCCTGATTCTGCATGTGACAAGTGCTGACCCTGATCCCAAGCCCCACTCAGAGCTCAGAGTCTGTTGGGGAGAATGTGTGTGTAAATAAATGACTGTCCCAGACTCTCAGCTGCAGAGGTGATGCTAGGCAGGGCAGCCACTCAGGAGAAGCAGTAACCCTCACTGTGCAGTAGTAGGTGGTCGGGTGGCTGACGGAGGGGCTGTGGGAGCAGGTCTTGCAGGCTGGTGGGCGGGGTCATGAGCTGAGGCGCACAGGTGGGCAGGGGGCCTGGGGAATGGGGCTGGCAGTGTGTGAGGAATTTGGGTGCAGGTCCCGGGTGATGATGACCCAAGTCACGGCTGCTTTCCCCCTGGCCTCATGAAGGTGGGGTCTGTGCCCCTCTGCTCAAGTGGGCCCTGGAATCCGGCCCAGTGCCCAGCATGAGAATGGAGGAGGGAAGTGTCCTGGACGAGCAAATGAGTACATGGCAGCCCTGAGCTTTGGAGCCTAGGAGGTGGGAGGAACAGGGACGCCACCACAAACGCGAAGCATCCGCAGGAGCACCCGGGGGTGCAGGTTCTGGGGAGCGGAGGCCCCGAGCTGAGGTGACACGGGCCGCTCCGTTTAAAAACAGCCTTTCACTGTCAAGCTAGAGTCTGTCCGACTGTCTGTGTGCTGCATGTGGATCTGTTTTTCCATGTGAGCTTTGGGGAACACCAGTTTGAGCACAGAGATTCAGAAGGGCAGCCCAGACCACCAGGCTGAAGCAGCTAGAGAACTCTGTACGTGGTCACCAGGGGACGCCTGGCGCTGCGAGGGAGGCCCCGAGCCTCGTGCCCCCGTGAAGCTTCAGCTCCCCTCCCCGGCTGTCCTTGAGGCTCTTCTCACACTCAGATGCACGTGGCTCAGAACACAGAGGTTGCAGGGGAGCTCCTGCTGCGCCTGCCTGCACTCCAGGACACATCCTGAGGAGGCTCTTCCAGACACGGTGCATTCACTTAGAAGGTCAATTTGTGTAACCTGAATATGACTGGAGTTCATCTGTGTGCCTCCTAGGACACAGCTAAAATTGGGACACTGGGGTCAGCCTCCTCCTGGTCCCTTGGAGGGCACACGTTACGAACAGGTTCTCCAGCTCCAGGAGCTCCTGAAGGTCTGCGGAGAAGTTCAGGTGCAGGAGGCCTCAAAACCATAGTTCCTTTCAGATCCAGTTAATATCAATAAATTTAAACATTTTCTTTTCCAAGCAAGATGGCTAATGCCTGTAATCCCAGCACTTTGGGAGGCCGAGGCAAGCGGATCACTTGAGCCCAGGAGTTCAACTCTAGCCTATGCAACACAGTGAGAACTCATCTCTACAAATTATAAAAATAAACAACATTGTCTTAGTATATTCTTTTAAAAATAGGTATTATGAGATTTATCGCTGAAGCTCTCATTTGTTTAAAGTGAAATTCAACTAGAAATATATGTATTATTCGGCCGGGCGCGGTGGCTCACCCCTGTAATCCAAGTACTTTGGGAGGCCGAGGCGGGCGGATCACAAGGTCAGAAGATCAAGACCATCCTGGCTAACACAGTGAAACCCCGTCTCTACTAAAAATACAAAAAATTAGCCAGGCACAGTGGCGGGCGCCTGTAGTCCCAGCTACTCGGGAGGCTGAGGCAGGAGAATGGCGTGAACCCGGGAGGCAGAGCTTGCAATGAGCCGAGATAGTACCACTGCACTCCAGCCTGGGCAACAGAGCGAGACTCTGTCTCAAAAAAGAAAAAGAAATATATGTATTATTTATCTATAAATCTCACTTGTTCCTGAAATCTGGTGAGATTTAAAAGATCTCACTGGCCAGTTGCAGTGGCTCACGCCTGTAGTCCCAGCACTTTGGGAGGCCAAGGCAGGAGGATCACTTTAGCTCAGGAGTTTGAGAGCAGCCTGGTCAACGTGGTAAAACCCTGTTTCTACTAAAAATACAAAAAAAGAAATTAGCTGGCTGTGGTGGCGGCGCCTGTAATAGGAGGCTGAGGCAGGAGAGTCGCTTGATCCCAGGAAGCAGAGGTTGCAGTGAGCCAAGGTCATGTCCTTGCACTCCAGCCAGGGCAACAAGAGCAAAACTCCATCTCAAATAAATAAATAAAGAAATAAAAATAAAACATTTACCAATTTTTAACTTTTTAATTTTTATGTATTTATTTTTTTGAGATGGATGGCTGACTTAGTCCATTTTGTGTTGCTATAACAATACTGGAGACTGGGTAGTTTATAAAGAAAAGAGGTTGATGTAGCTCGTGGTTCTGCAGGCTGGGAAGTTCAAGGGCATGGCCCTGGTTACTGGTGAGGGCTTTTTGCTCATTTTTTTTTTTTTGAGATGGAGTCTCGCTCTGTTGCCACCCAGGCTGGAGTGCAATGGCGTGATCTCAACTCACTGCAACCTCTGCCTCCCGGGTTCAAGCGATTATCTTGCCTCGGCCTCCCAAGTAGCTGGGATTACAGGTGCCTGCCACCGTGCCCAGCTAATTTTTGTGTTTTTAGTAGAGATGAGGTTTTGCCATGTTGGGTAGGCTGGTCTCAAACTCCTGACCTCAGGTGGTCCACCTGCCTCGGCCTCCCAAAGTGCTGGGATTACAGGCGTGAGCCACCGCACCCAGCCTATTTTTTATTTTATTTTATTTATTATTATTATTATTATTATTATTATTATTATTATTATTATTATTTTGAGACAGAGTCTCACTCTGTCGCCCAGGCTGGAGTGCAGTGGTGCCATCTCGGCTCACTGCAACCTCTGCCTCCCAGGTTCAAGCGATTCTCCTGCCTCAGCCTCTGGGGTAGCTGGGACTACAGGCATGTGCCAACGCAGCCAGCTAATTTTTTGTATTTTTAGTAGAGATGGGGTTTCACCGTATTAGCCAAGAGGGTCTAAATCTCCTGACCTCATGATCTGCCTGCCTTGGCCTCCCAAAGTGTTGGGATTACAGGCGTGAGCTACTGCACCTGGCCCTATTATTATTATTATTATTATTATTTTGTTTTTGAGATAGAGTCTTGCTCTGTCACCCAGGCTGGAGTGCAGTGGCACGATCTCAGCTCACCACAACCTCCACCTCCTGGGTTCAAGCAATTTTTCTCCCTCAGCCTCCTGAGTAGCTGGGACTACAGGCACGCACCACCACGACCAGCTAATTTTTGTATTTTTAGTAGAGACAGGGTTTCACTATGTTGGTCAGGCTGGTTTCAAACTCCTGACCTCGTAATCCGCCCACCTTGGCCTCCCAAAGTGCTGGGATTACATATGTGAGCCACCGCGCCCGGCCTGTTTTATTTTATTGTTTGTTTTGTTTTCTAAGAGACGAGGTCTCACTCTGCTGCCCAGGCTAGAGTGCAGTGGCACAATCATAGCTCACTGCAGGCTTGAACTGGCCTCAGTGATCCTCCCACCTCATCCTCCCGAGTAGCTGGAACTACTGACTGGCTCCACTGCACCTGGCCTTCCTGTGGTTTTAATTTGCATTTCCCTGATGACTAATGACATTGAACATCTTCTTTTGTGTTTATTGGCTATTTATATATATTCTCTTGTGAGGTAGCTTTTCAAGTCTCTTGCCTATTTTGAAAATTAAGTTGTCTTTTCATTACGGAGTTACAGGAGTTTTTAAAAATTCCGCTTAGATACTTTTGTCAGATACATGTACTGTGAATATTTTCTCAATGTGTGGCTCATGTTTTCATATTTTTCATTGTTTTGATGAGCAAAATGTATTTTTTCTTATAAAATTATCATTTTTTTCTTTTATAGTTATCACTTTTTAGGTCTTAAGAAAATTTTTCCTATCTCAAAGGAACAAAGACAGTCTCCTATGTTTTTTTTTTAATTTTTAAAAAACTTTTTACTTTTTTAGAGATGGAGTCTCTCCCTGTCACCCAGGCTGGATTGCAATGGCGCGATTTCAGCTCACTGCTAACTTCACCTCCCAGGTTCAAGCGATTCTCCTGCCTCAGCCTCCCAAGTAGCTGGAATTACAGGCACCCGCCATCATGCCCAGCTAATTTTTATATTTTTATAGAGATGAGGTTTCACCATGTTGGCCAGGCTGGTCTTGAACTCTTGACCTCAGGTGATCCGCCCACCTTGGCCTCCCCAAAGTGCTGGGATTACAGGTGTGAGCCACCATGCCCAACCAACAGTCTCCTATGTTTTATTTTTGGGAGCTTGATAATTTTAGCCTTTGCATATAGGTCCATCTGAATTTTATTTTTATGTATGGCATAAGGCAGGGATTAGTGCTTTTGTTGTTATTATTATTGTTAAAACAAGCCCAATTTTCCTATAGAACTGTTTACAGTGTTTTGTTTTGTTTTGTTTGGCTAAGCATAGACATTGACCCTCTTGGTCTTGAAGCTTGAGAAAATTAACATTTGTTTTATCTGAGTTCTTTTCTTTGGAATCCAATCCTCAGGCCTTCCAGATAGTATCGGGGAGCTGAAACTTTCCAGAACACTAAATCCGACCACCCCCAGCAGCCTGTTGACCACCTCTTCTTCCTTACTCCTCCCTACTTCCTAATTTCCCACCCATAGTTACCTTCCTTCCCTGCTATCTAAAACCCTAACTTCAGTGGGTTGGGGAAGTGGATTTGAGACTGGTCTCCCGTCACCTGCTGACATCACGACATCACTTGCAATAAAGCCTTCTTCCCTGGCAATACTCGTTGTCTCCATGATTGGCTTTCCATTTGGTGAGCAACTGGACTTGGCCGAACCCCTGGCATTGGGCAACATTGGTAATCAGATACCCTGTACTGTTTATTCAACAGACTTTGCTTTCCCTATTGAACAACCTTGGCACTATTGTCAAAAATCAATTGACTCTGTATATGGGGGTCTATTTCTGGATTTTTCATGCTGTTCCACTGATCTAGTTCTTTTCTTTTTTTCTTTCTTTCTTTTTTTTTTTTTTTGAGACAGAGTCCCACTCTGTCGCCCAGGCTAGAGTGCAATGGCGCAATCTCGGCTCACTGCGACCTCCCCCTCCCAGGTTCAAGCGATTCTCCTGCTTCAGCCACCTGAGTAGCTGGGATTACCGGCGTGCACCACCACGCCTGGCTAATTTTTGTATTTTTAGTAGAGACGGGGTTTCACCATGTTGGTCAGGCTGGTCTTGAACTCCTGACCTCGTGATCCACCTGCCTCAGCCTACCAAAGTGCTGGGATTACAGGCATGAGCCCCTGTGCCTGGGCTCACTGAGCTAGTTCTTATACCAGTATTATTATACCATTCTTTTACCAGTATTCCACAATTTTAATTACTATAGCTTTACATTAACTCTTAAAATTGGGTGCTGTACTTTGGGAGACTGAGGCGGGGGGATCACAAGGTCAGGAGATCAAGACCATCCTGGCTAATACGGTGAAACTCCATCTCTACTAAAAATACAAAAAAATGGCCGGATGCAGTGGCTCACGCCTGTAATCCCAGCACTTTGGGAGGCCAAGGCAGGTGGATCACGAGGTCAGGAGATCGAGACCATCCTGGCTAACACGGTGAAACCCCGTCTCTACTAAAAATACAAAAAATTAGCCGGGCGTGGTGGAGGGCACCTGTAGTCCCAGCTACTCGGGAGGATGAGGCAGGAGAACGGCGTGAACCTGGGAGGTAGAGCTTGCAGTGAGCCGAGATCACACCACTGCACTCCAGCCTGGGCGACAGAGCGAGACTCCCTCTCAAAACAAAAACAAAAACAAACAAAAAACAAACAACAACAACAACAAAAACAAAAACAAAAAAATGAGCTGGTGGCCGGGCACAGTGGCTCACACCTGTAATCCCAGCACTTTGGGAGGCCAAGGCAGGCAGATCACGAGGTCAGGAGATAGACCATCCTGGCTAACATGGTGAAACCTCATCTCTACTAAAAATATAAAACAATTAGCCGGGCACTGTGGCGGGCCCCTGTAGTCCCAGCTACTCGGGAGGCTGAGGCAGGAGAATCACTTGAACCCGGGAGGCAGAGGTTGCAGTGAGCCGATATTGCGCCACTGCACTCCAGCCTGGGTGACAGAGCAAGACTCTGTCTCAATTAAAAAAAAAAAAAAAAAGTAGTCCAGGTGTGGTGGCTCATACCTATAATCCCAGCATTACTTTGGGAGACTGAGGCGGGAGGATTGCTTGAGCACAGGAGTTCAAGACCAGCCTGGGCAATATAGTGAGACCCCATCTCTACAAAATTTTTTTTTTTTTTTTTTTTGAGAGGAAGTCTGGCTCTGTCACCCAGGCTGGAGTGCAGTGGCGCAATCTCGGCTCACTGCAAGCTCCGCCTCCCGGGTTCACGCCATTCTCCTGCCTCAGCCTCCTGAGTAGCTGGGACTACAGGCACCTGCCACCATGCCCGGCTAATATTTTTGTATTTTTTAGTAGAGACGGGGTTTCACCGTGTTAGCCAGGATGGTCTCAATCTCCTGACCTCGTGATCCGCCCGCCTTGGCCTCCCAAAGTGCTGGGATTACAGGCGTGGGCCGCCGCTCCCGGCCTCTACGAAAAATTTTAAAAATAGCTGGGCATATGGTGGGCACTTGTGGTCCCAGCTACTTGGCAGGCTTGAGCCCAGGAGTTCTAGGATACAGTGAGCTATTACCATGCCACTGCATTCCAGCCTTGGTAAGAGAGAGAGACCCTCTGCTAAAAAATAATAATAAGGCCAGGCACTGTGGCTTATGCCTATAATCCTGGCACTTTGGGAGGGTGAAGCAGGTAGATCACTGGAGCCTACGAGTTCAAGACCTGGACAACATACCAAGATCCTGTCTCTACAAAAAAAAAAATACAAAAATTAGCTGGGTATGGTGGTGTGCTCCTATAGTCCTAGCTATTCAGGAAGCTGAGGTAGGAGGATCACTTGAGCCCAGGAGGCGCAGGCTGCAGTGAGCCATGATTGCACCACTGCACTCCAGCCTGGGTGACAGAGTGAGACTGTCTAAAATAATAATAATGGGCCGGGTGCGGTGGCTCACGCCTGTAATCCCAGCACTTTGGGAGGCCGAGGCGGGTGGACCACGAGGTCAGGAGATTGAGATCATTCTGGCTAACTGGGTGAAACACCGTCTTTACTAAAAATACCAAAAAATTAGCTGGGTGTGGTGGCGCGCGCCTGTAGTCCCAGCTACTCGGGACGCCGAGGCAGGAGAATCGCTTGAACCCAGGAGGCCGAGGTTGCAGTGAGCCCAGGTCGTGCCACTGTGCTCCAGCCTGGGTAACAGAGTGAGACTCTGTCTCAAAAAAAAAAAAAAATTTTTTTTTTGCTTGAAGCATTCATTCAGTAATCTTTAAAATAATTATTTTTATTTTATTTTTTATTTTTTGAGACAGGATCTTGCTCTGTGACCAGGCTGGAGTATAGTGGTGCGATCTCGGCTCAATGCAGCCTTCACTTCCCACATTCCAGCGATCGTCCCTCCCACCTCAGCCTCCCGAGCAGCTGGGACCACAGGCGCTGCCACCATGCCCAGCAATTTTTTTTTTTTTTTTTTTTTAGTAGAGATGGCATTTCGCCATGTTGCCCAGGCTGGTCTCAAACTCCTAAACTTAAACAATCCACACACCTTGGCCTCCCAAAGTACTGAGATTACAGGCATGGGGCGCCGTATGGCCAATTATTATTATTATTATTTTTGAGACGGAGTCTCACTCTGTCGCCCAGGCTGGAGTGCAGTGGCATGAACTGGGTTCACTGCAGCCTCCGCCTCCGAGGTTCAAGTGATTCTCCTGCTTGAGCCTCCCAAGTAGCTGGGATTACAGGTGCCCGCCATCACACCCAGCTAATGTTTGTATTTTTAGTAGAGATGGGGTTTCACCACGTTGGGCAGGCTGGTCTTGAACTCCTGACCTCAAATGATCCACCTGCCTCGGCCTCCCAAAGTGCTGGGATTACAGGTGTGAGCCACTGTGCCCAGCCTATTATTATTATTATTTGAGACAGTGTTGCTTTGTCACCCAGGCTGGAGTGCAGTGGTGTGATCACTGTTCACTGCAGTCTCCACCTCTAAGGCTCAAGTGATCCTCCTGCCTCAGCCTCCTGAGTAGCTGGGATTACAGGTGTTACCTGTGGTTGTCCAGGTTCTTGGCGTTTTGAACAAAGAATCGGACAAAACGCACAGCAAAGCAAGGATAGAATGAAGCAGACGTTGATTGAAAATGAAAGTACACTCCACAGGGTGGGGGCGCCCAAGTAGCAGCTCGAGGGCCGTGGTTACAGAATCTTCTGGGGTCCAGTACCCCTTAGAGGTTCTCCATTGGCCACTTGGTGTACACTCCACGCAAATGAAGTAGCAGCCTGTGATCAGTTTGATCTGTTTCGGAAAGCAACCAATCAGAAGGACTTCCAATTTTCCATCTGCCACGCAGAAAGCAGGGAAGGGTTTGCAAAGGGAGTAGCCTCTGGTCCTTTTGTTACTCAGGTGTGGGAAGTTGGGGTTTTACTTTTGATTTAGTTCTAGGAAGTCAGCATGAATCAGCCTTAGGTTCCCTGCCTCCGTCCCCTATTCTTCTGCCTCACAGGCACACGCCACCACACCTGGCTTTCTATTTTTTTAGAAATGGGATCTCACTATGTTGTCCAGGCTGGTCTCAAAGTCCTGGGCTCAAGCAATCCTCCTGCCTCGGCCTACCAAAGTGCCAAGATTATAGGCATGAGCCACTGTGCCTGGTCTAAATAAATTATTTTTGGCTGGGCACGGTGGCTCATACCTGTAATCCCAGCACTTTGGGAGGCCAAGGTGGGCAGATCACAAGGTCAAGAGATCCAGACCATCCTGGCCAACATGGTGAAACCACGTCTCTACTAAAAATACAAAAATTACCTAGGCACGGTGGCGTGCAACTGTAGTCCCAGCTACTTGGGAGGCTGAGGCAGGAGAATTGCTTGAACTCGGGAGGCAGAGGTTGCAGTGAACTGAGATCGCACCACTGCACTCCAGCCTGGCAACAGAGCGAGACTCCATCTCAAAAACAACAACAACAGCAAAACTCTTTTATAGTTACCCACATAGCCACTTTCCCAGGCGTTCTTTATTTCTTGGTGCAGCACTGGGATTCCACTGGAGATCATTTTCCTCTGGTCTGAAGCATTTCTGTTTGTTGGCTGGCCGTGGTGGCTCATGCCTGTAATCCCAGCACTTTGGGAGGCTAAGGTGGAAGGATCACTCTAGACCAGCTTGGGCAACATAGTGAGACCTCGTCCCTATAAAAAATAAAAAATAGGCCAGGTGTAGTGGCTCACGTCTGTAATCCCAGCACTTTGGGAGGCCGAGGCGAGCGGATCACGAGGTCAGGATATTGAGACCATCCTGGCTAACATGGTGAAACCCCGTCTCTACTAAAAATACAAAAAAAAAATTAGCTGGGCGTGGTGGCAGGCGCCTGTAGTCCCAGCTACGGGAGGCTGACGCAGGAGAATGGCGTGAACCCAGGAGGCAGAGCTTGCAGTCAGCCGAGTGAGCCACTGCACTCCAGCCTGGGCAACAGAGCGAGACTCTTGTCTCAAAAAAAAAATAAAAGGGCTGGGTGCGGTGGCTCATGCCTGTACTCCCAGCACTTTGGGAGGCCGAGGCGGGCAGATCACGAGGTCAGGAGTTTGAGACCAGCCTGACCAACATGGTGAAACCCTGTCTCTACTAAAAACACAAAAATTAGCCAGGCGTGGTGGCAGGTGCCTGTAATCCCAGCTACTCAGGAGGCTGAGGCAGGAGAATCGCTTGAACCTGGGAGGCGGAGGTTGCAGTGAGTCGAGATCATGCCATTGCACTCCAGCCTGGGCGACAAGAGCGAGACTCCATGATAAAAAATAAATTAAAAAACAAAAAAAGGAATAAATTATATAATAATTTCTGTTAGTATTTTTTTGAAGGCTGAATCTTCTGGTGATAATTTTCAGCTTTTGTTGATCTGAAAATTTCTTTCATTACCGTTCCTTAATTTTTTCTTTTTTCTTTTTAATAGAGACGAGGTCTCACTATGTTGCCCAGGCTGGTCTTCAACTCCTGAGCTTAGGTGATCCTCTCACCTCAGCCTCCCAAAGTGCTAGGATTACAGGAGTGAGCCACTGCACCTGGCCACCTTTCCTTAATTTTTATTTTTTTTGAGGCAGAGTTTTGCTCTTGTCGCCCAGACTAGAGTGCAGTGGCACAATCTCTGCTCACTGCAACCTCCGCCTCCCAGGTTCAAGTGATTCTCCTGCCTCAGCTTCCCAAATAGCTGGGGTTACAGGTGTGCACCACCACGCCTGGCTAATTTTTGTATTTTTAGTAGAGATGGAGTTTCACCATGTTGGGCAAGCTGGTCTCGAACTCTTGACCTCAGGTGATCCACCCACCTCGGCCTCCCAAAGTGCTGGGATTAAAGGCCACTGCGCCTAGCCAATTTTTTTTATTTTTATTTTTGAGATGGAGTTTTGCACTGTTGCCCAGGCTGGAGTTCAGTGGTGCGATCTCGGCTCACTGCAAGCTCTGCCTCCTGGGTTCACACCATTCTCCTGCCTCAGCCTCCCGAGTAGCTGGGACTACAGGCACCCACCACTACGCCCGGCTAATTTTTTTGTGTGTTTTTAGTAGAGACGGGGTTTCACCATGTTAGCCAGGATGGCCTCTATCTCCTGACCTCATGATCCACCCGCCTTGGCCTCCCAAAGTGCTGGGATTACAGGCGTAATCCCAGGCGCGCCCAGCCATGCCCAGCCAATTTTTGAAGAACATTTTTGTTAGATATTCAATTCTGATCTCAATGACTTTGTTTTACTCTTAGCATTTTACGGATGTCAGTTCTTTGTTTTCTGGCTTCCATGGCTTTCGATGAGAAGTCAGCTGTCATTCTTATTGATGCCTCCATGAATGTATTGTACCTTTTTTTTTTTCAGACGGAGTTTCCCTCTTTTTGACCAGACTGGAGTGCAATGGTGCGATCTCGGCTCACTGCAACCTCTGCCTCCCAGGTTCAAGCGATTCTCCTGTCTCAGCCTCCCAAATAGCTGGGATTACAGGCATGCACCACCAGGCCCGGCTAATTTTGTATTTTTAGTAGAGACAGGGTTTTTCCATGTTGGTCAGGCTGGTCTTGAACTCCTGACCTCAGGTGATCCACCCGCCTCGGCCTCCCAAAGTGCTGGGATTATAGGCGTGAGCCACCGCGCCCGGCCGAATGTAATGTACCTTTTAAAGTCTGCCTCTTTTTAGGACTTTTCTCATTATCGTTGGTTTTCAGCAGTTGGACTATGATATGCTTTTATGTATTTTTCTTTGACTGTATCTTTTTGGGAGTTTGCTGAGCTGTTTGGATCTGTGGGTTGGTATATTTTCACCAATGTATAAACTTCTTACATATTATCTCTTTAAATATTTCCTCTGCTCTATTTTCTTTCTCCCTACTTCTTGGCAGTCAAATTTCACATTTATTCAACCATTTGATCTTGTCCCACAGGTCTCTAATATTCATTTCTGTTTTCTTTTTTTCTCATTTTCCTTCTTTCTTTTTATCTTGGAATTTTGATTCAGATTATTTCAACCGATGTAACTTTGAGATGAAAAATCTTGTCTTCAGCTGTTTCCAGTTTGGTGTTTAGATAATTCGATAAATTCTCCATTTCATATATTTTAGCTTTTTCTTTATACTGGTGAACTTAACACTAGTAAAGTTTACACACCCCCTAATCCTAAAGCCCTTACTCCTAAGGTGTTCCCTTTCTGGGGTCTCAACTGAGTGCCCAGGTTGGACCAAGATGCTTTACCTTTGCTGCCGTGTATCCCAGTCCTGTGTCCTCTGCGATCGCTTTTCAACTCCCTTGTAACAGCAGCAATCAAAAGAGGTTCAAAAATCAGAGTTAGGTTGTTGTAATAAAACTTCCTCTCGTTCTATTTATTTCTATGTATACATTAATGAAATAACAGGGATAATATTTATATACACCTGCCTCATTATAGCAATAAGCACTTTTCATCAGTGGATACATGAGTGAATTGTCAGCGGGGAAAAGCTCCAGACATGTTATTAAAAGATATGTCTCCAATGTAATTCAATTTTTTGGTCTTAATAAAAATTTACAGGCTGGGCACGGTGGCTCACCCCTGTAATCCCAGCGCTTGAGGAGGCTGAGGCGGATGGATCGCCGGAGCTCAGGACTTCGACACCAGCATGGGCAATATTGCAAAACCCCATCTCTGAAAAAATTCAAAAATTAGCTGGGCATAGTGGTGCACACACCTGTAATCCCACCACCACGCCCGGTATATTTTTAGTACAGACAGGGTTTCTCTGTGTTGGTCAGGCTGGTCTTGAACTCCCAACCTCAGGTGATCTGCCTGCCTCGGCCTCCCAAAGTGCTGGAATTATAGGCGTGAGCCACTGCACCTGGCCCTAATTTTTGTTTTTGTTTTTGTTCTTGTTTGAGACAGAGTCTTGCTTTGTTGCCCAGGCTGGAGTGCAGTGGTGAGATCTCAGCTCACTGCAAGCTCCGCCTCCCAGGTTCACGCCATTCTCCTGCCTCAGCCTCCCAAGTAGCTGGGACTACAGGCACCTGCCACCACACCCGGCTAATTTTTTGTATTTTTAAAAGAGACAAGGTTTCACCGTGTTAGCCAGGATGACCTCGATCTCCTGACCTCATGATCCGCCCGCCTCGGCCTCCCAAAGTGCTGGGATTACAGGCGTGAACCACTGTGCCCGGCCAATTTTTGTATTTTTAGTGGAGATGGGGTTTCACCATATTGGCCAGGATGGTCTCCATCTATTGACCTTGTGATCTGCCCACCTGGGCCTCCCACAGTGCTGGGATTACAGGTGTGAGCCACCATGCCTGGCCTGCCCATCTTTTTTTGTTGTTCTTTTTTTCTTTTCTTTTTTTTTTGAGACAAAGTCTCACTCTGTCACCCAGGCTGGAGTGCGGTGGCACGATCTTGGCTCACCGCAACCACCGCCTCCTAGTTAAAGCAATTCTCCTGCCTCAGCCTCCTGAGTAGCTGGGATTACAAGCATGCGCCACCACGCCCAGCTGATTTTTTGTATTTTTAGTAGAGACAGGGTTTCACCATGTTGGGCAGGCTGGTCTTGAATTCCTGACCTTTAGTGATCCGCCTGCCTCGGCCTCCCAAAAGTGCTGAGATTACATGTGTGAGCCACCACACCCGGCCTGTTTTTTTTTTTTTTTTTTGGTTAAATGATACACTTCCTATTTATCATTTCCATAGTCATCTCAATGTCCCCTAAAATCCCTCTAATATGGCCGGGCACGGTGGCTTACACCTGTAATCCTGGCACTTTGGGAGGCCAAGGCGGGCGGATCACTGGAGGTCAGGAGTTCGAGACCAGCCTGGCCAATATGGTGAAAACCCGTCTCTACTAAAAATATAAAAATTAGCTGGGTGTGGTGGCACACGCCTGTAATCCCAGCTACTCGGGAGGCTGAGGCAGGAGAATCGCTTGAACCCAGGAGGCGGAGGTTACAGTGAGTAGAGATTGGGCCACCGCACTCCAGCCTGGGCAACAGGGTGAGACTGTCTCAAAAAAAAAAAAAAAAGGAAAAGAAAAAAAAATTCCTCTAATATATAAGTGAATATTTAATGAAACAATTTTTTCTGTCTAGGAAATCCTGCCAGAACACTTTGCACCTGTAGGAATTTGTACTATAATTACAAACACATATATGGCAATTAAGACATGTAAATGTAGGTCGGGCATGGTGGCTCACGCCTGTAATCCCAGCACTTTGGGAGGCCCAGGCAAGTGGATCACGAGGTCAATAGATCGAGACAATCCTGGCCAACAGGGTGAAACCTCGTCTACTAAAAATACAAAATTAGCCAGGCGTGGTGGTGAGCACCTGTAATCCCAGCTACTTGGGAGGCTGAGGCAGGAGAATCACTTGAACCTGGGAGGTGGAGGTTGCAGTGAGCCAAGATCGCACCATTGCACTCCAGCCTGGGCAACAAGGGCAAAACTCCACTCAAAAAAAAAAAAAAAAAAAAAAAAGACATGTAAATGTTACATTCAGAGGGACACATTAATTTCCATTTCTTTTAGAAAAAGTTTTTACACATTGAAGGAATAAAAATGCATGAACTGACCCTGATGTCTCCTGCCTGGGGCCCCCAGTTGGTGGTTCCTGTTCAGGATCTCCACTTTATCCTGCTCCGTTTAAGTCCAGTCTCAAGTCTTTCTACTCACACTAAACTCCTTTTGTACCTACATTATGATGATGATGATTATTTTCGAGACAGAGTCTGGCTTTGTCACCCAGGCTGGAATGCAGTGGTGCAATCTCCGCTTGCTTACTGCAATTTCCGCCTCCCGCGTTTAAGCGATTCTCCTGCCTCAGCCTCTCAAGTAGCTGGGATTATAGGCACGTGCCACCACACCCAGCTAATATTTGTATTTTTAGTAGATATGTGGATTCACCATGTTGGCCAGGCTGGTCTCCAACTTCTAACCTCAAGTGATCCACCCACCTCGGCCTCCCAAAGTGTTGGGATTCAGTCATGAGCCACCGTGCCAGGCCTCTGTACCTAAATTATATCATTTCTCTCTTCTAATTGTTCTTTGCTATTTAACAAGCAGCAAATAGAGGAACCCTGGGGTGTTTGCTATAACCTGTATATATAGGCTATAATAGGATCTTCTCCTCACACACCCTGCAGGAACCACCATGCTGAAAGAAGTGAGACAATTCAGGGGGCAGTCCCTCCCCAGCAGAGACTAAATTGGTACCATTTGTTGCTATTTCAGTTTTGCGAAGATGCGCGCTTGGAGCCCAAGCCATGGTTTCTAGGGCTGACACTGACTTCCCACGGAATTCTTCCTGTTTAAGAGGTTGTAGACTTTTCATGATCCTGAACCTTGAACGTCTCCACAACTGGTTAAGTACCCGTGAGATACATTTACAGGATTTTTTCTTTCTTTTCCCAATTTTTTTTTTTTTTTTTTTTTTTGAGACGGAGTCTCCTCTGTCACCCAGGCTGGAGGGCAGTGGCGTGATGTCTGCTCACCACAACCTCCGCCTCCCAGGTTCGAGCGATTCTACTGCCTCAGCCTCCCAAGTAGCTGGGACTGCAGGCACGCCCCACCATGCCTGGCTAATTTTTGTATTTTTAGTAGAGACGGGCTTTTACTATGTTGGGCAGGCTGGTCTTGAACTCCTGACCTTGTGATCCACCCGCCTCGGCTTCCCAAAGCACTGGGATTACAGGTGTGAGCCACCGCGCCCGGCCACAGGATTTTTTCTTTTTAATGTTAGGAGTTTCATTGATTAGTGAACATCTGGACTATTGATCATCTTGATTTAGATGGGATCTTGTAATTTTTTAAACGGTGGCGAAATTCTTTTTTTAAAAACTTAGTATCAGATTGGTTAAGATATTAACTATTCGTTCATGAGAGTTCATATATATATAGTTCATATATATATAGTTCATATATGTATATAGTTCATATATATAGTTCATATATATATAGTTCATATATATATAGTTCATATATATATATATAGTTCACATATATATAGTTCATATATATACATATGAGACGTAGTTTCACTCTTGTTGCCCAGACTGAAGTGCAGTGACGCGATCTCGGCTTACTGCAACCTCCACCTCCCAGGTTGAAGCAATTCTCCTGCCTCCGCCTCCCAGGTTTAAGCAATTCTCCTGCCTCAGCCTCCTGAGTAGCTAGGACTACAGGTGTGCACCACCACACCCGGCTATTTTTTTTTTTTTTTTTGTATTTTTAGTAGAGCTGGGATTTCACCATGTTGGCTAGGCTGGTCTCGAACTCCTGACCTCAGGTGATCCGCTCGCCTCGGCCTCCCAAAGTGCTGGGCTTACAGGCGTGAGCCACCGCGCCCGGCCTCGTGTATATTTTTAAACTGTGTGCTGACGACAGTTAAGTAAATGTGATTCAGAACTTCTGCGTATTTTGCAGGACAGTTTTGACACAATGACATGACTCGCTAGCCAGGAAAGATAACGACATCCAGTCCTGGAGCTGCTGGTTAAAAACGAACGTGTCACCGGGTCCCCTGGGTCTGAGGCCACGCGGCACGCGGCCCCTCCGCGATATTCCCGCACCTCGCGGGGAAAAGGCCGCTCGGCGGCCGGGCCTGGGCTCGCGGGCCGCCGCCTATCCGCACCCCGGCGTCCACGCCGGGTTGGGGGCCGCTGCGTGCCTGGCGCCCGCTGTGACCTTGGGCCTGGTCCCGCCCGCCGCGCCTAAGGCGCTGCCAGGCCGGGCTCAGACCCCCGAGCTCCCGCGCCCGCGCCAACCCCGCGCCAGCCCCGATCCCGCGCGGGCTGCCGACTGTCCGCCCCGGGTTTTCCGCGGCGCCCGGAGTCGGGACTGCGTCGGGCGTCGCCGCCGGACGTGCCGGCAGCTTGGTGCGACGTGTCTTGCCATTGGCCTGCTTCGGTAGCCCCACTGCCGTACGCCGCCCCCATTGGCCGGCGTAACCGTCCGTCAGCGAGGGGCGGGCCCGGCGTGCCGGCTCGGTGGCGCGGCCGCGCGTGCTCCCGCCCCTCGCCGCCGCTCGCTCGCTCGCCGGCCGGCGGCCTCCGCTCGGCCCCCTCCCTCAGCTCCGGTGCGCGGCGGCCGACGACCCGCGCGGCCTGGGCCTCGGCCCGCGCCACCGGCGCCCGCGCGGAGCGGCCCGGGGGCCCTCACGCAGGCCCATGGCGGCGGCCGCGGCGGCGCTCTCGGGCGCGGGCACGCCACCCGCGGGCGGCGGGGCCGGGGGCGGCGGGGCCGGGGGCGGCGGGTCCCCGCCGGGCGGCTGGGCCGTGGCGCGCCTGGAGGGCCGCGAGTTCGAGTATCTGATGAAGAAGCGCTCGGTGACCATCGGCCGCAACTCGTCGCAGGGCTCGGTGGACGTGAGCATGGGCCACTCGAGCTTCATCTCCCGGCGCCACCTCGAGATCTTCACGCCCCCGGGCGGCGGCGGCCATGGCGGGGCCGCTCCGGAGCTGCCGCCCGCGCAGCCCAGGCCCGACGCCGGCGGCGACTTCTACCTGCGCTGCTTGGGCAAGAACGGGGTATTCGTGGACGGCGTGTTCCAGAGGCGCGGGGCGCCGCCGCTGCAGCTGCCGCGCGTGTGAGTGGCCTCGGGGCGGGGCGGGCGGGGTCTGCGGCCTGCAGCGCCTGGCAGGACGGGACGGGACACGCGCCCAGGCCCGGGACCACCCACGAGCGGGGGCCCGACTCTCCCACAGCCGGGACCACCAGCGGGACCCAGGCCCCGGCTGGATCCCAACCCTCGACAGCCCCTGGCCCCGACCCCCGTCCTCCCGGTCCCCTTCCTGGCAGGTGCAGCCCCCCGTCTTTCCCCCTTCCTGGAGCCGGGGCTGCGGGCGGCTGCGCGCGCGGGTCAAGGTTTCTGGGTTCTGTGCGTGCGGGGAGTTCACGTGTGCTGTTTCTATTCTGCAGCGAGGTCGCGCTGAACAGAAATGTGAAAACGGTGTGCGGTGGGAGGAACTGCCCCGAACTAAAATCTATGTCTCTTAACCGATGAAGGGTTGTCTGTTGTCTTTTGTTGTTGTTGTTGTTCAGTCGTTTTCAGTAGTGAGCTGTTTCAAGAGTGCGGTGTTTTAAGCAGGAAGGACTCCTTTTTCCCTGCCGTGTTTTCAGTAGGCCAAATTGGAAGACGCTTCAAGCATGATGGATTTTCAATCTGTGCTCTGAACCTTAAAATTTAGGGAAAACTAGATGCTTTTCGCATAACTTCTACAAAAAGACAGTTGATTAGGAATTATTACAAGGTCATGTAGAGTGTTAAGTCAGCCTGATAGGGAACTGCCTATCCTGCTACAAAACAATTTAGCTTGGTCCTGTGGTTTTATGAAGTTATCGTTTACTCTGCTTGAAACACAAACTTGCTGTCTAGGAAATGCTAATTATTCCTCAGGGGCTCACTTCTAGATCATTGCAAGTACAGCCTTTGTCCACACAAACTGGAATTTTTTTGTTTTTTGTTTTTTGAGACGGAGGCTCACTTTGTCGCTCAGGCTGGAGTGTAGTGGCGCGATCTTGGCTCACTGCAATCTCCGCCCTTTGAGTTCAAGTGGTTCTCCTGCCCCAGCCTCCCGAGTAGCTGGGATTACAGGCGCCTGCCACCGCGCCCGGCTAATTTTTTGTATTTTTAGTAGAGACGGGGTTTCACCATCTTGGCCAGGCTGGTATTGAACTCCTGACCTCGTGATCCACCCGCCTCGGCCTCCCAAAGTGCTGGGATTACAGGCGTGAGCCACCGCGCCCGGCCTACAAATTGGAATTTTTAACGCTTTCGGTTGTTGGAGATGCTGGTAAGAGCTGTTGCTTTTCTTCTTGACTTGCGTGTTGTGTGTGTGTGCATGCGCTGTTCTGTTTCTTAGCATGGAAAGGTGCACCAGCATATTCCTTAAACTTTGGTAGTAGCATTTTAAAGAATGTTATTTTCAGGCCGGGCGCGGTGGCTCACGCCTGTAATCCCAGCACTTTGGGAGGCCGAGGCGGGTGGATCACGAGGTCAGGAGGTCGAGACCATTCTGGCTAACACGGTGAAACCCGTCTCTACTAAAAATACAAAAAAAAAAAAAAAATTAGCCGGGCGCGGTGGCGGGCGCCTGTAGTCCCAGCTACTCAGGAGGCTGAGGCAGGAGAATGTGAACCCTGGAGGTGGAGCTTGCAGCCAGCGAGATCGCACCACTGCACTCCAGCCTGGGGGACAGAGGAAGACTCCGCCTCAAAAAAAAAAAAGAAATTTTCAAATGAAAATGCTATTTATGTGTGTTTATACTGTAGACGGTATGAAATCAATGGTAGGGTCCTAATGGCTACCCTTTAATCTGACTTTTTTTTTTTTTTTTTTTTTTTTACAAAATACTGTGTCACAACAAAGGAAGTTTGCGTCTACTGTGAGGATCTTGAGTTTTTGTTTGTTTGTTTTTGATTTTGAGACACGGTCTCTGTGACCTAGCCTGGAGTGTACTGGTATGATGACAGCTCACTGCAGCCTCAAACTTCTGGGCACAAGCGATCCTCCTGCCCCAGTGCTCAGGAGTTTGAAGTTGCTGTGAGCTATGATTGCACCACTGCATTCCAGGCTGGGATTACAGGTGTGAGCTATGATCTCACCACTCCTCCCACATACCTGGCCAAGATTTTGAGTTTTTTGGAATTTTTTTTTTTTTTTCCTGAGACGGAGCCTTGCTCTGTCCCCCAGGCTGGAGTGCAGTGGCGCAATCTCGGCTCACTGCAAGCTATGCCTCCCGGGTTCACATCATTCTCCTGCCTCAGCCTCCCGAGTAGCTGAGACTACAGGCACCCGCCACTACGCCCAGCTAATTTTTTTTTGTATTTTTAGTAGAGACGGGGTTTCACCATGCTAGCCAGGATGGTCTCGATCTCCTGACCTCATGATCTGCCCGCCTCGGCCTCCCAAAGTGCTGCGATTACAGGCATGAGCCACTGTGCCTGGCCCGATTTTGAGTTTTTAAAGAAAATTCTCCTCACCATTCAGCCAGAACGATTTGTATTGAATTGAATTCTGCACATGCTAACATGATAAACATGGAGATAAGTTGACCTTTCAGTGAGGGCCAGAATTCAGACCTTATTTTTTTGAGACGGAGTCTCGCTCTGTTGCCAGGCTGGAGTACAATGGCGTGATCTTGGCTTGCTGCAACCTCCGCCTCCCTGGTTCAAGCAATTCTTGTGCCTCAGCCTCCTGAGTAGCTGGGATTACAGGCACACGCCACCACACCCAGCTAATTTTTGTATTTTTAGTAGAGATGGGGTTTTACCATGTTGGCCAGGATGGTCTTGATCTCCTGACCTCGTGATCCACCCGCCTTGGCCTCCCAAAGTGCTGGGATTACAGCTGTGAGCCACCACGCCTGGCCGAATTCAGACCTTTTGAACAGTAGGAATGAGTCTTGCAGTAGAGATGAGTAAGAAGGGCAGTGAGATGGAGGCTGGGCCTCCCACTTGTGCTCAGGGAAGAGTCTTGTGGCCACCGAGGTGAACATGTATCCTGGACTTCTCATGGGCCTGGGACTCTCTACCCGTACTGAGTACACAAGGGGATGAGTGGCTTT